>NC_000016.10:68501894-68804924 GCF_000001405.40 Homo sapiens
GGCCGGGGTTCAAATCCCAGGGCCAGCTCTTACCAGCTGGGTGACCTCAGCAAGCCCATTAGCATCTTGAAGGCTCAGTTCATCCTGCAAAATGGGGATGATAATAGTATTTATCCCCTGGGGCTATTGTGAGAAATGAAGATGCTCTTTCACATGCAGCACTTAGCATAGTGCTTCAAACTGCAGGCACCCAGTGAATATCGGGTATATGGCCTGTATCAGGCAGGCAGGCATGGGAGCAAGTGGCCTTGCTGGGCTGGTAAAGCTCAAGCTGTTTCCTCCCTCCCTAAGTTGGGGTCCTCAAGGGTTCACATTCCCAGAGCTTTGTGTAGGTCAAACTTGAGTCCTGGCAGCCGAGTCGGGGACCCTCCCCTTCACAAACACTTCCAGGGAAGATGATTTCACAACTCCTCAGGGTGCGTTCTAGTCCACACAGCCCCCACCCTCCACGTGTGTTCCTGGGGTTGCACCCAAGTCCCGATGTCACAGTTGAGCCCTTTTCTATCTTCAGAGTAAAAGGGAGGTGAGCCCAGCATGGTCCATCACCCCCAGACTTTCTCCTCAACTTGTATGGGGTCCTGGTGCCTTCTCGAAATCTGATGAGTGCCTTAGACTCTCTTCCCAGAAAAAAAAAGTTTTCCCAAATACATTGTTCACTCATCAAATGTTGCAAGATTCCTTATCTTTTAGGAGGGGTCCCTATTATAAGTTGGTGGTTATGCTGGTGGCCTCTGGAGTTGAATTTCCTGGGTCCCCCAAATCTGCTTCTACTATTTTCTGGCTACAAGAACATAAACAAATCACAAACATCTTTAAACCTTGGTTTTCTGGCTGAGTGGCATGGCTCATGCCTGTAATTCCAGCGCTTTGGGAGGTTGAGGTGGGTGGATCACTTGAGGCCATGTGTCCGAGACCAGCCTGGCCAACACAGCAAAACCCTATCTCTACTAAAAATACAAGAAATTAGCCGGGCGTGGTGGTGCGTGCCTGTAGTCCCAGCTACTCAGGAGGCTGAGGCATGAGAATCGCTTGAACCCTGGAGGCGGAGGTTGCAGGGAGCCGAGATCGCACCATGGCACTCCAGCCTGGGGGACAGGGCGAGAATGTAGGTGGCACGATGCATGCATTTTCCTGCTGAACGTGTCAACAAGCAGAGCCGACTCGTGTGTTAGCAACACAGCCTGCCCAGGGAGAAGCTTGAATTGGAAACTTCATTTATACCTTGATGGGTCCAGCTTGATGACCTAGAGCTGGGATTTATTTGGCTTGTAGGCAACTTTAACCAAGGAGTAAGGGGCAAAGCAAAGACATTCTTCCCCAGCTGCAGGGACAGGCCTTGATAGACTGACATTCATTAATGTCCTTGTGTTTTCATAAGGTTAGGAGTTGGCTCTGGAAATGAGTGTTCCGTGGAGAAATGGAGGTTGTTCACAGGAAAGCCTTTCCCTTGAAGAGGGGCAAAGGTTGCTTCTTCTCAAGGGGCAGGTGGAATTTAGGTTTTAACTTTCTTTGCAAGATCCACCCCAACATTCAGATTTCAAGTCAAGCCGGGTATCCCAGTAGGAAATAACTAGGGCTTCCTCCCAAGAATTGGGGTTTGTAAGTCCTGAGGGCATGAGTCATAGGTTACCAGCCTCCTCTTGCCTGCAGGCTCTAGAACAGCACTGGACATAGAGAAGATGCTCAGTAATAGCTCTGCCTCACCCTGTCTTTCCCAGGCACTTCACAGCCTCTTGAGCTGCCAGCAGTAGGCTCTGTTAACAGGGACTGTTTCACATTGGCTCTGATGAGGGGTGATGCCCAGAGTGGGGTTCCCCAGATGCCGGGACGTGGACTCCTCTCAGATTATTTGATGATCGAGGGGCAGTTGCCCCAGAAACAAATAATTTCCTTAGATAACTGTCTTAGAAGTGATTACTCTTGGGAACAGAAGGAGGATACTGGTAACGGAAGAGACTTCTTTTCTCTCTGCAGATGCTTGAGAGAACTCTGGATTCTGAGATGTGTAATCAACTACCCCATTGAAAGTTTTAGCATTAAAAGTCTCGCATCCCAGGAAACCCCTGAGACCCAGGCAAAGCAAGACCATTGGGCTACCCTATGAGGGGTTGCCTGGGTGGTTCCAGTGTAGGGACCCAGTTGCCCACGTTGAGGCCGAAGGAGCAGGGGACTAGATAATAGGGTTGGCTGCTATTGGCTGGGAGGGGTTGGTGGCAACAACTCAGGGGCGATCACGACAGTGGCCAAAGGCAAGCCATTTCTGGGGCTCTGATTTTGAAAAGCCCTGACATCTGCCAACAAGCCCTGTCAGGACTAATCTCTCGGCCCCAAGCAGAGAGAATCCTTTCTGGAAGCCAGAAAGGGGCCTCAGGGGTGGTGGCTAGAGAGGCTGACCATGCTGACCTGAGCAACACCTCAGGGTCACAGGCAGCGGAGGCTGCTTCGTGGCTGGAGAAATGGCAGATGTGTCTGACACTCAGGTGAGGCCCCCAGAATGTCCCAGACACTGCTGGGGCGTTCGCTTGCATGGGGTGCTAAACACAGCCTGGTCCTGATGGGAGTTGGTGTCTCTGGAATTGGGCACAGAGGTTAAAGCAGAATATTAAACCAATTTTCAAAAATTTGGAGAAATAGATTTTTTTAGTGAAGAAAAAATTTACTCCACTTACTAAGAAGAGTCCTCAAGGGAGAAGAACATTGTCTCCAAGTCACCAACTTCCTCAAAAGGAAAATTCAGGAAAGGCTCTTCCCTCCAAGCCTTGGTGTAATGGGAAGCTCATAATTTACATATTATCACAGACATACCAAAGAAACGGAACACCATGACTGATATAAGACTTAGCGGCAACCAAGGAGAGATTATCTGGGCATCTCTGAGTCTCCAATTTGGGAAAAATTCCCTCTAAGCCTTTTAGTGTCCTATTATGCAAGTTGGAGTCGACTTGTCACAAATCATAGGTGTATAAAAGAATAGTGTCTGGCACACCTCACAGCTATATGAGGGCACCTGGCGGCTCATTCTGGCTGCTGAGAGAAAGGCTGGCAGAGGTGCCGAGGGGGCCGTGGGGTGGCTCTCCCCACCTCTGATGACAGGGTTCCCATGGTTTTTGTCCTGGCTTTGTGGGGACCTGATTTTGCCAGGTGTGCCCTTGCAGGGCAGAGACTAGCTGTGCTTTGTCCACTTGTTGTGGGCTCTGCAGTGCCCATGCCCGGGCCTGGCATGAATAGATGTCCCATGAATGCTTCTAGAATCTTACTGAATGATTCCCGCAGACCCGTGCAGTGAAACACTTAAGTGACAGGCATCCACACTTCTGTTGGTAACAGCTCTCTTCCCGGCCACCTTAGAGTGAGGCCTGTGGAAGAAGACATGTGTCACTCTGGGTCCTGGGCCCTTCATCCAGACGGTTCCATGGATCCCAGGGCTGTCTCTATCTATCCAGAGCCCCAAAGCCACCTGCAGGCAAGCATGCCTATTTCTTCCTCTCTTGGGTTCCTTCCATCCGCTCATCCTGGTGGAGCACCTCATTGGCCAGTCGGTGTCCTTGGTGCTGGGGATACAGCAAGTCCACGAGACAGGCAAGGACCCTGCTTAGAAAACTGCCTCTTGAGGTGCACAAAGAAAGAGGTTGGTCTTTGCTTCTCAGAGGCAGAAGGTGAGGGGACTCAATTGCAAGTTACACAGAGAAGTGAACATTCACTTCCAAGATCTTCTGCTGTCCATTCCCACTTCCGTTGGTCCAGTATTCCACATTTGATTTGGGTGTCCTTTCTTCCCCCATACAGCTCAGGGACTTCTCACCCTCTCCCAGCTTCAGGGACAGGCCTTGATAGACTGACATTCATCAGCATGTCCCAGCCACCTGGCCACAGTGGTTGGCTAAGGGATGGGCACCAGACCCAATTGGGACCAATAAGACCCACAGGACTTTTGATGGGCACCTGGGAAGATGCTTTCTTATTTATTTATTTAGAAACAGAGTCTTACTCTGTTGCCCAGGCTGGAGTGCACTGGCATGATCTCGGCTCACTGCAACCTCTGCCTCCCAGGTCCAAGCAATTCTCCTGCCTCAGCCTCCCAAGCAGCTGGGATTATAGGTGCCTGCCACCAAGTCCAGCTAATTTGTGTATGTTTAGTAGAGATGGGGTTTTGCCATGTTGGTCAGGCTGGTCTCAAACTCCTGACCTTAAGTGATACACCGGCCTCAGCCTCTCAAAATGCTGGGATTATAGGTGTAAGCCACCACACCCAGCAAGGGAAGATGCTTTCTTGATAATTTGTAGAAGCCACCTGGAGAAGGAACTGCTGGCTCTTCCAGGCAGTCAGAGCGTGAACCAGGGTTTGGCACATCTTTGAACCCTTTGCTGTGTTGGGCATGGCTGGCCTGGAGATGAAGCCCATAGCCCAAGGCAGGCAGGTGGAAAGAATTCCAGAGCAGCAGCGACAGTGCCCCGCCTGAACCTCAGCTGGGGCTTCAAGACTGTTTGGTTCCATGGGACAGCCCATTCTCTTTAGTTTGTGCTAGTTTGGGTCTACTGTTCTGAAAGCTACAACTGAGAAGATGCTAGCTGATCTCACTAAAGAGGAATTTCCTTTCAGGTCACAGAGTCAGGACTGAGGCAGCCTGGGCTTGGGAGAAGGAGGACCAGGCAGTTGGTTGGTGACACTCATTCAGGAACCAATAGCTTTGTGCCCCAGGGACTGTGGGAAGGAGGACCTCAATGCAGACAGGGGAGCCGCAGGTCTGGTGCAGGGAGGGATGATCATGCCCAGGGCCCTCACTCCCAGCCTCGGCTGGAGGCTCCCTTCATAGAATTCCACCTGCCTGGTAAATGCAGAATGCAGTCCACTTAAAGAAATCAGAGCAGCTGCCACGTCAAAGCCGAAAAGATGTGTGGAGGTGGGTGGAGAGGAGGCGGGTAATTATGCAGGAAAAATAGTTTTCTTGATATTCTTCTGGAAATATGCGTGGAACAGAGGGAGCAGCAGGAGAGATGCCAGGCAAGGAGAAAATGTATGAATAGCAGAATGCATGGTGCCTCTCCAAAGGCAGACAGAGGCAGCGCTGCTTTGACCACAGCATCCTTTTGTGGGGAGCATCTGGGACTCCATGAGACACTTCCGCAGGGACTCTTCAATGTAGGACTTTATTCATGGGTCCATTACAGAATTTGCTGGGAATGATTGAGCCTTTCTTCCCCCTGTAATCCCAGCACTTTGGGAGGCTGAGGTGGGAGGATTGCTTGAGGCCAGGAGTTCAAGACCAGCCTAGGCAACAAAGTAAGATCTCGTCTCTACGAAAAAAAAAATTTTTTTTTAATTAGTCCGAAAAAAAAATGGGAGAGGCGTGAGGGATAAAAGACTACACATTGGGTACAGTGTAGACTGCTTGGGTGATGGGTGCATCAAAATCTCAGAAATCACCGCTAAAGAACATATCCTTGTAACCAAACACTACCTGTTCCCCCAAAACCTATTGAAATTTTAAAAAATAATAACCAAGTGCGGTGGCATGCGTCTGTGGTCCCAGCTACTCGGGAGGCTGAGGTGGGAGGACTGCTTGAGCCCAGGAGTTCGAGGCTACCGTGAGCAATGATTGTACCACTGCACTCCAGCCTGTACCACAGAGCAGGACTCTTGAGAGAGAGAGAGAGAGCACGCTGGCATGGGATCTCCCCATGCCACTTCTATGCCCCGTTAGGAATCTGCCCACAGAACCCATGTACTCTGCATGCCCAAGTGGCAGAGAGGCACCCCAAACTCTGAGAAGCAGCTCTGAGGTTGTGAACATTGAATGTAGATAATTATCCAGCTGTGAAGAAGCTGAACATTTCTTCGGGCTGTTTCTGCGTAATTATAAATATTTGAGAATATTAAACTCCCAGGTTACACATTGAGGGTATTGTCTGAGTAGCAGTTGGCTGCAGAGCTGGAAATGCAAACATATTTTCATTCCTCCCTCCTGGTGTACTCAGGATATTTCATGGGATTCAAAAGAAAAAGTTACAGTCGAGAAAAAAAAGCACCGACAACCTGGAGGCAAAGTCAGTTGCTAATATTTCTAAATAGCTTTAAATCAAAGAAGAGGAATGTGACCACTTTAGTTAACTGTGCTGGGTTTGTGATGCGTTTTTCTCTATGGTTTAGGAAAGCAATTACCATGAAACAACCTACCTGTGCCTTCGTGTGATAAAATGTTCCCTCTAATAGGGCCAATATGCCCAGCAGTAGGTCTTTACAAGCACTCAATGTTTCTAGAAGCATTTTCACATGTGGGGCTCCTTGGTGTGCAGTGAGAGCCCATGACTCACTCCTTAAGGACCCGTCATAGTGCAGGGTTGTTGGTTTTGTTTTTTGTTTTTTGTTTTTGAGATGGAGTTTCGCTCTTGTCGACCAGGCTAGAGTGCAATGGCACGATCTTGGCTCACTGCAACCTCCACCTCCCAGGTTCCAGGTTCAAGTGATTCTCCAGCCTCAGCCTCCCGTGTAGCTGGGATTACAGGCGCCCAGAATGCCCGGCTAATTTTTGCATTTTTAGTAGAGATGGGGTTTTGCCGTGTTAGCCAGGCTGGTCTCCAACTCCTGACCTCAGGTGATCCGCCCACCTCGGCCTCCCAAAGTGCTGGGATTACAGGCATGATCCACTGTGCCACAGGGTTCTTAATAGGAGATGGGTTCTTCCAAGGAGAGGCTGGTGTCCAGGCTGTGAGTGGAGGCTCTGCTGCCCTGGTTCTGCCCGGAGGCCCATGTGATGAGCCCAGGGTCCTGTCCAGACTTCCACCCTCACACTCTTGGTCACCCCATCTTGTCCTCCCACCCACTGAAGTCTCCTGTCTTCTCACCCACTCCCCAAGTGCTGTCCTCCACGCCCTGGAAAGCAGGGGCCATCTGTTACAGACACATCCTCAGCCTTCCATCTCCTGCTTTGCAGCTGTCCCCTGCTGGCCACAGCTTCCCCACATCTCCTGGGAGTTGCTGTCCCTTCTCCAGACCCCCCAGTATCCCTGGAAACCACTGCTCCTGTGCCTTTGAACAATCCCACCCCCTTCACACCCCCCGTCCCCACCGCCCCAGTTTTTGAGGCTCCTGCTTGCTGTTCTCCCTTCCCAGCCCTTGCTCTGGGGCTTGGCTCACTTTTTCTCTCCCCAGTTTTTCCCAGGCTGGAGTGCAATGGGCGATCTTGGCTCACTGCAACCTCAGCCTCCCAGGCTCAAAACATCCTCCCGCCTCAGCTTCTCAAGTAGCTGGGCCCACAGGTGCACACCACTGCGCCCGGCTCATTTTTGCATTTTTTGTAGAGACAGAGTCTCACTATGTTGCCCAGGCTGGTTTTGAACTCCTGGGCTCAAGCCATCTGCCAGCCTTGGCCTCCCAAAGGGTTGGGATTACAGGCTGGAGCCACCACGCCCAGTCTGTTTTTTTTTTCTTCTTCTTCTTCTTCTTTTTTTTTTTTTTAGAGACAGAGTCTCACTCTGTGACTCAGGCTGGAGTACAGTGGCATGATCATGGCTCACTGCAGGCTTGAACTCCTGGCCTCCCACCTCGGCCCCCCAAAGCACTGGGATTACAGGCAGGCGCCCAGCCCTTTTCTCAGCTCAGGGACCTCCCTTCATCTTGGGTAACTGTGATGGGTAAGAACGACCTATGTCATCGTCCAGATCACAAACTTCCTTGGTCCCTCTCCGGGTGCTGCCAGGTCCAGCCCTGTACAGTCTTGGCCTTTAGGGTGGCACCTCTGCCATACCTAGCGCCCTGTGTCTCCCTCACCCTTGGCCACCACAGAGGCCACTGGTCTGCAGCCCCAGGGATTTCTTTGTCCCTTCATTTCTGGCTGCATTCTGTGGCCATCCCATTGCCTCCCTCTCAGGCCCCTGAATCCCATGGTCTCCATCCGTCGCCCATGATGCTGCCGTCTAAGGCCTCTGCCTGATGGGGAGCTGTTGCTTGGTGACCCCACCAACCGATCCCAGTGGGAACCCCCGCCCCACAGCCTCTGGCTCCTCAACTCCCACCCCTAGCCTCCATCTCCAGTTTCTAGGTCACAGTGAGACGCCAGTGTAGGCCAGTAAATGTGCAAAACCAGAACTTCATTTCCCACCCCAAATGCTGTCCCTCTCCCCCAGATGCCGGCAGCTGGCAGGGGGCGTCCTCCGAGAGCCTCCGGAGAACAGCCCGCTTGGCTCTGCAAGTTTGCTGTGGGCGGTGAAAGTATCCGCTGACAAACCATCCAACGTCGGTTTGGAAGCCCAAGGTCCCATAAAAAGTGGGACGAAAAAAGACCCGTTGCGAAGGCTGCGCTACGCGTCCAGCCGCCCGCGCTCCAGCTCACTGTCCTTGGGTAAGGGAGAGGGAGGAGGCTCGTGGACCAAGAGGACGCACTCGGATCTGGAGTTCTCCGGCCCGGACACCCACGGGCCACCGCGTCGAGGCAGCGCGAGCCCCGGGCGCCCCCTGCAGGTTGTACGGGCCTCAGCTGCGCAGCGCAGACGGAGGAGGGCGCTGGCGGTTAAGAACTCCTACTTGTCAACCGGAAAAACATCCCCCATAAAAAAACGGTCAAAGGGCCGGGACAGAAGCATTTGAAATGAAACACAAGGGCCGGGCGCGGTGGCTCACGCTTGTAATCCCAGCACTATGGGAAGCTGAGGTGGGCAGATCACAAGGTCAGGAGTTTGAGACCAGCCTGGCCAACATGGTGAAACCCCGTCTCTACTAAAAATACACAAATTAGCTGGATGTGGTGGCGGGCGCCTGTAATCCCAGCTACTCAGGAGGCTGAGGCAGGAGAATCACTTGAACCCAGGAGGCGGAGGTTGAGGTTGCAGTGAGCTAAGATCAGGCCATTGCACTCCAGCCTGGGTGACAATAGCAAAACTCTGTCTCAAGAAAAAATAAAAATAAAAATAAAAATAAAAGAAAGAAAAGAAAAGAAAAAGAAGAGAAAAGAAACACAAATGTCCAATAAACCATCAAGCTGATATTGACATGGGCAGAATCTGTTGCAAGCCGTGGCACAGGACAGACAGATCCTTTAATCTCACAAACAATGACACTAGGGAGAGGCAGATTGTTCCCATTCTACAGATGCGTAAACTGAGGCACTGAGAGGCTAAGTGACTAGGTCACGGCCACACAGTAAGTAGCAGGGCCAGAAACTCACCCAACAGCCTGGCACCAAGGCCTATGGCCTTATTCACTACATGAGACCAATTCTTAACATAATGAAAAATATACACTGGCTAAAACCAAAGTGTAAATGGAAACAAATTCATTCAATAAACCAAGGGAATCCCAGATGAGGGATCCTGCACCTATCGATGGGCCAAGCCAGGGCCTGGGTGTGTTTCCATCTGTGCTCCCTTCCAAGGTCCAAGGTCATGCTGTCTTACCAGACCTTGGAGGTACTTGGAGTTCAAAGCAAGCTTCGCTTCTGTGAGCCCCCTTGTCTGTTGGCCTGGGGTAGGAGGGCCAGGCTGTGGCATCCTTTCCTCCAGAGACAGAAGCATAGAGGTGAGGTTAGTGGGAGGTGGCCGCAGGGAGGTGAGCCCCATTCTTCCCCAGAGACTGCCATCCTCCTCCTTGCTTTGGTCAAAGGGCCATTTCCTGCCCCGTGGTCTGGCCTCATGATATCCCTTGTAGATTACACAACTCACTCTCCAAAAGCCGCTGTGTTTTATATGGTGGTGAACTGCTCTGTGGTTCCTGCTGAAAATCTTCTGTTGATTCCTGGGGTCAGCTGGGCTCCTTTGAGTCCTGCTTAGGCCACCTTAAGAAGGGCTGCAGGCTGGGAGCAGTGGCTCACACCTGTAATCCCAGCACTTTGGGAGGCCGAAGTGGGAGGATCACTTGAGACCAGGAGCTTGAGATCAGCCTGGCCAACTTGGCAAAACTTCATCTCTACTACAAATACAGACATTAGCCAGGCCTGGTCATGCGCGGCTGAAGTCCCAGCTACTCACCTGGCAGGCAGGAGAATCGCTTGAGCCTGGGAGGCAGAGGTTGCAGTGAGTGGAGATGGTGCCACTGCACTCCAGCCTGGGTGACAGAGTGAAACCCTATTTCAGAAAAAAATAAAATAAATTTTAAAATAAGCAAATAAAAATCAGATGAGCATGGTGGTACTTGCCTGTGGTCCCAGCTACTTGGGAGGCTGAGGTGGGAGGATCCCTTGAACCCAGGAAGTTGAGGCTGCAGCGAGCTTTGCTAGTGCCACTGCACTCCAGCCTGAGTGACAGAGCAAGACCCTGTCTCAAAAAAAAGTAAAGAAATAAAATTTTTTTTAAAAAGAAGAAGGGCTGAGCTTGCTTTCAAGATGAGTGCAACAAACTGGTCCAGACAGAGCCTGGACCAGAGTAAGGCCCACTCTAGGGGCCAGCTGGTTACTCCAGCGCTCTCCCAGAGTCACGTGGTCTCTCTCTGACCTCTTTCTCTCCCCCTTTCAATGCCTGCATCAGCTGCTAACCTCCTCATTGCTGGAGTTCCTCATTCATGTTCCTAAGCCAGCTCATCTGTCTTCCGCCAGGGCACATGATACATCTCTGGATTGGCCGCCTTGTGTCCTGGTTCCCTTGGGGTCTAATCAGCAAGGCCAAGAAGGGAGGGCACTGAGATGGCCGGCACAAGACTGTCCCTTCAGCGGGTACCGTGGGTGATGCACTGCACCATTAGATGGTCGGCTACAATCCTAGACTCTTCTTCCTGTTTATTCATGCTTGAGTTTCATTTGTTGACCTTTGTTATGGTTGCCTAGAGGTCTTTTAAGGGTACTTAAAAATGTCTTAGGTATCCACCCTGGTTCACTGTAGAGGCTGCTACCCAGAAACCTGGCAAGAGAGAATCATTCATAGTTAAACAAACAGGGAGTCATTTCTTCCTCCTTCTTTAGTCTCACCTTTCATTTAGAAAAAAGTAGGGAGACCATATTTAATAACCACCATCCATTAGATTAGATCAACAGGCTCCAAATAGTGCATTTCTTCTAGAAACAGTATCTCCTGGTCTCACAGGAGAGCATGTGGTCAGGAGGAAATTGAATAAAGCCTTTTAATCAGCCACAGTAGTATTTGAATCATTTAATTTAGAATCTGACAACCACAAATTACTTTATTTTTCTGGCCAATTTTAGCCAACCAGGAGAGCTAAGCCAGTCCAACTCATGCTTAATAAATCACCATCTTGCCTTATGGTGGCTAGTTTGGGGAAGAGGTTTTTCTGAGGCTTTTCAGAAATAATCAACAACAGGCCGGGCGTCTGTAATCCCAGCACCTTGGGAGGCTGAGGCGGGTGGATCACCTGAGGTCAGGAGTTCGAGACAAGCCTGGCCCTCAAGGTGGAACCATGTCTCTACTAAAAGCACAAAAATTAGTCAGGCGTGGTGGTGCACACCTGTAATCTCAGCTACGAGGGAGGCTGAGGCTGGAGAATCTCTTGAACCCAGGAGGCAGAGCTTGTGGTGAGCTGAGATTGCACCACTGCACTTCAGCCTGGAAGACAGAGCAAGACTCTGTCTCACAAAAAACAAACAAACAAACAAACAAACAAACAAGTAATCAAAAACAATCTCCCACTCCATGTGTGTCTGACATGAATTCTTTGACACATTTCTTTCCCATCTCTCTGTGGCTATAGAGTGAACCCTTGGAGTGGAGAGAGGTGGGACATGTGGCAAGGAGCTGTCATCTCTGCCGCTTGTGCTTTTTATTCCTGGCTCCAAGTTCTCATGGACACGAAAACAAGTCAATCAAATTAGACACCAGACATACACTGTCTCATGGCAGCTCACCCATTGCTGCCTCAGACTTCTCAACACCTGCTGAAACTCGTTCACTGGAAAAAATGAAAGAGGAGCTTCAAAAAATAACACCCATTGGACACCCCAGATGTGGCCTCTACTGGAGTCACATTAAATCACCTGTGAAGTCTTGTTAAAGGGCAAAATGCAAGACTCTTCCTTCAGAAGTAGTCCAATGTCAGCTGGGCTCGGTGGCTCATGCCTGTAATCCTAGCACTTTGGGAGGCTGAGGCAGGTGGATCAGTTGAGGTCAGGAGTTTGAGACCAGCCTAGCCAACATGGCGAAACCCCATCTCTACTAAAAATACAAAAGTTAGCCAGGCATGATGGCGCATGTCCATAATCCCAGCTACTTGGGAGGCTGAGGCAGGAGAATCAATTGAACCCGGGAGGTGGAGGTTGCAGTGAGCCGAGATTGCGCCACTGCACTCCTGTCTGGGTGACAAAGCAAGACTCTGCCTCAAAAAAAAAAAAAAAAAAAAAAAGGAAAAGAAAAAAAGAAATAGGCCAATGTCAGCTGCATCTAAGCCTCTGGCAGATGTTTCTTCTGACCTCCAGGTACATGTGGCTGGGCTCCGAAAAACCCGTGAGACTTCAGTCCATCCCTACTGCAAATGACAGCCATGTGTCTGCACTAGGTGGGTGCTCGCAGGCCGGCCTGCCCATTTTCATCCATCTATTCCAAGGGAACGAAATGGCAGAAAGGAGGCTGGGGATACAAGCCAGGACCTATGGTCTTCTTGGGGGCCTGTTGCATTCTTGAAGATACAGTACCCATAAGTAAGTGGCATTAAGAAAGGAAGAATCCAGTTCATACAAGAAATTTTAAATTTTTCAAGAAATCTAGGTTTTTAGAATTTCTATCTTGCTTAGGGATGTGTTGATGTGAAACCAGAACCACCCACAGCCAAGTTTACAAAGGGAATGGTGTCCCTGCAGAGACCCAGAGGAATCTCTGGGAGGGAGCCAGAAGTAAGAGCCTTGCCAGGCCTCCTGGGAACTGTCTGGTTGCAGGTAGCACCCCCCTGGCACCGGGCCTGGAAGTGCTCACCTGTCTCCTGGCCCTGGGTACCCTCTTCCCTGCAGACAGATTCTTGGTTCTTGCTCCTTGCAAAACTCGAGCTCACTCAAACAAGGCTCTGGGTTTATCAGTTCTGGTCATGACACTTGACCCAGTGTTCGAGGGGGTCTTCAAGAGACAGAGTAGCTGGGTGTGGTGTATGCCTGTAGTCTCAGCTAACCTAGGAGGCCAAAGCAGGAGAATAACTTGAGCCCGAGAGTTCAAGGCCAGCCTGGGCAACATAGTGAGAAATCTTCTCAGAAAGAGAGAGTGAAGGCCGGGTGTGGTGGCACACACACACACCTGTAATCCCAGCACTTTGGGAGACCAAGGTGAGTAGATCACCTGAGGTCGGGAGTTTGAGACCAGCCTGGCCAACATGGCGAAACCCTGTCTCTACTAAAAGTACAAAGATTAGCCTGGCATAGTGGCGTGTGACTATACTCCCAGCTACTCAGGAGGCTGAGGCAGGAAAATCGCTTGAATCCGGGATGCGGAAGTTGCAGTGAGGTGAGATCGCGCCACTGCAACTTCAGCCTCTGGGTAACAGAGCGAGACCCCCCTCAAAAAAACAAAACAAAACAAACAAACAACAACAAAAACAAAAAAAACAAAAAACAAAAAACCACACACACACACACACACACAGAGAAAGACAGAGAGCCTCATGCACCCTTGTGGAAGTCCCGGTTGCCACGGTGCCACTGTCCTAGAGGCATCTATCAAAAGGCCCCACCCAGAACCTCCTCAGAGGGCATCTAAGCAACTGCCTATAATTAAGAATAGAGGTGTGACTGAGATCTGAGGGAGGGCTGCTGTCTTAGTCTGTTTTGGTTGCTATAACAAAATAACCACAAACTGGGCAGCTTATATGCAACAAAAATTGACTTCTCACAGTTCTGGAGGCTGGGAAGTCCACAATCATGGTATCAGCAGAGTCGGCGTCTAGTGAGGGTCTGCTTTCCAGTTCACAGATGGCGCCTTCTCCTTGTGTCCTCATGTGGTGGAAGGGGTGAGCTAGCTCTCTGGAACCTGTTTTATAAGGGCGCTAATCCCCAGCATGAGCACGCTCCAACCCTATGACCTAATTACCTCCCGAAGACTCCCACCTCCTAATACAATCACATTGGTGAATTGTGGAGGGACATAAACGTTCAGCCCATGGCAGCTGCTGACACCCGCTCCTAAAGCCCCTTGACACCACCTGTTGGCACCACCACTGCCTACATCCCCAAATGCCAGGCCTGACTTTTCCAATCAACCTTGGCTCTTGTCCCTTACTCCTTGGACCCCTTTCTTAATTTCTGGTCCTGAGACATAGAACACAAAGAACAAGAGCTCTTCTCTCTCAGGGTTGTTGTGAAAATTAAACGAAATAAGAGTTTAAGAGCATAAACTGGGAAATAATAAAGATAATAGATTGTTTGACCTAGATGCAATTGTAGATCATAGAAAATATCGATGAATGTAGACCGGAGATAGGATCTTGTTCTAGAAAGATGCATACGTTTTGAATTGACACAAGAATAAAGTACATTTTAGGCCAGGCAAAGTGGCTCACACCTGTAATCCCTACGCTTTGAGAGGCAGAGGTGAGAGGATCACATGAGACCAGTTGTTCAAGACCAGCCTGGGCAACACAGTGAGATCCCATCTCTACAAAAAACCTTTTAAAAAATTAGCCAGGTGTGGTGTTGCACACTCATAGTCCCATCTACTCAAGAGGCCAAGGCAGGAGGATCATTTGAGCCCAGGAGTTTGTGGCTACAGTGAGCTATGATTGCACCACTGCACTCCAGCCTGGGTGACACAGGGACACCCCTATCTCTTAAAAAAAAGAAAGAAAGAAAACGAATTAGCTGGGCATAGTGGCACCCGCCTGTAGTCCCAGCTTCTCAGGAGGCTGAGGTGGGAAGATCTCTTGAGCCTAGGAGGTTGAGGTTGCAGTGAGCTGTGATTGTGCCACTTCACTCAGCCTGGGCAACAGAGTGAGGCCCTGTCTCAAAAAATAAATTAATTAAATAAAGCACATTTATTTAAAGAAAGAAATTAAATGACATATAAATAATATATGTATAGTCCTACAAACGTGACTCATAAAATATAACTATAAAACAATTTCTATTTGTCTCCCTTTGTCCTTTACACTGACCCTATGGAGTTTCTTTTCCCTTTGTCCCTCATTGAAATTTAGGCTAAGTCCCCTGACAACCCCTTCTTTGCCCCTTGGCCCAGGAGTAACCTTCAGTTTCTTTCTGCCAATGTCTTTTTGTTCTTCCCAGGAGGCTTTTTTTTTTTTTTTTTGAGACAGAGTCTTGCTCTGTTGCCCAGGCTGGAGTGTAGTGGCGCGATCTTGGCTCACTGCAGCCTCTGCCTCTGGGTTCAAGCAATTCTCCTGCCTCGGCCTCCTAGGTAGCTGGGGTTACAGGCGCCGGCCACAATGCCTGGCTAATTTTTGTATTTTTAGTAGAGATGGGGTTTCACCATGTTGGCCAGGCTGGTCTCGAACACCTGACCTCATGTGATCTGCCTGCCTCAGCCTCCCAAAGTGCTGGGATTACAGGCGTGAGCCACGGCGCCCAGCAAAATGTGCCTTTCTGATCTCCACCAACTACCTCCAGGGAGAATAATGTTCCCCTGGTTACATTGTGAGAATGGGTAGGCCAGAGAGGAGAAGGGTACCCCAGCCAGCTCTGGGAATGTGGTGGGTCTGGCAGTGTCCCAAGCAGGCACTGAACAATTCCCACATTGGCTACTCTGCTAGATATTTTGTCCCTTTAAGGATTTACTCATTGATCCCACTGAGAGAAGAATTATGAGGCCACTTGCTCAGTGTGACCAAAGGGGCCACAGAAGTGCCAGGTCAGGAGGCGGAATGAAAACCATACCCCAGAAAACAGAAGAGGAGGAGGCTGGGGAGGAAGGCGGTGGGTGGGTTGGGGGCAGGGAGGACCCTGAAGTCAGTTGCCTTGGGGAGAAACCCAGGGTCTGAAGGTAACCCAGACACTCTGTCCCCAGGGGGAGGGGTCTGGATCCCATTCTCCGAGTGGCCTGGGAGGAGACAGACGGTCTGGGAAGGCGAGGCAGTGCCCTAAGAACAGCCACACCAGCAAGCTTATCTCAGATGATTAAATGGCAGCAGATAAATTTAACTAAACGTGAGTAATGGGGACACAAAGGGGAAGTGAAGAGAAATAGAATATTTTAGCAACATAAGGAAATGAGAAGAAAATGACTTTGCAATGAAATGTCAAACTTCTGTGCCTGGAGGAGATGTAATCTGGTCATTGCAGGCCCAGGAGAGCGGGGGAGTCTGTAGTTATTTCAAGCAAATTTTAATTCACTTTAATTTAATAACATATGACCAAATACCTTTGAGAGAGTGGCAGGGGACAGAACTGGAAATCAGAGAGTGCCAGCCCTGTGAACTGAGGTGTTTCTTATTTGTTTTTTGCAAGAAGCTGTACTTATATTAATTCATTCATTAACCCATTCATTCAGGGCATGAATATTAAAGGCTGAGGATTAATAAAATATACAACTCAGCTTCCCCCCGGCTCACAGGAAATCCTGGCCAGCTAGGAAGACCGACAGATGAACAGAAAGTTGCAATGTAGGGGCCAGGTGCGGTGTCTTATATCTGTAATCCCAACACTTTGGGAGGCCAGTGTGACAGGATGACATGAGGCCAGTTAAAGACCAGCCTGGGCAACAAGCAAGATCCCATCTCTATAAAAAATACAAAAATTAACCGGGCATAGTGGGACACGCCTGTTGTCCTAGCTACGTGGGAGGCTGAGGCAGGAGGATTGGTTGAGCCCAGGAATTCAAGGCTGCAGTGAGTTATGATTTCACCACTGCACCACAGCCTGAGTGACAGAGTGAGGCCCTGTCTCAAAAAAAAAAAAAAAAAAGTTGCAATGTAGGGCCACATCCTGGGCCTAATACCTGGTGTTCAGTAGAAGTTTGTGGAATAAATACAGGATTGAAAGGGTGGTTTTGGGAAGGTGCCAGAAAGAGTGAACATCTAGCTGGGTCTTTTTCTTTTTGAGACGGAGCCTCGCTGTGTCGCCCAGGCTGGAGTGCTATGGCGCAATCTTGCTCACTGCAACCTTGGCTCCTGGGTTCAAGCAATTCTCCTGCCTCTGCCTCCCGAGTAGCTGGGATTATGAGCACCCGCCACCACACCTGGCTAATTTTTGTATTTTTGGTAGAGACGGGGTTTCACCATGTTGGCCAGGTTGGTCTCAAACTCCTGACCTCAAGTGATCCACCCGCCTCAGCCTCCCAAAGTGCTGGGATTACAGGCATAAGCCACTGTGCTCAGCCTTCTAGCTGGGTCTTGAAGGATGAATAAACTCACCAGGAAGGCAAGCAAGTCCAGGGCACATCCAGGGACTGCCTGTGACGAGGAGAAAAGGATCACGTGTAACAAGGAGATGCTGGTTACATTTGCTGGGCTGGGGAAGGTTGCCCAGGGAATGGGGACAGGGTGAGAAGAGGAAAAGGGCAAGGAGGGGCCCTGATGAGGAGTGACACTCAGGAAGGTAGACTCTGAAGAGAAGTCCTCCCCCACCCCTCAAGCCATCACTGAGATCTCTACCCCAGGCCAGCGCCTACTCATCCTTCAAGGCTCAAGCATCACTTCCTCCAGGAAGCCTTTCTGCCCAGCTCAGGCTGTGGTCCTCCCCCTTCCATGTGGTGCTCCCAGCACACTGCGCCACCAACCTTGTGACTGCCCACCTCCAGTCCTGTATTGGGTTGGCTTGTCTGTATGCTTGCCTGTCTCCCAACAGAGGCTGTATGCCCAGTTCTGGTGATGCTGCCCCACCCCATGCACTAGTGGCTCCCTGGATTCCGGCCGGGCTGTGCTGCCTATGGGATTCCATCACACAGATGCACGAGGCCTGTAAGGAAAAGTGGATCCCAAAGCCAGAGTCTGAGTCAAGGGTTGCTGGGGGTGGGGTGTGGACAGGGGGTTGGCCGAGGGAAGGGTATTTTACTCCACATCACATAAGATTTTTACACTCATTGCCAGGCACAGTGGCTCACGCCTGTAATCCCAGCACTTTGGGAGGCCGAGGCAGGTGGATCACTTGAGGTCAGGAGTTCAAGATCAGCCTGGCCAATATGGTGAAACTCCAGCTCTACTAAAAATACAAAAATTAGCCAGGCCTGGTGGTGCACCCCTGTAGCCCAGCTACTCTGGAGGCTGAGGCAGGAGAATCACTTGAACCCGGGAGGCGGAAGTTGCAGTGAGCCAAGATAGTGCCACTGCACTCCAGCCTGGGCGACAGAGCGAGACTCTGTCTCAGAAAAAAATAATAATAAATTGCACTCTCTCTTCTTTGTTTTTTTTTGTTTTGAGACAGAGTCTTTCTGTCGCCCAGGTTGGAGTGCAGTGGCATGATCTCGGCTCACTGCAGCCTCCGCCTCCCAGGTTCAAGCGATTCTCCTGCCTCAGCCTTCCAAGTAACTGGTATTACAGCGCCCACCACTACGCCTGGCTAATTTTTGCATTTTTAGTAGAGACGGGGTTTCATCATGTTGGCCAGGCTGGATAATCCACCCACCTCAGCCTCCCAAATAACTGGTATTACAGCGCCCACCACTACGCCCGGCTAATTTTTGTATTTTTAGTAGAGACGGGGTTTCACCATGGTGGCCAGGCTGGATAATCCACCCACCTCGGCCTCCCAAAGTGCTGGGATTACAGGCGTGAGCCACCGCGCCCGGCCAGACTTTTACACTCTCGAGAGGGACTTTGGAAGTGCCGTGGGTGACAGCCCTTCTGAAGTCCCCAGGACCCTGGCTGGAAGGGATGGGTAATTAGAGCTGTTGTGCCTGGGTGACAAAGCCAGAGAAGCCTGGTCCCTGGAGGAGAAACCGAAATGTCTGGAGAGGTGGGGCGGGTGGCCAGGCTCAGGGTAGAGAGAAGCAATACAGAGGCCAGGTAAGAGAGCCGCCCCCTCTCTGGACAGGGCTGCAGGTGAAATACGCCGCCCGAGGTAAAGGAAAGAACTGCAGGTTCCATAAGTGTCCGCTAGGGGGCTACCGAGGATACACCAGCTGGGTCGCCTTGGTAACCGCGGAGCTGCGAATGTGTTGTCCCCACGCGGTGGCGGGGAGGTACCAAGATCGCCCCAGGCGCGGCGTATCAGACGCTGGGGTGGGGGCGGGGGTCTGTGGCCATCAGCCCCAGGCAGGCCGTGAGCCCAGGCCAAGGTCCAGGCAGAGATGAAGGACCCAGCTTACTTTCACCTTCGTGTTTTCTCACCTCTGCTCAGGTCACACCTTCACTGGTTGAACTGGACTTAGCAGTTGTGGTAGGAAAAATTAAAATGGTGTTTTGGATCAGCCAAAACAGCTCCTGCATTGTACAGATGAAATAGCAACCCAGAGAGGGAAAGTCACTTGGAGATCACACAACAGCAGACCTGGAAACAGAGCGAAGAGAAAGTGGAACAGAATGGAAGAAAGCAAAGCAAATGAGCAAAGCCCAGTCAAGCAATGTGTTCACTTTATTATCATCATCATCATTATTATTATTATTATTATTTTGAGACAGGGTCTCACTCTGTCGCCCAGGCTAGAGTGCTGTGGTGCAATCATAGCTCACTGCAGCCTCAAACCTCGAACTACTGGGCTCAAGCCGTCCTTTCACCTTAGCCTTCCTCCTGTAGCTGAGACCACAGGCTCATGCTACCATGCCCAGCTAATTTTTGTATTTTTTGTAGAGACAGGCTCTTGCTTTGTTGCCCAGGCTGGTCTCGAACTCCTGACTTCATGTGATCCTCCGGACTCAGCTTCCCAAAGTGCTGGGATTAAAGGTTCGAGCCACTTCACTCAGCATTCTATTTTTTAAATTACCACTTTTGAATTTAAATAGTTTTAAGCATAAGCTTTTACCTGGTGAATTTAAGAAGACATAATGCTACAATGTAACTTAAGAATCCCTCCAGCAGATGACAGGCATCTTTTCCTTCCTATACCACATTCTTCCTCCTCCAACTAGTGTCTTTCTCTGGGCTTTAGTTTCATCTATACAATGAAGGAGCTGTCTTAGCTCTTCTCAAAAACCATTACTCTTTATAATAAAGCAAAGCCTCTGTGGTCCTACACTTTGGGAGGCCGAGGCGGGTGGATCATGAGGTCAGGAGTTTGAGATCAGCCTGGCCAACATGGTGAAACCCCCATCTCTACTAAAAATACAAAAATTAGCTGGGCGTGGTGGTGGGCACCTGTAATCCCAGCTACTCGGGAGGCTGAGGCAGGAAAATCACTTGAAACCAGAAGGCAGAGGTTGCAGTGAGCCGAGATTGCGCCACTGCACTCCAACCTGGGTGAAAGAGTGAAACTTCATCTCAAAATAAATAAATAAATAAATAAATAAATAAATAAATAAAGCCTTTATGTCATAAGCTTAGCTCAGTTAACTCAGCACACAGTTCGTGGGCACATAAGTGGGTAAGTTCCTCTTACAGACAGAACCTGCTTGGCTGTCAAATATCTCTGTAACTGGGCCCCTGGCAGGCCCAGCCTCAGGACAATCTAGACCAGGTTCTTGGATCCATGTATCTGGTTGTAATGTTGGAGGACATCAGCCATGAACAAAAACTATCTCGGCTATAATATTTGCAAGTTAATTAATTTGCAAGTTTATTTAAAAATTCAGATACAAGGCCAAGTGCCATGGCTCATGCCTGTAATCCCAGCGCTTTGGGAGGCCAAGGTGGGTGGATCACTTGAGTTCAGGAGTTTGAGACCAACCTGGCCGACATGGTGAAACCCCACCTCTACTAAAAATACAAAAATTAGCCAGGTGTGGTGGTGGGCACCTGTAATGCCAGCTACTCGGGAGGCTGAGACAGAGGAATCAATTGAACCTGGGAGGCGGAGGTGGCAGTGAGCTCAGATTGCACCACTGCACTCCAGCCTGGCGACAGAGCAAGACTCCGTCTCAAATAAATAAATAAATTCAGATACAAACATAATTCAATAAATATAGCATGAGAACAATCTTGTTTAATTTTTTATTTTTTATTTTTTTTGGAGACAAGTTCTCACTCTGTGGCCCAGGCTGGAGTGCACTGGTGCGATCTCGGCTCACTGCAACCTCTGCCTCCCGGGTCCAAGTGATTCTTGTGCCTCAGCCTCCCAAGTAACTGGGACTACAGGTGCATACCACGAGGCCCGGTTAATTTTTGTAGTTTTAGTAGAGATAGGGTTTCGCCATGTTGGCCAGGCTGGTCTCAAACTCCTGGGCTCAAGCAATCTGCCCGCCTCAGCCTCCCAAAGTGCTGGGATTACAGGCATGAGCCACTGCACCTGGCCCAAATTTGTTTAATTTCTAGTCCCTCACTCTTTCTCTGCCCTCCTTCTCTATCCTGTCCTTGGCTCATTTTGTCCACTTTCTTTCTTTTTTTTTTTTTTAAGATGGAGTCTTGCTCTGTTGCCCAGGCCTGGAGTGCAGTGGCATGATTTCGAACAGCCACCGGGCCAGGCTATTTTTAAAATATTTTTAGTAGAGTTGGGGTTTTGCCATGTTGGCCAGGCTTGTCTCGAACTCCTGGCCTCAAGCGATCTGCCTGCCTCGGCTTCTCAAAGTGCTGGGATTACAGACAAGAGCCACCATGCCCGGCCTTGTCCACTTTTTTGTTTCTAAACACAGTCCTCTGCTTGGCTGCAAAAACCCTCAGATGCCATCTGTGTCTTGAATGGCTGCGTGGGATCAGTCCCCTCCCCACAACCAGCCACATCCCAGGGTCATTGAATATCCTCGTCTCGGGGGCACAGAGGTATCTGGGGAAAGCCTTGCCTGGGTGGACATTCATGACTTCAAGCCCATGAGGAAAGCCTGTGATAAAAGAGACCAGGTGAGGGCAAACATGGGATGCTAGGGTGGCCGGAGTTGGTTCCCGCTGGTGGGTTCGTGGTCTCGCTGACTTTAAGAATGGAGCCTCAGACCTTCGCAGTGAGTGTTACAGCTCTTAAAGATGGCATGGACTCAAAGAGTGAGCAGTAGCAAGGTTTATTGTTAAGAGCAAAATGACAAAGCTTCCATGGTGTTGAAGGGGACCACCGCTGCTGGCTGAAGGGGGTGGCCAGCTTTTATTCCCTTATTTGTCTTCTCCCATGTTCCGTTTTTGTCCTATCAGAGTGCCCTTTTCTCAATCCTCCCTGTGATTGGCTACTTTTAGGATCCTGCTGATTGGTGTGTTTTACAGAGCGCTGATTGGTGCATTTTACAATCCCCTTGCTAGCTACAGAGTGCTGATTGGTGCGTTTTACAATCCTCTTGTAAGACAGAAAAGTTCTCCAAGTCCCCACTCGACCCAGGAAGTCCAGCTGGCTTCACCTCTCGCTCGGGTACTCCTGGGGCCCATCCATCAATTGACGAAGGGACAAGTGACTGGCCTGAGCAGGGCCTCTCTGGGAAAGTCAGGTGGCTGAACTGGAGCCCAGTGTGAGGTCTCCTGACTGCTGACCCTTGTTACCCACAGGGACTACATTGCCTTGAGGTGACACCACTTGGCTCTGGCCTGAGTCACCGCAGTTGAGATGAATCAAGAGTGTGTGGAAGGTTGGGTGCAGTGGCTGATGCCTATAATCCCAGCACTTTGGGAGGCAGAGGCAGGAGGATCACTTGAGCCCAGGAGTTCAAGACCAGCCTGGGCAACATAACGAGACCCCATTTCGATATACATGAAAATATATAAAAAATAAAGGGTTTGTAGAGCCCTTCAGAATGACCCAGGGTGGCAGAACACCAGAGGAACTCAGACAGCTGGGGCTACTAGGTGCTCAGTGAACTTTTGTTGAACTGAAAGTCATTTTCTGGGGCTTATGGAGGTGTCAGTAACCTAAGATCAGACCTATCAGACGTCACCACAGGGTGTCTGTGACAAGGCGCCAGATGCTCACAGCTGTGTGGGTCTGGGGAACTGAGTGCCCGGTTTTTTTTTGTTATCTGCCCTCCCCAACATATATCTGAATAAGAAACTTTAATTAGACTGAACTAATGACAAACTGTGGTAAAGTTTTCCATACAATAGCATAGTCTTCAGCAATAAAAGGGAATCAATTATTAATATGCATGATGACTTGGATGGACTTCAAGGGTGTTATTCTGAGTAAAAAGTAAATACAATCTTAAATGCTCATATACTGCATGATTTCATTTATATAACATTTAAAAGTAATAGAGATTTTAAAAGTATAGAGATGGAGAATAAAGATGTCATGGATTAGAGAAGGAGCTAGAAAGGGTATCACCATAAGAGAGTAGCCCAGGCCGGGCGCAGTGGCTCACGCCTGTAATCCCAGCACTTTGGGAGGCCGAGGTGGCCGGATCACAAGGTCAGGAGATCGAGACCATTTTGGCCAACATGGTAAAACCCCGTCTCTACTAAAATACAAAAAATTAGCCGGTCGTGGTGGCGTGCACCTATAGTCCCAGCTATTTGGGAGGCTGAGGCAGGGGAATCGCTTGAACGCGGGAGGCGGAGGTTGCAGTGAGCTGAGAAAACGCCATTGCACTCCAGCCTGGGCAACAGGGCAAGACCCCATCTCAAAAAAAAAAAAAAAAAGAGAATAGCCCAAAGGGAGTTTCTCTGTCGTAATAGGAGTTTTGTATCTTAAATTTACCATGGTTCTATTAATATATACATATGACAAGGTGCCACAGAATTATAAACAAAGACATAAAAAATATATGCAAAGCAGGTAAAAATCCAAGTAAGGACTTTAGATAAATATATTGTGCCAATATCAATTTCCCGATTTTGAGAATGCACTAGAATTATGTAAGGTGCCAGTATCGAGGGAAACTGGGTGATGGGTACACGGGACCTCTTCGTTCTACTTTTGCACTTCTTGTGAGTCTGTCATTAACTCAAAATCAAAAGTGTAACAAAATCTGTACTAGCTTTATTCTGTTTTGAATATTTTGAGTTCGGGGGTGGCTAGTGTCATGGAATATTATCCGGGACTCTGGTTGCAGCAGTCAAAGAACCCATTTTATTTATTTGTTGACTTTATTTATCTGTATTTGAGACAGAGTCTCCCTCTGTCGCCCAGGCTGGAGTGCAGTGGCACGATCTCGGCTCACTGCAGCCTCTGCCTCTCAAAGCGATTCCCCTGCCTCAGCCTCCTGAGTAGCTGGGATTACAGGCGCACACCACCACGTCTGGCTAATTTTTTGTATTTTTAGTAGAGACGGGGTTTCACCATGTCGACTAGGCTGGTCTCTAACTCCTGACTTCAGGTGATCCACCCGCCTCGGCCTCCCAAAGTGCTGGGATTACAGACGTGAGCCACCACGCCCGGGCAGAGAACCTATTTTAAACTGGCATAGGACAAAACAGGAAGAAATTATTGGTGCATATAATTAAACTGTGAAACTAGCAGGGCTAGAGCTGCACACAGGGCCAGCTAACTCGGGACTGGCACAAAAAGAACTCTCTCTCTCTCTGCCGCCTCCTCTCCCTTCCCTCCTCCCATCCCCCTCTCCCATCTCCTCCTCTCCCATCCCTCATCTCTTCCTCCCCACTCTCTTTCTCAACCTGCACTCTGGACTCCTCTCTGTGTGTTGGCTTCCAATCCTCACAGCCCTGCTGACAATCTAGGGGGAAAGGCTTCCTTCTACAGAGCATCTACATAAAACATCAGAGGGAAGCATCTGATTGGCCTGCTTTGGGTCACATGGAGTCTGTGATTAACCGCGTCACCAGAACTTCATAGAGGAGGAAGAAGAACTGCCCCTAAAGGAAGAGGGTGCTGTTACTGAGAGATGAGAGAAGGGATGCTGGCTGGGGTAGTGAGAGGTGACAGCATGCTGGCAGCCCTCGCAACCCTCGCTGGCTCTCAGCGCCTCCTCGGCCTTGGCACCCACTCTGGCCGCGCTTGAGGAGCCCTTCAGCCCACCGCTGCACTGTGGGAGCCCCTTTCTGGGCTGGCCAAGGCCGGAGCTGGCTCCCTCAGCTTGCGGGGAGGTGTGGAGGGAGAGGCGCAGGCGGGAACCGGGGCTGCGCACAGCGCTTGCGGGCCAGCGCGAGTTCCGGGTGGGTGTGGGCTCCGCGGGCCCTGCACTGGGATCGCCTGGCCAGCCCGCAAGCCCTGGGCAGTGAGGGGCTTAGCACCTGGGCCAGCAGCTGCTGTGCTCGGTTTCTCGCCCAACCTTAGCTGCCTCCCCGCCGAGCAGGCTTGGGACCTGCAGCCCGCCATGCCTGAACCTCCCCCCGCCCCAGGCTCCTGCGCAGCCCGAGCCTCCAAGACGAGCGCCGCTCCTGGCTCCACGGCGCCCAGTCCCATCCACCGTTCAAGGGCTGAGGAGCGTGGGACCACGGCGCGGAACTGGCAGGCAGCTCCAACTGCAGCCCCGGTGCGGGATCCACTGGGTGAAGCCAGCTGGGCTCCTGAGTCTGGTGGGGACTTGCAGAATCTTTATGTCTAGCTAAGGGATTGTAAATACACCAATCAGCACTCTGTATCTAGCTCACAGTTTAGTAAACACACCAATCAGCACCCTGTGTCTAGCTCAGGGTTTGTGAATGCACCAATCGGCACTCTGTGTCTAATTAATCTGGGGGGACTTGGAGAACCTTTATGTCTAGCTAAGGGATTGTAAATACACCAACCAGCACTCTGTATCTAGCTTAAGGTTTGTAAACACACCAATCAGCACCCTGTGTCTAGCTCAGGGTTTGTGAATGCACCAATCAGCACTCTGTATCTAGTTACCCTGGTGGGGACTGGGAGAATCTTTATGTCTAGCCAAGGGATTGTGAATGCACCAATCTGCACTCTGTATCTAGCTCAAGGTTTGTAAATGCACCAATCATTTCTCTGTGTCTAGCTCAGGGTTTGTAAATAAACCAATCAACACTCTGTATCTAGCTAATCTAGTGGGAATCTGGAGAACTTTTGTGTCTAGCTCAGGGATTGTAAATGCACCAATCAGCACCCTGTCAAAACGGACCAATCAGCTCTCTGTAAAACAGACCAATCGGCTCTCTGTAAAATGGACCAATCAGCAGGATGTGGGTGGGGCCAGATAAGAGAATAAAAGCAGGCTGCCCGAGAACCTAGCGGTAATTCTGCCGCATTCTCTTTCTTCCTGTAGGAGCTTTATTCTTTTTGCTGTTTGCAATTACTCTTGCTAGTGCTCACTTTTCAGGCTCATACTGTCTTTATGAGGTGCAACACTTTCCAGGGAAGTCTGCAGCTTCGGTTCTGAGGCCAGGAAGACTATGAACCCACCAGGAAGAACAAACAACTCCAGACGTGCGGCCTTAAGAGCTGTAACGTTCACTGCAAAGACCTGCAGCTTCATTCCTGAGCCAGCGAGACAACGAAACCACCAGAAGGAAGAATCTCTGAACACATCCGACCATCAGAAGGAACAAACTCCGGACACAACACTCACTGTGAGGGTCCACAGCTTCATTCTTGAAGTCAGTAAGACCAAGAACCCACCAATTCTGGACACAGGAGGGGGGAGATCCACATTACAACATACAAAATAGGTAAATGTACATATTGATTAATAGAAATGTACATATTCATTAATATAAAATTAGTTCCTAAATCTATTGGGTATAAGGAAACAACTTTCTAATGTAGTTAAGGTTTCAGTGTGGTGGCTTGCACACACACTGTTGGTTATCAGACCAGCGCCAGCCAGTCTTAACCACAGAGGGGCATGATAAGCTCTGGAGAAGAGAGATGCTGAGCCTTCAGGGTCAGAGGCAGGCCAGAAGGGACCTTGGAGGGCCCTTGAAGACAAAATCGCCAGAGGCTCAACTGTGACATGGGAGGGTATACAGCTCTGGGGACAGTGGCTTCTGGGATCCTGGATGACACTTGGTGTCAGAGTGGGCTTGGCAAGTTTCTTAAATTCTCTGAACCTGTTACCCCAGGTGTCAAATGGGGATGAGAATATCTATCTCACAGGTTGTTAAATTCAGTTGAGATAGTGTGAAGTGCCTCGCCTGGTCCCCTGCTGGTGTTGCTGCTTGGTTGGCTTTACAGCAGTAGTGCGTCGCAGAGGACGGCAGGTGGCGCTCGAGCCCAGCAGTTTTGAGATGCACGCCCCAGAAGGTCGAGGCAAAACAGGCGCCTGGTGTCAGTAGAGGAAAGGTAGCCGAGGTGCTGGGACACGCTTTCGCGAGGTCAAAAGCTAGTGGGCGCGCATTTCGGCCTCAAACGCTGCAGAGAGGGTCAGAAGCTACCCAGGTCCCACTTAGTGGTTCAGCCTTGTTTTCTTGTCAGGGGATCCCGGTTCCCTGTTGCTCTGGGAATCGCAGGTTCTCCAGCTTAATAGAAGCGGATCTGGCTATATTCGTTGAGTCCCATCTCTTCTCACCGTTTTCATGGAAACCAGAGGGTGGGGCACTTTATTGAACGTTTTAAGTTACTGGAAGTTGGATATCCAGAAGGCTGGACCCACGCCGGGTCGAGTGAGGAACTGGAGGTCCAATCCACGGGGATGTTAATGTGTTTTGTTTTGTTTGTTTTTTTGAGACAGGGTCTCTGTCACCCAGGCTGGAATGCTGTGGCACGACTATAGCTCACTGCAACCTCGATCTCCTGGATTCAAGCAATACTCCTGCCTCAGCCTCACAAGTAGCTGGGCCACCACGCCTGGCTAATTTTTGTTTGCTTCTGTTTTTGTTTTGTTTTTGTTGTTGTTTTGTTGTTGTAAAGACGGGGGTGGGGGGTGGTCTCACTGTGTTCCCCAGGCTGGTCTCAAACTCCTGGGCTCAAGCGATCCCCTGGCCTCGGCCTCTCAAAAAGTGTTGGGATTACAGGTGTGAGCCACCAAGCCCGGTCCCTTGTAGATGTTTTTCTTTTTGTTTTTTAATTTTTGTGGGTATACAGTAGGTGTATATATTTACGGGGTCTATGAGATGTTTTGATAGACATGCAACGTGAAATAAGCACATCATGGAGAATGGGATCCTCGTGGATATGAAAGATAGAGCAGGCAACAAGAAAGGCAGTTGACGTTAACGACGGGTCCCTGATGCTCTCCCAGGCTGGGTTAGGACTAGGTCCCGCTGAATGCCTCATCCTCCGCCCTCCAAGCCCAGGAGTGCCTTCTTGCCCACCGGGGCGCGGGGTTTGAAGAGGCTTTGAGGCACCACTTGGGCACGTGGAGACCTCTGCCAGTCTCTCTCGTCCCGCCCCTGCGTTCCCGGTTTCCAGGGGACTTGCGAGTCGGTCTTTTCTGCCTTCGAACTCTTGAGTAGCTAGCAGAACCCGGAGGAGCTCTCAGAACCCCAGGCCGTTGTCATGGAGAGAGCGCGCGCCCAACTACGTGGCTTGTGATTGGCTGGGAGGCACGCCCCCGCCCTCCCCTTCCAGCCCGTGGCTCGGCGACTTACAGGGAGGGAGAACATGGCTGCTGGCTTTTAGCACCTGGTGGGTTTCGCGCCTTGCAACTCGACAACTGCCGGGACGGAGTCTGGCTGCGCGACCCCCTGCGGCAGGTGCTGGGCGAGGCGCCTCCCCTGCAACTAGCCTGCCGCTTCCCTCCCGGCACCCCCGCCGCCAGCCCCGAGCGCGGACCTGGAGCGGAGAAGAGAGGTCGGTGCCTCCAACCCGGGGCCGCGGTCGAGGGGCGCGCGTCGTTGCTCTGGGACTCACTGTCGACCAACCCCCATTCCTCAGGGGCTCGGCTCCTTCCCCAAGGCTCAGGACGTAGAGCTTGGGCGGGGCCCCCTGCCCAGCAGCAGTCAGCGGAGCTGCACGAGTCAGACTCCACTTCTGGTGCACCTGGTACCTTGGTGCGCTGGGCTGAGGGCTTAGGGGTGGTTCTGGTTGGGGTGGCGTTTTGGATCTGTGAGCAGGAGCCGATGAATTCCCCCGAGTGTGTGTGTTCGTGTGTGTCTCCGTCTGTGCAGAAATCCGAGCCAACCACTAGAGCTCTGTGAATGGGGAGAGCTTCACTCTCCAAAATATCCAGTTGGTCCCCTCTCCCATAGCAACTCCAGGTTTTATAAATAAAAATTTTTGAGACCGGGTGCGATGGCTCACGCCTGTAATCCCAGCACCCTGGGAGGAGAGGCGGGTGGGTCACTTGAGCCCAAGTTGGAGTACAATAAAGCCAAAAGTGTAAACAACCCACATGCCCACCAACTGATGAGTGACTAGACAGAATGTGATATGTCCGTATAATCATATTATTCAGTAATACAAAGGAATGCGTTGGTGATATGGGTTACAACATGTATGAACCTCAGAAGCACTACTGTTATAGGAAAGTGGTCCCTATCCAGACCCCAAGAGAGGGCTCTTGGCTGTCTAGCAAGAATTTAGGGCGAGGTCCACAGTGCAAAGCAAAAGCAAGTTTATTAAGAAAGTAAAGGAATAAAAGAATGGCTATGCCATCAACAGAGGGCTGCTGGTTGCCCATGTTAATGGTTATTTCTTGATACGCTAAACAAGGGGTGAATTATTTATGTCTCCCCTTTTTAGACCATTTAGGGTAACTTCCTGATGTCATGGCAGTTGTAAACTGTTATGGCGCTTTTGGGAGTATAGCAGTGAGGACGACCAGAGTCACTCTTGTTGCCGTCTTGGTTTTGGTGGGTTTTAGCCAGCTTCTTTACTGCAACTTGTTTTATCAGCAAGGTCTTTATGACCTCTATCTTCTGCCAACCTCCTATCTCATCCTATGACTTAGAACGGCTTAACTGTCTGGGAGTGTAGCCCAGTAGGTCTCAGCCTCATTTTACCTAGCTCCTATTTAAGATGGAGTTGCTCTGGGTCACACGCCTCTGACACGACAAGTGAAAGAAGCCAGTCACACACATACAAATATATACCGCATGACCCCATTTATGTGAAATGTCCAGAATAGGCAAACTACATAGAGAAAAAGTAGAGCAGTGGTTGCCTAGGACTGCAAGGTGGCAGGGTAGGATTAGGGAATGGCTACTAATGGGCATAAGTTTTCTTTTGGGGATGATGAAAATGTTCTAGAATTCCATTATAGTGATGGTTATATAACTCTCTACATCCAGTAAAAACTACTGAATTGTACACTGTAAACTGTGAGCGCTATAGTATATGATTTATATCTCAGTAAAGCTGTTAGAAAAAGAAAGGGCCTGGTGTGGTGTCTCACGCCTGTAATCCCAGCACTTTGGGAGGCCGAGGTGGGTGGATCGCCTGAGGTCAGGAGTTCGAGACCAGCCTGGCTAACATGGTGAAACCCCATCTCTACTAAAAATACAAAAATTAGCTGGGCGTTGGGGCTGGCGCCTGTAATCCCAGCTACTCGGGAGGCTGAGGCAGGAGAATCGCTTGAACCCAGGAGGCGGAGGTTGTAGTGAGCCAAGATTGTGCCATTGCACTCCAGACTGGGCAACAACAGCAAAACTCCGCCTCAAACAAAAAAAAAAAAAAAAAAAAAAGGAAATGGGTGGAGTGGGGAGAAAGGTGGGATGTAGAGAAATTCTAGGAGTTCCAGAAAAGGCAGTATTGGTAGCCAGTGGAGGAAAGAGTTCCAGGGAGATAAGTGCCATAAAGCATTAGATAAAATCTGCCTGATGTCCAGTCAGGTCATCAACTAGCTAAATCACTGGACATGTTGGGAAAATCAGTATCAGAGTAAGGTGAAGGTAGAAGCCAAACAACAGTCAAAACAAGGCATGAAGGGGAAGTGAGGACTTGGTCTTCACAAGATGGTATACTTTTTCTAGAAGTTCAGATGAAACGCATAGGGGTAAAGAAGAATGGGAGCTGAGAGACATCTGGGGACAAGAAATCTGTGTGTGTGTGTGTGTGTGTGTGTGTGTGTGTGTCTTTCAGAAGGGACAGATTTAAGCATGGTTATAAGTCCAATGGAAAAAGCCAAAAGGAAAAAAATGTGAGATGTAGAAGAAATATGGATGATAGATTAGAAGGGATTGGGGACCAAAGACCCCGAGAGAGCACGTTTCTCCAAATCAGCAAAGGAACATCTGTCTCTAAGACTGGAGGTGAAGTGGAGAAGTGGGTTGAAAAGTGGGTATAAAAATTGTCAACAGGCTCATTTTCCCAGCAATTTTCAGCTGGCATGATACTGGACTTTGTAGGTCAGTTTCAACACAAGTGGGGATAAAAGAATCAAGAGCCCTGGTAGGAAAAAAGTTCAGTTGACTGGCTGTGAGGTCTTCATAAAGGAGAAAGAGAAACAAATACTGACATTCAGAGAAAGTGAGAGACCGAGAGGCCATAGGGACCTTTGACATATAGTCAACCCACTGAAGTCCCTCTTTATCCTCCAAAACAATATAATAATCTTAGAACCTTTAATCTCTCATCAGGAGAACCTTGATTTTTTTCTGTTGACCTGGATTTTAGTTTCATCTTTTTTTAAACCCACAAGACATAATCAATAGTTTTATATAGTCAATTTTAATTTAGATTTACACGTAGATTTACCACTTTTTTTTTTTTGAGACGGAGTCTCACTCTGTCACCCAGGCTGGAGTGCAGTGGCGCGATCTCGGCTCACTGCAAACTCCGCCTTCCGGGTTCGCGCCATTCTCCTGCCTCAGCCTGAGTAGCTGGGACTACAGGCGCCCGCCACCACGCCCAGGCTAATTTTTTGTATTTTTAGTAGAGATGGGGTTTCACCGTGGTCTCGATAATCCTGACCTCGTGATCCGCCCACCTCGGCCTCCCAAAGTGCTGGGATTACAAGCGTGAACCACCGTGCCCGGGAGGTAGAGTTACCACTTTCTTTGTTCACTGTTTCCTTGTCTATATATGACTGCATGTGGAATCATTTTCCTTCCATTTGAAAGACACCCAACTTTAATGAGTCTCTGTTGATGACATTCTGTTTTTTGTTTTTCCAAAAATCCCTCTATTTAATCCTCATTGATGAAGATATAATTCTAGCTGTCTTCCATTGTTGCCATCTTCTAATTCTCCTTTTTTGTTGTTGTTTTGAGACAGAGTCTTGCTCTGTTGCCCAGGCCGGAGTGCAATGGTGCAATGTCAGCTTACTGCAACCTCCACCTCCCAGGTTCAAGCCATCCTCCTGCCTCAGCCTCCTGAGTAGCTGGGAGCCATCACGCCCAGCTAGCCATCTTCTAATTTTCATTCCTTCAAAGGTAATCTGTTTTTTCTCTCTAGGATTTTAAAGATCATCTTTGGTGTTCTATAGTTTCACTATGATGTGTTTCAATGTAAATTTATTTTTATTCATCTGGCTTGGAGTGGCAGGATTCCAGAATCTTTATATCTTTAATCAGTTCTGGAAATTTTCAGCCTTTATCTTCTCAAATATTGCCTCAATTCTCTTCTTTTTCTGGAACCCAGATTAGATTGTTATAGCTCTCTGCCTTTTTTAAACTTTTTTTTATCTCTTTGTCCATTTGTGGATAATTTCCTCAGATCGACCTTCTATTCACTAATTTTATCTTCGGGTGTGTCTAATCTATTATTAACCATGTGCATTACATTTTTAACTTAAAGATTTTCTTTCTTTCTTTTTTTTTTTTTGAGACAGCGTCTCACTGTGTAGCTCAGGCTGGAGGGCAATGGCGTGATCTCGGCTCACTGCAGCCTCTGCCTCCTGGGTTCAAGTGATTCTCCTGCCTCAGCCTCCCGAGTAGCTGGGACTACAGGCGCATGCCACCACACCCGGCCAATGTTTTGTATTTTTAGTAGAGACGGGGTTTCACTGTGTTAGCCAGCATGGTCTTGATCTCCTAACCTTGTGATCCACCTGCCTCGGCCTCTCAAAGTGCTAGGATTACAGGCGTGAGCCACTGCGCCCGGCCATTTTTAAAATTCTATTTGGTTCTTAAGATTTTGGACTCTTGTTCTTTATTCATATGTCCAACCCCTACTTTAGTTTATTAAAATAAATTTTTGACAGCCGGGCACAGTGGCTCACGCCTGTAATCCCAGCACTTTGGGAGGCCGAGGTGGGTGGATCACGAGGTCAGGAGATCGAGACCATCCTGGCTAACACAGTGAAACCCTGTCTCTACTAAAAATACAAAACATTAGCTTGGCTTGGTGGCAGGTGACTGTGTAGTCCCAGCTACTTGAGAGGCTGAGGCAGGAGAATGGTGTGAACCTGGGAGGCAGAGCTTGCAGTGAGCTGAGATCATGCCACTGTACTCCAGCCTGGGTGACAGAGCAAGACTGTCTCAAAAAATAAATAAATAAAAATAAAATAAATTTTTGAAACATATTAGACATCATAAATTTTGTGTCTGACAACTCCCTATATTTGAGGTTGTTATGAATATTATACTATTTTTTCTGTCATTCATGGTTCCATGTTTTATGCATGTGCTTTGTGTTTGTGATTCATGGCTGTGAGCTCATATTTCTTGGGATTATATCTGGGGAAGTTCTTTGAAGCCTGGACTGAAGGTAAGTTCTCCCAGACTGGATTTATGTTTGATTCTGCCAGATGCCTGGAAGCACTGTTAGCCGAGAACCAATTTAAACTACATTCTCAGCTTGCAGTTTTTTGGACCACCCAGGGACTGTGAATACAGGCTGTAATTCCACATAGGAACCAGGTTTGGTTACAAATTCTCGGGAAAGATATCCACCAACGCCCCTACTCATTGTCAAAGTTTGAAACAGGTAATTTACCTTGCAGTCTCTACCATGGGAGTATTCATCTATGGAGTCCCAATTTTTACTGGGTGGGGTGGGGAGTGTCTCCTATTAGATACCCTGCTTTGGATGGGGTCTGGGTTTTGTCACTTGGCTCTTGTGCCTACAGGACTATGAAAAACAAAGCTCTTAGCTTTGTGCAGTGGCAGTATCTTAACCAATGAGGTTTATCTGAGGCACAATTATTGCTAATTGAAAACTTTTCCCAACACTGCCATAATGACTTGAGCTATACTAGGCATTGGCAATTTAATTTTTGACAGTCTCTACGGAGACTGAAATAAAAAAAAAGAAAAACAAAGCTCAAGTTTGCCTCATTTGGCAAATGATTCCCAGGTGAAAGCTAGCGTTCCATGTTCTGCCTACTACTCTCTAAGTTTATTCATTTTGTTTGGGTTTGGGCTTCTCGGTATTCCCTACCAATTTTCTAGCTCATCAATACATTTTAAAAGATTTTTAAGTTATTTTATCCAGCATTAAAGTTGCTGAGCCACACTCCCAGAAGCAGAAGTGCATCTGTGAGTTCCTTAAAGGAAACCAATAGATACCTGACTTGGAACACCCGGCTCTGCTTCAGCTTCCTTCAGTCTCCAAATGGGTGTGAGCTGAAGTTCTCACACCCAGTTAATTCCATAGCCTCTTACTATTGTGAACTGCGCACCTTTCCCCTGGGGGCTAAAAGCCCAATTATTTTCCAGTACATGCACTTTCTACACAAACAGCAGAAATTCAGGTTGCTCTCCTTACAAACAGCGTTGTTCTCTTTCCCTTTTCTCTGGGAGGTACCAGTGCAGGTTTTAAAACCTCTGCTCTCCTGGGTAGGCTCAATGTTTGAGTGCTCTTTCTCACATTCATCTTGCAAGTAGGAGCGGTGGTGAACGCTGCCTTCCGCACTAGGTGGAAGGCTTACTCGTCTAAGGAATTCTTTTTCTTTCTTTTGAGAGAGGGTCTTGCTCTGTCACGCCAGCTGGAGTACAGTGGCACGATCTCAGCTCACTGCATCCTCAACCTCCCCTAGCTCAAGCTGATTCTCCCACCTCAGCCTCCCCAGTAGTTGGGGACTACCGGCATGCCACCACACCTGGCATTATTATTACTATTGTAGAAACAAGGTCTCACTATGTTGACCAGGATGGTCTGGAACGCCTAGGCTCAAGCGATCCTCCCTCCTCAGCCTCCCAAAGTGTGGGAATTATAGGCCACTGTGCCTGGGTACGGATTTTTCCTTTTCTTTCCCGTCATACTCTTATATAGCCTGGGAAAAGAGGGGTGGCATTGCGTCAGTGGTTAATAGTAACAGCAAATTCAGAATTCAGCACCCAGCTTCCTTTGATAAGACCTGAGAGGTTCTCACCCCAAATGTTTTCATCTTTCCTTAGAATGCAGAACTTAATCCTCAACTCTTGAGACCTGGTTACCAATTCTGGGACAGTAGGAAAAATTCCTCTTATTCTCTCATAGTAATAAGTGACTCCACTGCTGTTACTAAGCCAATGGCTCTCATCACACTCAAAATCCACACCCCTCATCACAACCTCCAAAGCCTTGTTCCATCAAGTCCCAGTCTACCTGCCCTACCTCTGCTCTGCTCACTCTCTTATCCCTCACTCTGCTAAGGTACATTAGGCATCTATCTGTTCCTAAGCACACCAAGCTTGTTCCCATCTGACAGCTTTTGCACCTTCAGTTTCTTCAGCCTGGAATTCTTTTCCCCTTATGCACCTGCAGTTGTTTTGTTGTTGTTGGGCTTTTTTTTTTTTGAGACAGAGTCTCCATCTCTCACCCAGGTTGGAGTGCAGTGGTGCAATCTTGGCTCACTGCAACCCCCACCTCCCAGGTTCAAGCGATTCCCCTGCTACAGCCTCCCAAGTAGCTGTGAGTACAGGCGCACGCCACCACACCCTGCTAATTTTTGTATGTTTAGTAGAGATGGGGTTTTACTATGTTGGCCAGGCTGGTCTCGAACTCCTGACCTCAAGTGATCTGCCCCCCTCAGCCTCCCAAAGTGCTGGGATTACAGGCGTGAGCCACCATGCCCAGCCTGCAGTTGCCTTAAGTTGCAGCTACTAAGTCACTTGCCTCAGAGAGGCCTCCCGGTCCACTCTAATTCATACTTGTGAATTATGCATTCTGCTAATTCCAGACCACTATATTCACAAAGCAGTGATAGAAAGCATTCATTAATTTTTATATATATTTTTTGAGACAGTCTCGCTTTGTCGCCCAGGTCGGAGTGCTGTGGTGAAATCACAGCCCACCACAACCTCTGCTTCCCGGGTTCAAACGATCTTCCCACCTCAGCCTCCCAAGTAGCTGGGACCACAGGCGCACACTATTGCAACCAGTTAATGTTTGTATTTTTTGTAGAGACAGGGTTTTGCCATGTTGCCCAAGCTGGTCTTTTAATTCCTGGGCTCCTCCCTCCTCAGCCTCCCTGTGCTATTGACGTGTTATTTCATTACTTGTTAGCCCCTTGCGCAGGATTTTGTGTTTGGGACAAGCCAACAGTGATGGAAATTTTCTCCCTTTTTTGTTTTGTTTTTTTTGAGATGGAGTTTTGCTGTTGTTGCCCAGGTTGGAGTGCAATGGTGCAATCTCGGCTCACCACAACCTCTGCCTCCCAGATTCAAGCGATTCTCCTGCCTCAGCTTTCTGAGTAGCTGGGATTACAGGCATGCGCCACCAAGCCTGGCTAATTTTGTATTTTTAGTAGAGACGAGCTATCTCCATGTTGGTCAGGCTGGTCTCGAACTCCTGACCTCAGGTGATCCGCCAGCCTCAGCCTCCCAAAGTGCTGGGATCACAGGCTTGAGCCACCGCACCCGGCATAAAGCATTTATTTTTGAATGTTCATATTTTTGATAAAGCAGTGTGACATCAGGAACATTTCGTTGCAGTCATTTTCTACCATGTTGGTATGCAATGCTCTAATGTTAAGAAATCAAGCTGAAATCTAGGAAATGTAGCCTGAATGTCTGTGATATATAAGACATAATTACATAAACGTAATAGCTGTATCTAAAAGTTGACCTATCTTTGTGTTGAAAATTTCCATCGGGCCGGGCGCGGTTGCCCATGCCTGTAATCCCAGCACTTTGGGAGGCCGAGGCGAGTTCGAGACCAGCATGACCAACATGGAGAAAACCTGTCTCTACTAAATATACAAAATTAGACGGGCCTGGTGACGCATCGCATGCCTGTAATCCCAGCTACTCGGGAGGCTGAGGCGGGAGAATCGCTTGAACCCAGGAGGCGGAGGCTGCGGTGAGCCAAAATCGCGCCATTGCACTCCAACCTAGGCAACAAGAGCGAAACTGTGTCTCAAAAAAAAAAAAGAAAATTTCCATCATTGTTTGCTTGTCCCAAACAAAATCCTGCGTAAGGGGATACGAAGTAATGAAATAACACGGCAGTAGATCTGCCTTTGCACATTGCTCAGGAGGCCACGGATTTGTCCGAAGTTTCTTTTTTCTCTAAAATGAGAAATGGAAAATTGCCTTTTGAAGAAGATGTAAATGCCCCACCCTCTGACGCTGTCTCACTCCCTTCCTGTGTCACTCTTACCGCTGAAGTCAGGACCTGACATTATCTTGTTGACATGTTTGCGTTTTTATCGTCAGCCTCGTCGAAAGGGGCGTACGATTGCTCCCCGAAACCAGGGTCTTTCCCGGCCGATTCCCCAGCTAGCAACAAGCCCCTTGCAAAGAGGAGGCGGACAGTGACTGGAATACAGGGACACGCACACTCGAGCCACACTGGCCGCCTCCCTCGGCCCTCGCAAGGGTCCCTAACGCGCCTTCGGAAGCCGCCTAGGCGGGGCCTGCGCGCGCGGGCCTCTGGGAAGTGTAGTTCGCGCGCCCGGCGTGGACCCGGGGTTGCAGGAGCGAGGCTCCGAGTGCGCAGGCGCACTTCCAGTTCTGCCCCACCGCTGCGGCCATTGTCCGACCCCGGTGCGGCTGAGGCCCCTTTGGGCAGCCCCTCCGCAGATCAGAATTGGAGATAACCGAGGCTTCGGCGGGGGCGGGAGGAGCTGCCCGAGGCTCTGGGTGGGCCGGAGGTCGCGAAATCCGGAGCCCCCCAGAGGCGGTGATTCTGAGTGCGCGGGTCTGGGCGGGACCCCTCCTGGGTTTGGCGGGTGTCAGCCGGGCCTCGCCCACCACCCTGCGAAGGGGACTGGGCGTGGCCGGAGGGGGGTGTCCGGGAGGCCGCTGAGCCTTTCATTTCGGGGATGGGGAGCGGCAGGCCCGGGCTGGTTCCACGGTCCTCGCCACCATCTCCCCTGGAGATGTGGTTTAGGGGCGGAGGTGGGGCGGGGCGGGGCGGGGTGGGGTCGGTGTTGCAGCGGGGTGAGTGGGCCCTGTCCTTTCTCCCCAGCTCCTGCCCCGGAGCCGGGCCCTGGCGAGGCAGGAATGGCCCCGAGGCCTCCGACCGCCGCGCCCCAGGTGAGCAACGCGTTCCTAACCTCCTGGGCATCCCATCCATCTATCCATCCCATCTCCCAAGGGTGTTTGGAGCAGTCATTGTTCTCTGCCTGGCGACTCCCTTACTTGCTTGGCTCGATCGGAGCCTCCTGGCCATGGAAAACCCCAGGCTTTGGGGAGCTGGATTCCCAAAGGGGAGGCTGCTCTGTGGGGTAGAGAGGGCCAGTGTGGTGCGATCTTGTGGGAGGAGTTGAGATTGGATGCGTTGGGAAGTGTCAGTTTTGAGAGTCCTGAATGCCACGCCAGTTTTTTGAACTCTTGTCAATAAGAAATGGAGAGAGTGGGGTCACAGGATGGAACACTGTAGAGGAGGAAGTGACTGTCGGCAAGTGTGGAGAGAGGAGCCCCAGCTTCTGACCCAGGGCCCATAGAGAGTCCGTAAGGGGCCGTAGAAGCCTGGTTAGAACATGTCTAGGAAGAGGCTGGAGATGGGCTTTCTTGGGCAAGGAGGCAAAAACAAAACAAAATAAAAAACAACCAAAAATAAAACCAGGGCTGATTCTCCCAGAGCTTTTTGTGTCTGTCCTTTTCTGCTTTAACAAAAATGTAATAGAGCAACTCACTCCCCACCGCCAGAAGTCCAGCCTTCACCTTAATGTGAGGCTGATTCGTGAACCCATTTATTCTTGTGGCAGAGGGGGCATTTTCTAGAAGCGTCACAACTCTAAGGTTATCCATTGATTTACATATTGGTGAAAATACATCAAGATCCAGATGGTATCTGTATCTTTGAATCTACATTCTCTTTAGAATTAAGGGAAAATGACAGATTGTAGTTGCTAGGTGTGTGAGACATCAAGATCAATTCAAATAAAAATACCAAGTTGCCAGGTACAGTGGGTCACACCTGTAAGTCCAGCACTTTGGGAAGCTGAGGCAATAGGATCGTTTAAGCCCAGGAATTTGAGACCAGCCTGGGCAACATAGTGAGACTCCGTCTCTGCAAAAAAAAAAAAAAAAAAAAAATTTAAAAGATAAAAACACCAACTTAGTAATGTCCTTTAAAAGAGCAGTTTATAGTGAATTAAGCATACAATACATCATGCCTTTTTTTTTTTTTTTTTTGAAACAGGGTCTCTTGTCACCCAGTCTGGAGTACAGTGACATGATCTTGGCTCACTGCAACCTCTGCCATGGTGCACGCCACCATGCCCGGCTAATTTTTGTATTTTTTGGTTTATTTTATTTTTTGAGACAGTCTCATTCTGTCACCCAGGCTGAAGTGTAGTGGCATGATCTCGGCTCACTGCAACCTCCACCTCCTGGGTTCAAGTGATTCTCCTGCCTCAACCTCCCTAGTAGCTGGGATTAACAGGTGTACACCACCACACCCGGCTAATTTTTTTGTATTTTAGTAGAGTCAGGGTTTTACCATGTTGGCCAGTCTGGTCTCGAACTCCTGACGTCAATTGATCCGCCCACGTTGGCCTCCCAAGGTGCTGGGATTACAGATGTGAGCCACCACGCCTGGCCTAATTTTTGTTTTTTTTTGTAAAGATGGGGTTTCTCCAGGCTGGATTTGAATTCCTAAGCTCAAGTGATGTGCTCGCTTCAGCCTCCCAAAGTGTTGGGATTACAGGTGTGAGCCACCACAGCTGGGCATGTGCCACCATGCCCAGCTAATTTTTGTATTTTTAGTAAAGATGGGGTTTCACCATGTTGGCCAGGATGGTCTCGATCTCCTGACCTCCCAAAGTTCTGGGATTACAGGCGTGAGCCACCGGGCCCGGCCTGCGTTTTTATATATATATATACTTCTTATTATATGTTTCTGTTTTTACAGGGATGAGCCTTAAGGAGTAAGACACCTGCCAATACTAAAACAAGACAGTTACTTGGTTTGAGGAGAGCCAGAGCACATCATGATCGTTATCCCCTTTACATGCAAAGTATCCTCCATAGGCTTGTGAGAATTAGATGACTTAACACCTCATCAGGGACTCTGGTCTTTTCCATAGTGGGAGGATACCTTTTTAGTGGTGAAAGTGGATTCATGTTCTGAGCAGTGAATTTTAAGGACCACTGTAAACTTGACTTTTCAAGCTATGTTCCCTGAACGCCCTGGCTCAGTTGCATTCTCATTGAATGGCCTGATGATGTCCATGTGGGTTATCTAACTCAGGCTGCAGATAACCAGGGATGAAGGACAGAACAGAACACTGGTCCTAAACGGGGCTTTTCAGGCAGAAATTTCCCTTTAGCAGTGGTTCCCTGAGCATGACCCTCAGGGGAATGCAAAGATTAGTAATGAGTCCTGTGACTGCTTAACTGTAAAGTTAATTTAGTGGGAGCAGACAGTCTCCTGCAGAAGTAGAGCGCAAGAGAGCTGGTGTCAAGTGTTGTTGCGGAGGTCCAGAGGCTGCTTGGAGTTGAGAGGGACCAGGACATTCTGCCGGTGGGAAGAAGTCAGTGGAGTTTTCACCTTTGAATAGGAGCAGAGTCTAAGCAGGTGAAAACAAAAGGGGACTGTAATCCCAGCACTTTGGGAGGCGGAGGCAAGCGGATCACTTGAGGTCAGGAGTTCGAGACCAGCCTGGCCAACATGGTGAAACCCTGTTTCCACTAAAAATACAAAAATTAGCTAGCCATGGTGACGGGCGCCTGTAGTCCCAGCTACTAGGGAGGCTGAGGCAGGAGAATCGCTTGAACCTGGGAGGTGGAGGTTGCAGTGAACCGAGATCCTGCCACTGCACTCCAGCCTGGGTGACAGAGTGAGACTCCATCTCAAAAAAACCAACCCCAAAAAACAAAAGGGAGAGGGTAGAGCTGATTGATTTGGTGAATCGGGAGTTGGGAGGCAAGAAGATGGCGGTGCATGTTCATTAAAGCATTTTCTTTGTAACACCAGCTGTGGGCTGCTGGCAGTGGGTAGAGGAGAATAGAAGGAGTTTGGACTTGTTCTTTTTGGCCTTGTAACTCGTTCATTCATCATTCATTCATCTACTCATTCACCAGGTAGTCATTGAGCCCTATGATGTGTCAGGCACTTTTCTAGGCAGTTGGGATAACTTCAGTGAACAAAATTAGGACCCTGCTCTCAAGGAGCTTACATTCTAGAGAGGACAGACAGAAGAATTCAGTAAATAAATAAATTGTATGGTATCCTAGAAGGCAGTAGTATCTCAAGAGGGAAAAAAGGTAGAGAAAGGTAAGGGGGTCTGAGTGGGGAGGTGGGAGGTTTGTAGTCGGGGTGCAATTTAAAATGATGTGGTCAGGGTAAGCCTTATCCTTATTGAGATGGTGACACCTGAGCAGACTTGAAGGCGATGAGGGAGTAGATGTGTAGGGGAAGAGTGCTCTGGGCAGAGGGAACAGCCTAGCGGCAAGATGTATGTCTGGTGTATTCAAGGAGCAGCAAAGAGGCCAGTGTAGCTTGAGCTGGTGATTTGGGGCAGGGAACTAATACAACTTCATAGATTTTTTAAAAGATTGCCATGAATGATGAATCCTAGGATAAAAAGTTTGATATTATATTTGATAATAGTTCCTTTAGAGAGGTGTTTTGATGAGTGGGACCTTTCCCCTGAACATAGTTAACAAATTCCTGAACTGGCTCCACCTGAAGCGGGATGGGACTAGGAGCAGAGATGGAGGAGCCGGGATACCCATTTAGAATGTTTACGTAGATATAGCTGTGTATTTATAGGATTGTTAGTAGCAATGTCTATGTAAACATTATACATCCTTATTTGCCTTTTTTTCTTTTTTTTTTTTTGAGACAGAGTCTTGCTCTGTCGCCAGGCTAGAGTGCAGTGGCGTGATCTTGGCTCACCGCAACCTCTGCCTCCCTGATTCAAGCTATTTTCCTGCCTCAGTCTCCCGAGTAGCTGGGATTACAGGCATGTGTCACCACGCCCAGCTAATTTTTGTATTTTTGGTACAGACAGGGTTTCACCATGTTGACCAGGATGGTCTCGATCTCCTGACCTCATGATCTGCCTGTCTCAGCCTCCCAAAGTGCTGGGATTATAGGCGTGAGCCACTGTGTCTGGCCTGCCCTTTTTTTTTTTTTTTTCGAGGTAGAGTCTTGCTCTATCAGTGTGCAGTGTGCAATGTTGTCTCGCTGCAACCTCTGCCTCCCAGGTTCAAGCAATTCTCCTGCCTCAGCCTCCCAAGTAGCTGGGATTACAGGTGTGCACCACCACGCCCGGCTAATTTTTTGTATTTTTACTAGAGATGGGGTTTCACTATGTTGGCCAGACTGGTCTTGAACTCCTGACCTCAAGTGATCCACCCACCTTGGCCTCCCAAAATGCTGGGATTACAGGTGTGAGCCACCACACTGGCTGGCCTCTTTTTCATAACATGTGTACTACATTTTTAGTTAGGAAACAAAAAAGGCATTTGCCATTCTTAAAGTTGAAGCCACCAGAGCAGTAAGAAATGAGAGAAGTTTTAAGCTAGGTGTGGTGGCACACACACCTATAGTCCCAGCCACTTGGGAGGCTGAGGTGAGAGGATCACTTAAGCTCAGGAGTTTGAGGCTACAGTGAGCTATGATTGCACTACTGCACTCCAGCCTGGGCAGCAGAGAGACATCCCATCTCAAAACAAACAAACAAAAAAACAGAAAAGAGAAATGAGGGAAGTTTTATAAGGAAAATGCTTCATATGGAGAACCAGATCTCTTCATGTTAGAGAAGAGATTTCCTTGATAGAGAGGAAATGGGGAGGAGGGGTCAGGGCCTGGTCTCTGTTGACTCTGGATTACAGAAGCTCTGGTTAGATCATCAGGGTGAACAGACCCAGCAAAACCTGGCTTAGGTCACCCAAACTTAGACAAGATGCTTCTGGGGCCACCAGGGGAAACCAGACCACTTGCTGAATCAGGTCAGGATGTTTGTAGTCAAGGATGTCCGAGCTCCCTCTGTCCAGAGGTTCCCCTTCTCAGCTTCAGCCTGAGCTGACAGGAGGTGGTCTCTAAGTCTCAGCTGAGATTGCACCTTCCCGTGTAACGTTAGGTACCGCTCCTGTGTGTGCCCATAGCACCTGTGAACACCTTTTTTTTTTTTTTTTTTTTTTTTTTTTTTTTTTTTTGAGATGGAGTCTCATTCTGTTGCGCTGAAGTGCAGTGGCGTGATTTCGGCTCACTACAACCTCCGCCTCCCGGGTTCAAGCGATTCTCCCGCCTCAGCCTCCAGAGTAGCTGGGACTACAGGCACGTGCCACCATGCCCAGCTAATTTTTTGTATTTTTAGTAGAGATGGGGTTTCGTCATGTTATCCAGGATGGTTTCGATCTCCTGACCTCATGATCCGCCCGCCTCGGCCGCCCAAAGTGCTGGGATTACAGGCATGAGCCACCGCGCCCGGCCCATGCACTCCTATTATAATATTCTTACATGGAATGGAGTGGTGCATTTACCCAGCCTTCTCTGTACCAGGTTTTGTACTCTTTCAGAGTAAGGCCATTTGACCCCTCCCTTCAACCCCTTGCCCAGACTAAACACGAGGTAACATGATCATTCAGAATCACTTAAGCCCAAGCAGCAATTTTATACTTTCTGCTACTAATATAGCACAAATTATATTTTCCAGTCACAATGAGCCTATTTTATTTTCTGATAAAATGATTACATGAAACAATGTGATTTGCACTGAACAGTTTTTAAAAAATTTGTCTTTAGGATGTTAGGATGTCAAAACCTGTTCCTCTAAGAACTGTTTCAAGCCAGGCGCAGTGGCTCACGCCTGTAATCCCAGCACTTTGGGAGGCCGAGGCAGGTGGATCACGAGGTCAGGAGATCGAGACCATCCTGGCTAACATGGTGAAACCCCGTCTCTAATAAAAATACAAAAAAATTAGCCAGGCATGGTGGCCGGTGCCTGTAGTCCCAGCTACTCGGGAGGCTGAGGCAGAAGAATGGCATGAACCTGGGAGGCGGAGCTTTTAGTGAGCAGAGATCACGCCACTGCACTCCAACCTAGGTGACTGAGCGAGACTCCGTCTCAAAAAATAACTGTTTCAAAAATAAGATTCTTTTCCTTACTTTTCCGTGTTGTATTACTTTTGTTAAAGTATATCTTATGGCCGGGTACAGTGGCTCACACCTGTAATCCCAGCACTTTGGGAGGCCGAGACAGGCGAATTGCATGAGCCCAGGAGTTCGAAACCAACCTGGGCCACATAGTGAAACCCCATCTCTACTAAAAATACAAAAATTAGCCAGGTGTGGAGGCACACGCCTGTAATCCCAGCTACTTGGGAGGCTGAGACATGAGAATTGCTTGAGCCCGGGAGGTGGAGGTTGCAGTGAGCTGAGATTGCACCATTGCACTCCAGCCTGGGCGACACAGCAAGACTCTGACTCAAAACAAAGTATATTTTATTAAAGTATGTGAGCATATATAATATTAGAGACTTTTTACCTTTGATATAATCTTTGTCAGTTTTTATAAATTTTGATAAAATACACATAAGACAATCTTAAGTGTACAGTTCAGTGGTATTAAATACATTCATATGTAATGCAGCCATCACCACTACCCATCTTCAAAATTCTTCATCTTGTAAAACTGAAAACTCTACAATCCATTAAACAATAACTTTTCATTCTTTCTTCTTTCAGCCCGTGCAACTACCATTCTGCTTTCTATCTCTATGATTTTAACTACTCTATCTCATATAAGTGGAATCAAACAGTATGTTTTGTTTTGTTTTGTTTTTTATTAAGACGGATTCTTGCTCTGTCACCCAGGCTGGAGTGAGTGGTGCAATCTCGGCTCACTGCATCCTCAGCCTCCTGGGTTCAGGCGGTTCTGTCTCAGCCTCCTGAGAACTGGGACTACAGGCATGCGCCACCACGCCCAGCTAATTTTTGTGTTTTTAGTAGAGCCAGGGATTCATCATGTTGGCCAGGCTGGTCTCGAACTCCAGACCTCAAGTGATCTGCCCACCTCAGCCTCCCAAAGTGCTGGGATTAGAGGCGTGAGCCACCACGTCTGGCCAAAATCACACAGTATATCTTTTTGTGGCTGGCTTATTTCACTTATTATAATGTCTTCAAGATTCATCTAAGTCGTAGCATATATCAGAACTTTCTTTTAAAGGCTGAATACAGTGCTTTAAAATAAAAGCCTTTCTAAGGCTAAATACAATTCCATTTTGCTTATCCATTCATCCATTGATAGACACTTGCTTTGTTTACATGTTTAGCTATTGTGAATAATGCTGCTATGGCACTGAACATGAACATGAGGCATTGAACTATTGAACGTGGGGGTACAGATATCTCTTTGAGACCTGACTTTAAATTCTTTTGGTTATATACCCAGAGAGAAATTGCGGGGTCATACGGTAATTTTTTTCCGGAACCACCATACTGTTTCCATAGCAGCTGTATCTTTTTACATTCTTAACAGTGCACAAAGGGTTCTAATTTATCCACATCCCCCCAACCCTTGTTATTTTCTGTTTTATCTTGATAGTAGCCATCCTAACCAGTGTGAGGTGATATCTCATTGTAGTTTTGATTTGCATTTCTCTAATAATTAGTGTTCTTGAACATCTTTGTGTATCTTCTTTGGAGAAATGTTTATTCAAGTTCCTGGCACATTTTTGAATTGTTTTTTGTTGGATTTTTAGGAGTTCTCTATATATTCTGGGTATTACTTGCTTAATAATCTAGACTTTTTAATAGAAAAAAGTCATTTATGATCCCTCTTCCTTAGGACCTCTGTATTTGTTTTGGTGAATTTTCTTTTCTCCTTATGCATATTTTTCCCCTTAAACATTTTTAATTACAATGTATTTTAAATTTCATATAAATTTTATGAGGATTATTTTTGTTGTTGTTTAAAATCAGTTTTAATGACTATATTATATTGCTTTGTATGAATGTACCAAAATTTATTTAGCCATTTCTCAGAGAACATTTAGGTTGTTTCTGAAATTTTTACTATTATACATAATGCTGGGATAAAATTCCACTTGGTTGTAATACATAAGTTTTTCAAAATACAGTTGATCTCTCTTTTTTTTTTTTTTTTGAGACAGAGTTTTGCTCTTGTTGCCCAGGCTAGAGGGCAATCTCAGCTCACTGCAACCTCTGCCTCCTGGGTTCAAGCGATTCTCCTGCCTCAGTCTTCCAAGTAGCTGGGATTACAGGCGTGTACCACCATGTCTGGCTAGTTTTGATTTTTTAGTAGAGATGGAGTTTCACCATGTCGGTCAGGCTGGTCTCGAACTTCTGACCTCAAGTGATCCACCTGCCTCAGCCTCCCAAAGTGCTGGGATTACAGGTGTGAGCCACCGTGTCCGGCCCAGTTGATCATTTTTTAATATCTGTATTACTAAGGGAAATAGCCACCAGAGAGAAAGCACTCTCTTGGATGGGTTTTGGTGTCATGCTTATCCTTAATTTGTAGAAACATTCAGATTGCTTTTCACCTTTTTCTGTCTTTTGAAAGAATTTACCTATAAAACATTTAGACTCAGGATTTTTATAGACAAGATGTTTTGGCAACAATTTTCTCTATTTCCTCCTCAATTATAAAGGTTTCTGCTTTTTTGTGTAAACATTGGTAGTTTAGAATTTAAAAGTTTTTTGTTAAGATTTTTTGCATTTCTTAACACACTAGTGTGTATATTTCACTGTTCTGTTTATCCTCCTTTTTTTTTTTTTTTTTTTTTTTTTTTTTTATTGAGACGGAGTTTCGCTCTTATTGCCCAGGCTGGAGTGCAATGGCGCAATCTCGGCTCACCGCTACCTCCGCTTCCCAGGTTCAAGCAATTCTCCTGCCTCAGCCTCCTGAGTAGCTGGGATTACAGGCATGCACCTCCACACCCGGCTAATTTTGTATTTTTAGTAGAGATGGGGTTTCTCCATGTTGGTCAGGCTGGTCTCGAACTCCCGACCTCAGGTGATTCGCCCGCCTCGGCCTCCCAAAGTGCTGGGATTACAGGCATGAGCCACTGTGCCCAGCCTTATCCTCCTATCTTTAAGTTCATCTTTTAAAAATTTCTTCTTACTCGATTTATCAGAGGTTTTTCTATTTGGCTGGTGCTTAAGAGGAACCAGCCTTAGATTTGGCTGTTAATGCCATCGTTTTTCTGTTTGCCTCTGTTTTTTATAATCCAAGAATTTAATTCACTAACCCATGTGTTTTTTTTTAATCCTCGAAACAACTCCTCATTTTCCTGCATTGAGAATTACCCAGATTCTGTATCCATTCACTCAGCAGACGTGTTTGGAATGCTTGCTCTATGCCAGGCAGTGGTTCTTAACCAGGGTCATGCTTCAGAACCAGTCAGGAAGTGGTGCCTGCTTCCTCTGGGGTGGTGACAAGGCTTCAGTGAGGAAATGTGGTGAGAGTGCACGTAAATGACTGAGTTTAGTGTTTGCCTAGCAGCGAGTGTTCAAGAAATCTGAGCTGTTGCTCTTTGATAATGAACCACCTGAGGAGCTTTTAAAAGATGCTGGGCAAGACCCTCCATGCATGGACAATTTAGAAAAGCTGCCCAGGTGATTCTGGACACTCTCCACTTGCAGTGTCAGAGATACTGAAATGAAAAGGAGTTTAAGAAATTTTTGGCTGGGCGCGGTGGCTCATGCCTGTAATCCCAGCACTATGGGAGGCTGAGGCAGGTGGATCACGAGGTCAGGAGATCAAGACCATCCTGGCTAACATGGTGAAACCCCGTCTCTACTAAAAATACAAAAAAAATTAGCTGGGCGTGGTGGCGGGTGCCTGTACTCCTAGCTACTCGGGAGGCTGAGGCAGGAGAATGGCGTGAACCTGGGAAGCGGAGCTTGCAGTGAGCCGAGATCGTGCCACTGCACTCCAGCCTGGGCGACTGAGCAAGACTCCATCTCAAAAAAAAAAAAAAAAAAAAGTCTTGAGGGAGAAAAATGTAACTAGATGGCTACGGTTCTGAAATGGAGATGGGGACCAAATGCTGAAGGGGGATGGGGAGCACGGAGGATGTGGGGAAGCTTCAGGAGGGAATGGAACAGTGAACTGGTTCTACAAGGATGACTAGGAATTTTTCCTGTGGAACTGAGGGAAGAAAGTACATTATGGTCAGAATAGGATGTATAAAGGCAAAGAAACACAAAAGAAAATGTTGTTACTGGGCCAAAGAGTCCATGTGGCAGAAGCTTTGGGTATATGACAGGAGGCAGCATTTGAGAGAAAGATGGCCTGAGGTGGAGACCTAGAACAATGTAGAACGGTGGTGTGCCAAAGAAATACACATTCCATGTGTAATTTTAAGTTTTCTAGTGGCTACAATATAAAAAGAAACAGGTGAAATTAATTTTAGTAATAAATATTATTTAAAACAATATATCCAGAATATTATCATCTCTACATGTGATAAATGTTTTAAAATTACTAATGAGGCATTTTACATTCTTTCCTTGATAGTAAATCTTTGAAATTCGGTGTGTATTTTATTTTATTTTATTTATTTGAAACAGAGTCTCACTCTGTCGCCCAGGCTGGAGTGTAGTGGCGCAATCTTGGCTCACTGTAACCTCCGCCTCCTGGGTTCAAGCCATTCTCCTGCCTCAGCCTCCTGGGATTACAGGCATGTGCCACCACACCTAGGTAATTTTTGTATTTTTGTAGAGACTAGGTTTCTCCATGTTGGCCAGGCTGGTCTCAAACTCCTGACCTCAGGTGATCCACTCACCTCAGCCTCCCAAAGTGCTGGGATTATAGGTGTGAGCCACTGCGCCTGGCCCAGTGTGTATTTTGCTTAATCACACATGCCCATTTGGACTAGCTACATTGCAAGTGTGACTTTTAAGTTTGTCTGCTCTTTTTCTTTTCCTCCTAGCATTTAAAACCAGTTTGTAATTGGGTGAACATCTAAATCCTTAATTTAAAAACATAATGAATAGCCACATGTGGCCAGTGGCTGCCATATTAGACTGTGTGGCTGTAGATTGCCATTCCCTGGATTAATGCTGTCATTAGCAAGGGAGGATTTCAGCTGGATTTGAAGGATGAAGGCAAGGGACTGAATTCAGGAGACATTTCTGAGGCTTTTGGTGACTGCAAGGCATAAAGGAAAAATGAAGAGTCAAGGAGGAGGTCCAGGTTTCCAGTCTTCAATACTGCAGATGGTGATGCAGTAGGAATCTGTGTGTGTGCAAAGGTTGACAGTGATGTTCTTCTCTCTGTACACCATTGTTAGTTACACGGTCAACTATCGGCTTGTTAAACTATGATCAATCTGGTATCAGAGGCCACTTAGTGCTTAAGTGGAGATACCACACTGTATTGCCGTAAATGTGATGTTTTCTGATTGGGCAAACTGTATTTGTACATGTCCTTTCTGGAAGTGCCCTTTCACCCCATCTGCTCATAAAACTCTTTATTTCTGTAGTTCAGGGAACTCATGTTATTGATGAGGTAATTGGATCTCCAGGAGGTGTGAGATCTACTCAAGGATATTATGCATTTATTCATTATGGAGCTTTTTAGGAGCCCATGAAATTGAGTCTTCTCAACTTAGTATATGCTGTTCCTAGTTCCTTGCTTTGGGCTCAACCATTTGGCCAAGATCCTTGTATGTCAGCATAAGGAAAGGGAACATGTGATCCTTTTTTTTTTTTTTTTTTTTTTTGGAGACGGAATCTTGCTCTGTTGCCCAGGCTGGAGTGCAGTAGCACAGTCTTGGCTTACTGCAAACTTCGTCTCCTGGGTTCAAGCAATTCTCCCTGCCTCAGCCTCCCAAGTAGCTGGGATTACAGGTGCCCGCCACCACGTCCAGCTAATTGTATTTTTAGTAGAGACAGGGTTTTGCCAGGTTGGTCTCAAACTCCTGATCTCAGGTGATCCACCCGCCTTGGCCTCCCAAAGTGGTAGCATTACAGGCATGAGCCACTGCACCTGTCTGGAACATGTGATACTTCTTAATAACTTTGTTCGTTGCTTTTTGGTTTTTGTTTTTGTTTTTTTATTTAGGCAGAGTCTGGCTCTGTCACCCAGGCTGGAGTGCAGTGGCGTGATCTCGGCTCACTGCAAGCTCCGCCTCCCAGGTTCACACCATTCTCCTGCCTCAGCCTCCTCAGTATCTGGGACTACAGGCGCTCGCCACCGTGCCCGGTTAATTTTTTTTAAATTTTTATTAGAGAGGGAGTTTCACCGTGTTAGCCAGGATGGTCTCGATCTCCTGATCTCGTGATCCACCCGCCTTGGCCTCCCAAAGTGCTGGGATTACAGGCATGAGCCACTGCGTCTGGCTGCTTTGTTAGTTTTTAAAAGGGGTTGATGATGAAGTCCTGTTACATCTGGAAGAAGGATGAGCAGCTATCTGCAAGGTGTTACTGGATCATTTATTAGGGTTCAAGGTGTGACCTGTAGCATGAGATGCCCTGAAGTTGATCTGACTCAGAGTGACTAACTTCCACCAAGAGTGCATTTTACCTATTTACTCCGGCAAACTTTTGATTGTCTGTTATGTACCAAACTGGTTCTCGCCTCTGGAAATTTGAAGGTGCCTGAGCCAAGGTCTTGACCTTCTAGGAGCACAGTTTGGTAGGAGTGACCACTGGGTAACAGACACCTGAATGTAGTAGTGTCTTATGAGCTGTGCTAGAGAGAGGCCCAGGGAGGAGAGCTGCTGGGATGGGAGGGGGACACAGCCCAGACCTGGGGTACGAATGGGGCCCCAGAGGAGAGAACTTGACCAAGTCTTGGTGAAGAGTGAAGAGTGAGCCTTAGCCAAGCCGAGGAAGAAAGGCTGAGCGCTTGAAGTAACGCTTGCCGAGGTGAAAGAACGTTCTGGTTTCAAGGAGCTGTAACTCTTCTGCATGGCCAAATGTTAGTGTCTGAGGGGAGGAGAAGCCAGAGTGGGGGCTGTGGAGGTCCCCAGGGGACTAGGCCATGAAGGGCTCTGAAGCTCACACTGAGGAATCTAAGTTTTAATCTCAAGACAAATATTTATTAAATATTTGTGGATGAGGCATGGTGGCTAATACCTGTCATCCCAGCACTTTGAGAGGCTGACACAGGAGAACTGCTTGAGCCCATAAGTTCATAGACCAGCCTGGGCAACATAGAGAAACCCTATCTCTACAAAAGTAAAAAAAATAGGTATGGTGGCACACACCTGTGGTCCCAGCTGCTTAGGAGGTTGAAATGGGAAAATTGCCTAGGCCCGGTAGGTCAAGGCTGCAGTGATCTATGATTGCACCACTGCACTCCAGCCCGGGCAACAGAGCAAGACCTTGTCTCAAAAGAAAAATGTATTAAATATTTGTGGAGCACCTACTACATGTCAGGTCTGTTCTAGACAATGGAGATTCAACAGTAAAGAAAATAAATAGTATTCTTGCTCTCGGGGTTTACATTCTGCTTTGGGATATAGACCGTAAACATGATATGTCAGGTGGCAAAGGCTGTGAAAAAGACAGTGAGAATGTAGAATGGGGTGCTATTTTGTGTAGGATGGTGAGGGAAGGTTGCTCTGATAAGGTGACATTTGAACAAAGAGCTGAAGCCAGTGAGTGGGGAGCCACGGGCGTACATGCAGGAAGAGGCTTTCAAGTCAAGGGAAAAGGCGGAACACAGGCACCAGGGAGGAAGTAGGTTTAGTGTCTTCCAGGAATCAGAAGGAGGGTGGGGTGGGTGCAGGCGAGAGCTGCAGGCAGGGGAGGAGGCTTGAGGTGAAGTCAGGGAGCTAGCTGGCACCCAGATTGTGAAGTGCCTATAGGCGGCCATAAAGACTTTGACTTTACTTGAAATGAATCGGTGCCATTGGAGGCCTTGAAACAGAGGTGACTTGATCTGGCAGATTTTTGTTTTGTTTTGTTTTTCTTTGAGACAGGGTCTTGCACTGTCACCCGGGCTAGAATGAAGTGGTGTCATCGTGGCTCACTGTAGCCTTGAACTCCCGGGCTCAAGCAGTCCTCCTGCCTCAGCCCTCCAAGTAGCTAGGACCATAGATGCAAGCCACCATGCCCAGCTAATTTTAAAAAATTTGTTTGTGTTAGAGATGGGGTCTCACTGTGTTGCCCAGGCTGGTCTGGAACTCCTGGCCTCTAGTGATCTTCCCACCTCAGCCTCCCAAAGTGCTAGGATCACAGGTGTGAGCCACCATGCCCAGCAGTCTGGCAGATTTTAACAAGATCTCTCTGGTTGTAATGTGGAAAATGGACTTGGGTGGTGGGGCAAGAGTGAGAGGAGAGATGAACTAGGAGGTTGTAGCAGTAGTTCAGGTAAGAGATGGTGACACGAACTAGGGTGAGGGTGACAGAAATAGGGAAAAGTGGGAGACAGTGAAGGGTTTATGGGTTGTGTTTTGTTTTGTTTTTTTTTTTTTTGAGATGGAGTCTCGCTCTGTTGCCCCGGCTGGAGTGCAGTGGTGGTGTCTCGGCTCATTGCAGTTTCCACCTCCCGGGTTCAAGTGATTCTCCTGCCTCATCCTCCCGAGTAGATGGGATTACAGGCGCCCGTCACCACGCCTGGCTAATTTTTGTATTTTTAGTAGAGACGGTTTCATTCCGCTTTCCCAAAGAGTTTGCCACGTTGGCCATGCTGGTCTTGAACTCCTGACCTCAGGTGATCCACCCGCCTCAGCCCCCTAAAGTGCTGGGATTACAGGCATGAGCCACTCAGCCTGGCTGCAGTGAAGTGTTTGTGAACATGATCAAATTTGTGTTTTGAAGTAACTCTGATAGTGCCCAGGGGAGAAAAAGGGGATTGGGATCAAGAGTTAAAGAACAGAGGCCAGTGGTTGCCCTGTCAAGGCAAGAAGTTATGAGTGGCTTGGAGCAGACGTTTGCTTGCTGGTTAGCACATTCTTCACCTTGAGTGCAGACTCTTTGGGAAAGCAGAATGAAACCAGGAGGCCGGCCAGGCTCAGAGGCTCACACTTGTAATCTCAGCACTTTAGGAGGCCGAGGTGGGAGGATCACTTGAGCCCAGGAGTTTGAGACCAGCCTGGGCAACATAGTGAGACCCCATCTCTATTAAACAAAATAAAACAAAATAAACCAGGAGGCCATATGTTAAATATGAGGAACCAGTTAAGCAAAGGAGTCCTGGTTGGGCAATGACTATTACTAAACCGAAGAGACAATATGTCTAGAGGGTAGAGTAGGCAGTGGGGAGAAGGTTTTACTTCTCACCACTTATCTCAAAATGGCTGGTCCAACCCCTTTATCCTTGCTGGCCATGCCTCTCCCAAGACCAGCCTCCCTTCTCAAGCTTCCCAGTCCCTGGATTGGATTCCCACATTTTCTTCTTCCATGCAGGTGGCACTTACCTCTTAGGACCTGGTACAGAGCCTACCTTGAAGTGTTCTCTCCCTCTCCCAATCTTTTGTGCTTTGAGCGCCTGCAGCACCTCACCTTACTGTGTATTGTCTCATATTGTGCTCTAATAAATAACGCTTTTAAAATAAACTGAACCGTATTCAAGGACTGCAGTGTTTTTCTTTTGCATTTTTAGTCTGCCACAGTGTATATAGTAAATCCAGGCACCTTGTAAATATCTAGTCTGTCAAATCTCTAACCTTGATCAGAAAAATGGCCCCAGTTTCATCCCTCCCCTGTTCCTGCAGGGACACAGCCAAGTGTTGAACAGAAATATGGGGCAGAGGAGCCAGTATGGTGTGTGGATGTGGTCATGCACCTCACTCAGTAGAAGGGGCCACTCCTGCCTTCTTTAATATTCAAATGTCATCCATCTCCTTAAGGCTCAACTCATTCAGGAAACAGAGATATAGTGTGAGTCAGGTACTTGCTGGACAATGGTGTTGTAGAATTTCAAAAACAACCAAAAGTATTATCCCTGCCCTCATAATGTGTACCATTTAACTAGGAAAACAAGCATTAAATAGATGAGTAGGTTTGTTTGAATAATGGTAGGTGTGCAGAGTGGTTTAAAGCACATGATAGGGAGGTTGACTCTCCAGTGGGGGATCAGAAGACTTCACTGGAGATCTGCTAACTGGCACCTGAAGTATGAAATGGAATTAGCTAAGGGAAATGGGAGGACAGAATGATACTCTTGAGGAATTTGAGTGAATCGGTTCAGCTATACCTAAGCAAACAAGAGAAGGGTACAGAATAAGCTGAAGCCTCTGTGAAACCTTCCCTCACTGCTCCAGCTAACTCAGCTCTGCTTTCGATGTCTTTTTGCACTAATTGTCTTTGCCATACTTTATTATATACTTTCTGAGACAGAAGTCTAACCAGGAATTAGCTAGATATGGTGGCATATGCCTGTAGTCCCAGCTACTCTGGAGGCTAAGGTGGGAGGATTACTTGAGCTCAGGCAGTTGAGGCTGCAGTGATTCATGATTGAGCCACTGGACTCCAAGCTGGGTGAGAGAGTGAGATCCTGTCTCCAAAAAAAAAGCCTAACCAAAAGTACATAGCTCAAGGAGGCCATGGTCACAGGTGACTCATGGTTTAACAAAGCCAAGTGATTCTAGACAATCAGCTCTCTAGCATCAGAGCTGACAATTGGGAGGCATGGGGCACCTCAGCCAGCCAGCCAGCCATGTGTCCATGGGATGGTAGAGGAAAAAGTGATTAGAGTAGGGTATGAGGCAGTGAAAGACCTTTGACCTAGCCGTTGTAATTTTAGCTAGCGAGCCAGGAGAAATCCTAGCATGTTTGCCCAAAGAATATTTATTACAGTAATGTTTACAATAGCAGAATACTGGAAATAATCACAGTACCTGCTGACAGGGACTGGTTCATTGATTCATTCAGCAAGTATTTTTTAAGTGCCCACTAGGTGCCGGGCGTTGTTCTGGGCACCAGGCATGTAACTGATCAAGATAAAGTCCCTGTTCCCATGGAACTTACAGTGGAGAGACAGACAATAGGGTAACAAGCTAATATCTCCGATCATTGCTAGAAACACAAGTGTCCTTTTTCTCGGAATCTGTTCTTGAGTTCAGGTGAAAAGAACTGGGCAGTGAGAGATAGCTGGACTAGCAGGAAAATTAAACACAAAATGCGATGGATAGTGGAGGTGCTAAGACAGCCTTCCCGAGGAGGCCATGCTTGAGATGATGCCTGAATAACTGGTTAACTAGTTGTCAACCATGTGGACATGCAGGAGGCTAGGGAATAACAAAAGGGCTGGGAACAAGTTTGATGTAGTCAAGGAACATCAAGATCAGCATGCGACAGCCTGGTGAGCCATGAGGGAATTGCATTTTACTCTCTTTTTTTGAGACAGTCTCACTCCGTCATCCAGGCTGGAGTACAGTGGCATGATCATGGCTCACTGCAACCTCTGCCTCCTGTACTCAAGTGATCCTTCCAGCTCAGCCTCCTGAGTAGCTGGGACTGTAGGCACACACCACCATGCCAGGCTAATTTTTTGATCTTTTGTAGAGATGGGGTTTTGCTCTATTGCCTAGGATGGTCTCAAACTCTTGGGCTCCTGTAACAAAGGAAGTGAACCGGCTCAAGCGTTCTGCCGGCCTTGACCTCTCAAAGTGTTAGGATTACAGGTGTGAACCACCCGCGTGCCCTGTCGCATTTTATTATTAATACGGCGAGGTGTTGTTGGTTTTAATCAGTGGGTACCTGTGATACAGGTGTACTGTGGAGTACTATGAAGCAGTTCAATAAGGTGCAATTATTCCACTATGCAAAGATCTCTAGGATACATAGCTAAATCAAAAAGTAAGTTGTAGAACAATATGTATGGTATTTCATAAAACAAGATTCTGTGTTGGGGTGTGAGTATGGTTAAGTGGGTGGGTGGGGTGTTAATAAACATGAACAAGGGACTTTGTGTATACACCAAACTATTAAGAGTGGTTATTTCTGAAAGTAAAGTGGGATTGGTTATGGTGGTGAAAGAAGGTCATCACTTTTTACTACCCACTGTATTTGGATTTTGTAACAAAGAAAGTGAATAGGCAGCAATGACTTGGTGATTGTATAAAAAGGCTTGGCTTTGAAAGAAACCAAGAAGATAGCTAGGTAGCAATACAGGTCTGCAGGACAAATTGCCCCTCATAACTTTCCTGCCTGACATACTAGATCCTTTACAAAATTATGTAAACAATAAGTTTATGTAACCCAACATTGCCTCCTCAATCTAACAAATGTGTGATCACCACTTCTGATAGCTCCTGCAGTATGTTCCCAGCATTGCCTTAGAACATTTGTGGGGTTGATCCCCAGTTGAACAGGAATGTGATTTTACAGGAATCAGTGACATTCAAAGATGTGTCTGTGGACTTCACCCAGGAAGAATGGTACCATGTCGACCCTGCTCAGAGGAGCTTATACAGGGATGTGATGCTGGAGAACTATAGCCACCTGGTTTCTCTTGGTAAGGACCACTTCTCTGAGTGTCTTTCCTGCTGATGGGCCTTTCCTTCCTTGGTTGCTATAGTGGTGGTGCCCAGAGCTTAGGTAACTGTGACCAGGGTGCTCAGGGGTCAGAGCTTGTTAATCTCATTGGGACCCAGTTTTATGGGGTTTTGAGCCTGCTCTTTAGGTAAAAGGTCTTTATTTTGCAAAACTGGAAATAGGCAATTTGATTGCATGACTCCTTAAGTTGCACCTTTTTTTTCCTTCAGAGTTCCTGAGGATCAAGGACTAGTACTGACTTGTCCTTAGGAGGGTTCTTTGTCCACTTGCACAAACAACCAAATCTTGTGTATTTACCCATGAGCAGGATATCAAGTTTCCAAGCCAGAGGTGATCTTCAAATTGGAGCAAGGAGAAGAGCCATGGATATCAGAGGGAGAAATCCAACGACCTTTCTATCCAGGTAAATGAGTGAGAGTCAGGCATTAGGAATGAATGCAGTTAATGGCACAACTTAGGGAGGGGGAGATACCCTCCAGCAGCTGGCTTGCGATCTCCTAGATCTGCATAGGAGGCTGAAGCCATCGCCTGGCCGACACCTTGTAGGTCTCTCTTCAAAAGGGTGCTCATGCTCTTGCTGGATTATTTTTCCTCTGGTGGCCTCTGATTCCCTTCATTAATTAGAGATCCCTTCTCTTACTCATTCAGAATTGAACTCCCATATTTCTTCCCTGAATTGAACTCCCGTATCTCTTTGTTGTGTTGATCTCCCCCATCTTTTCCTTGTTTAGTCTTGCTGCTTTCACTGTCAGATGCCCCAGACTTGTAGGAAACACCCACAGCCTTCCTTGATTCTCTCTCCCTTGATAACCTGCCTTCAGACTATGTGCCTTGCCACCATCTTCCTTCCATCTCATGTTCATGCTGCTTTGACTCATTACCTCCCTCCACAGTTCTGTAGTATCCTCATCTCCCAGTTCCTCGCTTGTTAAGAGCTGCTTAGCTTTAGGTCTTTAGCTTTTCTTGCTTTTCTGCCTAAGTGACCCTGCCTTAAGGAACCTGCCTTCTAGCCTCCTTTCTTGATTACCTCCTTAACAGAGTACCTGCCTCCTGGTAGTTGCAGCTCTTTATTCTATGCCATAGACTCAGAAGTCTTCCTTATTTGTACCATGGTTACTTTTATCCTTCTCAGAAGTCACATAGTTCATATTAAATACATAAAATCTAAATCCGTCACCTTTCATCCCCCACCAGTATGTTTTGCTACCTTGCCTATTTCTCATTTCTACCCTTGCCTATTAGAATCCAAAGGATTTTTAATTGCTCAGGCTGGATACCCTAATTAGTTTAGTCTTTTATTTCAACCCAGGTTGTTTTCTTCCTATGAGAAGTAGCTTAGATTTTCTTGCCTTTTAACTTCTACTGGTGGCACTGTAAACCAGGGCCCAGATTTTTAAATTAATTAATTAATAATTTTATTGAGACAGGATCTCACTCTGTCACCCACGCTGGAGTGCAGTGGTGTGATCTCGGCTCACTGCAGTCTCTGCCTCCCGGGCTCAAGCAATCCTCCCACCTCAGCCTCCCAAGTAGCTAGGACTATAGATATGTGCCACCACACCCGGCTAATTTTTTGTATTTTTAGTGAGGAAGAAACGAGGTTTCACCATGTTGCCCAGGTGGTCTTGAACTCCTGAGCTCAAGCAATCCACCCACCTTGGCCTCCCAAAGTTCTGGGATTACAAGCATGAGTGACCACACCAGCCTAATTTTTTTATTTTGAGACAGGGTCTTGCTCTGTCACCCAGGGTGCAGTGCAGTGTCTCTATCACAGCTCCCTGCAGCCTTGACCTCCTGGGCTCAAGCAATCCTCTTCCCTTTGCTTCCCAAAGTGTTGGGATTACAGGTGTGAGCCACTGCTGAGGTCCCAGATTTAGATTGCTATAATTTCCAGTTGGAATAGCTCACTCTGTTTTTTCTTTTTATAAATCAAATGGATTTTTAAAATTGTAGCTTTATTGAGGTATAATTCACATACCATGAGATTCACCCCTTTAGAGCATAGAGGTCAGTGGTTTTTTCATATATTCAGATAGTTGTACAAACAGCAACACTATCTAATTTCAGAACATTTTCCTCACACCAGCAAGAAATGTCATACCCATTAACAGTTACTCCCCATTCCCCACTCCTCTCAGTACCTGGTAACCATTAATCTAATTTCTATTTCTATGGATTTGTATATCCTGGATAGTTTGTATAAATGGAATCATATAATATGGCACTGGCTTCTTTCACTTAGCATGATGTTTTCAAGGTTCAATCATGTTCTAGCATGTATCAGTACATCATTCTTTTTTACCATTGAGGAATATTCCATTGTATGGATATATCACATTTTGTTATTCATCAGTTGCTGAACCACACTGGATTTTATTTATTTATTTATTTATTTATTTATTTATTTTGAGACAGAATCTCACTCTGTCACCCAGGTTGGAATGCAGTGGCTGTGATCTGAGGTCACTGTAACCTCCACCTCCTGGGCTCAAGCAGTTCTCATGCCTCAGCCTCCCAAGTAGCTGGGACTACAGGCACGCACCAACTCGCCTGGCTAGTTTTTGTATTTTTAGTAGAGATGGGGTTTCTACTAAACTGCTATTGGCCAGCCTGGTCTCAAACTCCTAGCCTAATATGTTCATCCCACCTCAGCCTCCCAAAGTGCTGGGATTACAAGCCTGAGCCACCATGCCCAGCCACTGGATTTTAATGCTTTATCTTCTTTTTTTTTTCCGAGATGGAATCTCACTCTGTCACCCAGGCTGGAGTACAATGGCATGATGCAGTGGCATGATCTCGTCTCACTGCAACCTCCACCTCCCGGGTTCAAGCAATGCTCCTGCCTCAGCCATCTGAGTAGCTGGGACTACAGGCACACGCCACCATGCCCGGCTAATTTTTTGTATTTTAATAGAGACAGGGTTTCACCGTGTTGCCCAGGCTGGTTGCGAACTCCTGAGCTCAGGCAATGTGCCCACCTAGGCCTCCCAAAGTGCTGGGATTACAGGCATGAGCCACTGCGCCCAGCCTAATGCTTTATCTTCTTAAAATTTCTGACAAACCATTGCTATTACTCTCTGTACTTTACTATAGAAAATAGAAACTCCCTGATTTAAAAGTTCCCTATCGTACTTCCAGTATTATCCTTCTATTCCTGCTAAAACAGATCCCCTTAGGTTGAACTTCTCTTAATATTCTCTGTATGCAGCATATCTTTTTCCTCATTAGGCAATATATTCTGCCTATCCAAAGCCATTTGTTCTTTGAGTTCAAAATCTATCTAATCCATGAGATGTGATATATACTAATATTTATTTCTTCCTTTCCTGACAACAAATATCATTTATATCATCTACACTATAAAAACTCAGATTTAATAATATGCCATCTGATGGTTTTACCCTTTTCTAGTTGCCAAAAGATTGTCTTGTTTCTCTTCAAGCTCTGTTTATTATGGTATTTTAATATATTTTATCTGTGTGGCAGAGCATATAGAAAGCAATCAGAACATACTTGACTGATCAGTAAGAAATCTGGTTAGCAAGAAAACTTTTCTCATTTAATCATTTCCACAAGCATTTTTTGCATGTCCCACTGAGAACAATTCTTAAAAAAATTACAAGGCATTCTCTGTCCTCAGGAGTTGAGTTGATTCTTATTGCAGGGTAAGGAGTTTGGGGATTTAGGGTCTTATTGTGATTTCCTCTCTCAACATTTTATTAGGAACATTTTCAAATAGGAAAGTTGAAAAAAATTTTACAGTCAATACCACATACCTACCACCAAGATTATCACATTTGTTGTTGTTAACATGTTATTTTATTTGCTTTGTTAACATGTGTTTTATTTGCTTTATCATGTATTTCTTTAGCCATCTATCAATCCATCTTACTTTTTGATGCATTTCCAAGTAAGTTGCAGGCATAATTACATTTCACCCCTACACTTTTAGTATGTATGTCGTTAACTAGAATTCAATTTTTTTCAGTTTTTAAAAGAAAATGTTATATGCAGTGAAATGTACAAGTCTTATATGTACCATCCAGTTGGTTTTGACAAATGCATTCACTTGCCTAACCCAAATTCCTATTGACATAGAACATTTCCATCACTCCAAAAAGCTCTCTGCCCTTAGTTTTTAAAGGTTATCGTTCTTAAACCCTAAAAATCAATTTGCTTGTATCAGTGTTCTGAAGTAAAAACAGGGACTTAAAGATCAATTTATTAGCCAGATTGAAATAAATTTTTTGGTCAAAGGAGGTAATTAGTGTAGAACCGGAGCTCAAATAGATGAAAACCACAGTACCAGTTGTAAAGACAAAGATGATTTGCCTCCTGATCAAGGACCTCCTTGATCTCCAAGGGTTATACTTTACAAACTGAGAAAATGCAGTATTTCAAATAATCTTTTCAGTTGTATCACTGGGTACAGATTTTCTCTGCAGCATTTGGAGACCTGGAACCTGAGAGTTGACAGTAAAGAAATTATGAAATGGATATATTAGGAAGACAGATTTTGTGGTGGTTTATAAAAGGATAGGAGGCATGGAGAGCATATAGGATCCTAAGATGGGCTGTGATCCTGTTCCATTTGTATCTGTGCCTAACACAGTCCTGCTCACTTATTTCCTTATTTTCTAACCAACCCTCCTAGATGGGCTTTCCTCATTCTCTGGACTTACCACATACTCTGAATCTGCAGTCTTTGCTATCATTTCTTCACTTTTCCTTTTCTCCATTTTGGGTCGTCTTCTCAGGATACAGGAGTAATTTCAAAACAGAGTCATATGTAACTTATATGTCTTTCTTCATTCCTACTCTAGCAGTGTATTTCAACAGGAAGGAATAGGGGACTTTTGTACTTTGGATTTCTTTCAGACTGGAAGACCAGGCCTGAAGTCAAATCATCACATTTGCAGCAGGATGTATCAGAAGTATCCCACTGCACACATGATCTCTTACATGCTACATTAGAAGACTCCTGGGATGTTAGCAGCCAGTTAGACAGGCAACAGGAAAACTGGAAGAGACATCTGGGATCAGAGGCATCCACCCAGAAGAAAATAATTACACCACAAGAAAATTTTGAGCAAAATAAATTTGGTGAAAATTCTAGATTGAACACCAATTTGGTTACACAACTGAACATTCCTGCAAGAATAAGGCCTAGTGAATGTGAGACCCTTGGAAGCAATTTGGGACATAATGCAGACTTACTTAATGAGAATAATATTCTTGCAAAAAAGAAACCCTATAAGTGTGATAAATGTAGAAAAGCCTTTATTCATAGATCATCGCTTACTAAACATGAGAAAACACATAAAGGAGAGGGAGCTTTCCCTAATGGAACAGATCAAGGAATTTATCCTGGAAAGAAACACCATGAATGTACCGACTGTGGGAAAACCTTTCTCTGGAAGACACAGCTTACTGAGCATCAGAGAATTCACACTGGGGAGAAACCCTTTGAATGCAATGTATGTGGAAAGGCCTTCAGGCATAGCTCATCTCTTGGTCAGCATGAGAATGCTCATACCGGAGAGAAACCCTATCAGTGTAGTCTCTGTGGGAAAGCCTTCCAGCGCAGCTCCTCCCTTGTTCAACACCAGCGAATTCACACTGGAGAGAAACCCTATCGATGTAATCTATGTGGGAGGTCCTTTAGGCATGGCACATCCCTCACTCAACACGAGGTCACACACAGTGGAGAGAAGCCCTTCCAGTGTAAGGAATGTGGGAAAGCCTTTAGTCGATGTTCTTCCCTTGTCCAACATGAGAGGACTCATACTGGAGAGAAACCTTTTGAATGTAGCATATGTGGGAGGGCTTTTGGTCAGAGCCCATCCCTTTATAAACATATGAGGATTCATAAGAGAGGCAAACCTTACCAAAGCAGTAACTACAGCATAGATTTCAAGCACAGCACATCTCTCACTCAAGATGAAAGCACTCTTACCGAAGTGAAATCCTACCATTGTAATGACTGTGGGGAAGACTTTAGTCACATTACAGACTTTACTGACCATCAGAGGATCCATACTGCAGAGAACCCCTATGATTGTGAGCAGGCTTTTAGTCAGCAAGCTATTTCTCATCCTGGAGAGAAACCCTATCAATGTAATGTATGTGGGAAAGCTTTCAAAAGGAGTACAAGTTTCATAGAGCATCACAGAATTCATACTGGAGAGAAACCCTATGAATGTAATGAGTGTGGAGAAGCCTTTAGTCGACGCTCATCGCTTACTCAACATGAGAGAACCCACACTGGAGAGAAACCCTATGAATGTATTGACTGTGGGAAAGCCTTTAGTCAAAGTTCATCTCTCATTCAGCATGAGAGAACTCATACTGGAGAGAAGCCCTATGAATGTAATGAATGTGGGAGAGCCTTCCGAAAAAAAACCAACCTGCATGATCATCAGAGAATTCATACTGGAGAAAAACCCTATTCTTGTAAGGAATGTGGGAAAAACTTCAGCCGAAGTTCAGCTCTTACTAAACACCAGAGAATTCATACTCGAAATAAACTCTAGGAACCGTGAAATTAAGGAATTTGCAGAATGCTTTAGCTAAAATGTTCTGATTCAGGATCAGAGGATTCTTAGAGAGCTTGGGAATGTAATGAATTACGTGTGTGTTTATACGTTGTGTGTGGAGAAAACTGCCAGTAGACAGATTTTTTTTTTTTAACATAAAGACACATTCTCAGATCTGATTACAGACTAGTGTAAAAACAGCTACATGTATGTAGCTGGTTGGGGATGATATGCCTGTATGTTGGACTTTGCTTTTGAATATATGTATGCAGGATATCATCAAGTTTCAACATCTTGACTTGTGACCCCCAATGTCAACAGCTTTTTTAAAAAGCAAATTCCTGCAGTAATGACCAAAACCCATTTTAAAAATTGCTTGACAACTGCACTCAACTGCAGCTCTTACATTAACTTCACCATGGAAACCAGTTCCAACTCCAGGAAGTCACCATTCAAAGAATTAGATCAACTAGCCCAACCACTTCATTGTACAGATGAAGACTGAAAGCCAAAGATGTGAAGTGGTTTCCACAGTATGATACAGCCTATAAGGGTAAAGCTGGGTTAAAAATGCAGGTTTCCTGGATTTGGGGCCCCATGGCCTTGCCAGTGAAAAGGTTATTTTTGGACTCAGAGGGCTTTAAAATAAATTTTAAGATGTATCAGATACACAAACATTTAATGGGCACCTATGGGTTGGACACTTTGAGAATTCTTAAAAGTATAAGTGGGAGCAAAATGTATGCAAATTTATCACAAACTATTTAAAGCAACTTCTTGGAGGCTTACAAACCACAATTTAACAGAAACTGTAGATGGTTGAACTACTAGTGACTTTTTTCCCCTTTTCCCAGTTACAATTATACTTTCAGCTAACATATGCCAGTTTCACAGAACTATTAAGTCCCCTTATTGTACTTTTTATGGCATGCCCATGAAAAAGCACTTTCTTAAGCCTACAGTATCAGATCAATGGGAAAACAACAGAAAACTAAGAGGAGAATTTTCCCGTTAATTTTCTTGCAGAAAAGTTAAGTCTAATTGCCCATTGCCATAAATTTTGCCTTGTACTCAGAGAAGCAACATGCACTGGCTCATTTTATGTGCAAAGAAAAGATTTCACCATTAAAAAAATTAACTTGGCTAGGTATGGTGTCTCACACCTGTAATCCCAGCACTTTGGGTGGCTAAGGCAGATAGACTGCTTGAACCCAGGAGTTCAAGACCAGCCTGGACAACATGGTGAAACCCCATCTCTTTAAAAAAAAAAAAAAATCCAAAAATTAGCTGGGCATGGTGGCATGCAGTGGTAGTCCCAGCTACTCAGGAGGCTGAGGTGGGAGGATCACTGGAACCCGGGAGCAGAGACTGCAGTGAGCTGAGATCACACTACTGCATTCCAGCCTGAGCAACAGAGCAAGACACACACACATCAATTTATTTTAGTTGTATAATGCTTTTCTATTAGTAAAGCATCAGCTAAGCTTCAGTGGCCTGCTCCATCCCCTAATGACTCCCATGGGCTATCCTAAAGGAACTTCCAGAACCTTTGTTGGTGTGTTGACATTGACCATGCAGACCAATTTGGGCACAACTGGACATTGATTCCTTTTACACAAGAGCTGCCTCCCAAAGATAGATAAATTTTCCCAGCCCTAAATATGAATCATGGGGCAAGATATTGGTCGTATTGATGGTGAACCTTTCCTACTGGATTCTTTGCATGCCACATAGCAGGATTCATTGCCTTTCTCTCATCATGGATGGCATGCAGCAGCACCCAAGTATTCTTCATTCTTTGCAGGGAAAAAATTGTGCATGGGGGCTGAAATGTAATATGTGTAGCTCAATTAGTCTCTCCTCTGTGATGCAAAATGGAATATTCAATGGCAGATCTGCCCTTCTGAGATGCTGACCATCCAAAACACCTTGTTTATGGTGCACCATGATTAGCTCACACACAATGCCAAGGCTGTGCTTCTATTATCTGATACATAGTTTGACAATGGGTAATTCTACTCAGACCCTCCCTACTGATTGGCTAGGATGCCTGTCAGGAACTCATTATGCTACTGGTTGTTTGGGGATCCCCATAGTGGACTACTTTCAGGAATGGCATGAATTGTAACCAACTGAGTGCTGCCCCCACTGTTACGGAAGTTTATAAAACCTTAGTTCCAGAAGACCCAAAGGAGAGTACTGGTTTGTGTTTGGTGCTTGGCCTAGATCCAGCCACCACTCTGAAACTCAGCACATCTTCATTGACAGGGAGGGAGCCCAGGACATATGTGTGGCTCATTGACCAGAAGGCTTTCTTAGTCCCAACAGCCATGAACCATGCACTTATGGATACCCAGCCTTTTAGGGCTACGTGAAATGCATCCTTGTAACATCATTGTATTCTTTCAATAAATAGCCTTCTGAGTTGAATGGGAGTCAGTTTGTCGTTTTCAATTTTCAGAACTTGGCTAAGATTAAAGAGTGGTGCACCAAGAGGGAGGAATTAACTGCTAAACTCATCACAGCCAGGTGAGTTAATAGCTACCATTTATTGAATGCTTACTACTTTAAAGACATTGTGCTAGGTGTTTCACATCTGTCATTCAATCCTTATAACTTCTGGTTAGCGGTGTGGTGGTAGTTCTTGTCTTTGCCCAGCATTTTCCCCCTTTTCCTCTTGCAACAATCTGATTGTATTGACTGTAGGAACCTAAATCAGGATGTCCCTGGGGCTCACTGATAGTTTTAGGGGCAGGCATGAGACCTAGTTCAGCTAATCAGAGTCCTTTGCCAGAATTTTTTCCAAGTAGAGCTGGAAGGAGCCCTACTTTGGGCTTTTGTGTTGCTAGGCCAAAAGATAAAGGCCTAGAGCTTCCTGGAACCTGATTTCTTACCAGAGATGGGAAGTAGGAGAGGACAAGGTTGACATGATGGTGTTCTTGTTTCTATTTCCTGATGTCCTTAGACCTGGCTCAATTTCTGAAGCTCTCCTTGGGATTCAGGAAGCTCCCCATCAGTCCAACAGTTTCTCCTTTTTGCTCAAGCTAATTTTTTATGTTTGTTGCTTGCATTAAAGAAACCTAAAATATGTATGATATACTTTTACCTGCCAGAGCATCTAGCGCACCTCCATGGAAGATGAGAAAAGACTTCTGCACTTTTAGGCATATTGATGGTGGTGATGCTTGGTTTTTTTAATAGCTGCAGTAGGCTTTTCACTTTGCAGTATTCTGACTTCAAGATTGAGCACTTTTTAAAAATACTAAGGTGGTTAATTCCTACTCATCTGTTAAAATGCAAATGGTGCTTCAGGAAAGGTTTTGCTGACTCTCCTATTTCAATTACATTGGTCTCCCTTTTAAAAATTTTCATGGATTACTGTTAATGTCCTCCATGTTACCACAGTTTGTATTTGTGATTATTTGGTTTTCTTTTTCCTACACTAGATGGTGAGTTCCAGGAAGGCAAGAGTCCATGTCTGTTTTGATAGCTCTTTTTATTACCCTGCTAATTAATGCCAGGCATATGGTAGATACTTAATATAGTGATATAGTGTTTTAAGTGAGCAATTGAGTGGAGATTGATTGCTAGACAAAGAAGACTGGTAGGTAAATGAAAAGATGCTCAATCTTGAAGTCAGAATATTGCAAAATAAAACAATGTAATACTGTTTCCTACCAATTAGGCTGGCAAAAATTGAGAAATCTGGCAGAGGGGAATTAGAACTTTTATACACTGCTGGCAAGAGGGTAACTTGGTATAATTATTTTGGGGAGTAATTTGGCAATATCCAGTAAAATCAAAGCTAAGCATATCTCATGTCTCAGCAATACCACTAGGAGATACATATCCTAGACTAGAAATTCTCCCTTGTGAGGAAAAGAGACACACACAAAGATGTTTATTGAGGCAGTGTTTTAAAGAGTAAAAATATGAACACAACAGAAATACTGGGAAGTGAATAGGTTAACAATAAGTCATGGCATATTCTTTTTGAGACAGGGTCTTGCCTTGTCACCCAGGCTGGAGTGCAGCAGTACGATCTCAGCTCACTGCAGCCTCCACCTCCCAGGTTCAAGTGATTCTCATGTTTCAGCATCCCAAGTAGCTGGGACCACAGGTGTGCACCACCACACCCGACTAATTTTTGTATTTTTAGTAGAGATGAGTTTTCGCTATGTTGGCCAGGCTGGTTTCGAACTCCTGGCCTCAAGTGATCCATTTCCTTGGCCTCCCAAAGTGCTGGGATTACAGGTGTGAGCCACTGTGCCCAGTCAATCATGGCATATTCTTATAATTTAACATACAGTTTTTAAATGAAGGAACCAGAGCATCTGGCGAAACAATAAAGAAGAGCCTAGAGCTGCCTATTCCACTCCTATATCCATCCAGCTAAATGTGGCTGAAGAAAAACAACTATGACAATTAGTCCCACTTTTTTTTTTTTTTTTTTGAGATGGAGTCTCACTCTGTCACCCAAGCTGGAGTGCAGTGGCATGATCTCAACTCACTGCAACTTCCGCCTACCAGGTTGAAGCAATTCTCCTGCCTCAGCCTCCTGAGTAGCTGGGACTACAGGCACGTACCACCATGCCCAGCTATTTTTTGTATTTTTAGTAGAGATGGGGTTTCACCATGTTGGTCAGGCTAGTCTTGAACTCCTGACCTCATGATCTGCCTGTGTCGGCCTCCCAAAGTGCTGGGATTACAGGCGTGAGCCAGTGCGCCCAGCTGATTAGTCCCACTTTTCTTGTATGCTATCCTCCAGCATTTGTTTTCCTATCCAGTCATTGTCCCACTCTTTTAAGTTGCTATTTTATGACTTCTCTCTTTAACCTCTGCAGCACTTCGCCCAGTCCTCACTCAGCTGGTGACCTTATTTCCTAGTTAACTGAGAACAAGAAAAGGAATCAGAAGAGGCCAGGTGCAGTGACTCACACTTTTAATCTCAACACTTTGGGAGGCTGGGTGGGCGAATTTCTTGAGCCCAGGAGTTCGAGACCAGTCTGGGCAACATGGCAAAACTCTGTTTCTACCAAAAATGCAAAAAAAAATGAGTCTCATAACGTGGTCTCAAAAAAATAATTTTTTTAAAAAAGGAATCAGAAGATAATTCCTCTTCTCTGTGCATCTTATTCTTGCATTCTTTCTGTTGCTATGGTTGACACTTTGTTCTCTTACCTAAGATCAAGTCGTCCTCTAGTGTATTAGATCCCATCCTTAAACTAGGGCATAATTCCTACAGTTGTTCTCTTTCCTGCATTTATTTTTTTTTTCGTCTACTGGATCTTTCCCATTAGCATAGTAACATGTATTTTTCTCATCTCAAATTATATGTGTGTGTGTATACGTGTGTGTGTGTGTGTGTGCTATATCCCCCTCTCCCTACCTACCACTCCATTTCTTGCATCACTCAATAGTAAGATTCCTCAGTAGAGGTGTGGAATACTCATCTCTAATTCCTCTTCTTCCATTCGCTCTTGTACCCACTCCAATCAGGTCTTTGTGTCTGCTCTCATCAAAGATCCCTGATGGATTCCATGTGGCTAAATCCAGTGGTCTTTTTCAGTCCTATTGATGCAGGCAGATGAGCTCATACAGGTGCTTGGCTTCTCCCAGGAAAGAATTCAAAGGCAAGCCAGTGGTGTTAGCAAGTTTTACTGAACTGGAATTGCTCCTGTGAAGCACATCCAACTCCTAGGCAGTGCACCCCAAGTGAGCACTTGTGGACAGTTGGCTAGCTATATTTATACCCATTTTTAATTACATGCAAATCAAGGGGAGGGTTATGCAGAAATCTCTGGAAAAGGGGTGGTAATTTTTGGATTATTGTCATGGAAAGGGGTGGTAACTTCTTGGCCATTGCCATGGTATTTGTAAATGTCATGGTGCTGGTGGGAGGGTCTTACGCTAATGAGCAACGAAGGAAGCTAGAGGTTGCTTTCAGCACTGTCTGCTGGTTCCCACCATTTCTTCTCTTTATCCTGTTGGGACTGGAAAATAAGTCCTGCTGGTCTCTTACCTCACTTTTACTTGTCTTTTCAACATTATTTGATACATTAGTTGATCACTTCCTCACAGTGACCCTTTTTTTTTCACTTGGCTTCCAGGTTACACTTACTAGATTTTCTTATCCTTTATTGACAGCTGCTTCTCCCAAGTTATCTTTCCTTGCTCTAGACATAGGAATTCCCCCAGGGCTCAGTTCTGTGAAAGGGCCATGTATGCAAAGCAACCCTCAGATGCTGAAGGAGCTGGGAAGCCAAAGAATGAGGCAGACAAATCCAGTTTGTCGGTTTGGGTGATTTTTTAGGGGGAACTTAGAGACAGAAGTGTGGTCTTGGGTGGCTGGAAGGTAGATCTTCACACCACACCCCATCAGAACCAGGGCTTGTATCTTGGGGGAAAGTATACATGCTGTTGAAGGAATGTGCTGAGGGAATGCTCCGGGTATCACAGCCTATGATTTCTGCAACAGCATCAAGGGTTGTTTTGAGGGAAGGGAAATAGGTGTTTCTATGTAAAGAGTAATACATCAACTAGACATTTTAGAGGCATTCCCAGACTGAGGGTTAGGTTAGTCAGAAGTCACATGGTGGATTAAAATTTAAAATCGCTATTTTCCAAACTAGTCTTTATTAAACTCATTTGAAAGGCAAAAAATAATAATAGTAAATAATAAAATTTAAAACTTTTGTCCCCACAGTGGTGCATAGGTATTCGTTGTATGTGCCTCTGTGAATGTTTAAACTCATTTACAGTTAAAGTTGGCCTCCTTTTTCTTATCTGATTCCTCCTCCCACACAACCACCTGCTTGGTTTCCCTCAGGGCATAAGCCTGGATAACTTGTACACCAGCACACCTGAAGGATTTGGGGGAAGGAATAATGAGCACTGATGCTCCTCAGAGTGAGAAGCTGATCCAAGCCTAAGAAAGAAGGGAGGGACCCAGCACGGCGGCTCACACCTGTAATCCCAGCACTTTGGGAGGCCAAGGTGGGAGGATCACTTGAGGCCAGGAGTCGAGACCAGCCTAAGCAACATAGTGAGACCTCATCTCAACAAAAATAAATAATTTTTAGGAAATAATAAAAAATTGTTAAAAGAAAAAGTCTTGGCACTGTCAGAATCAGGCAGAGCGTTGCCACTTGCCAGAAATGCCTTTTGAGGCACCAATTAAAAAGGGAGGGCAGAGGAGCAGAGGGCTTCCTGCAGATGAGGAGCATGAGTGACTATTTGCAAGAGTTGGTGGAAGGATATTACTAATTTTTGCTAATAACTTTTAGTAAAACCCTGGTCATTTTGGAAAAACATACTTTTTTAACAAACACTTTTTTTTTGAGGTGGGGTCTCTGATGCAGTGGTGTGATCATAGCTCACTGAAGCCTCAAACTCCTGGGCTCAAGTGATCCTCTGTCCTTAGTCGCCCAAGCAGCTAGGACTACAGGTGCATGCCACCATGACCAGCTGACAAACACTTTTTTTTTTTCCATTTGGAAAGGTAGCAGACACACTAAAAGACAAACACATTTTAATGGATAAAGGAGTCAAGAAATCTGGACCTGAATTATAATGGTATTTTATTGAGCTGTGAACAGGAAGTATTATTGTAGTAATTAATGGGGCTTTTATTTTACTGTCTGCATTAAAAAACTGGCAATTTGCAATTCCAAAGTTAGAGTTCTCACAGGATCTTGACAGGGACTTTTCTGTTGGCTTGGAGTTGCTGATAAAGCTCCTAAGGTGAAAACAAAATGTCACATTCCTCTGCTTTCTAAAGGGTGTCACAGAGACTGGACACATGGTCCCATAGGACTCACTAGATGTGAGAGTCACAGAGCCACTTGATCCTTGGCCCCTATAGATATAAAAACCATGTAAGGAGGTTCTGATCCAGAGGAGATGGGCCTCATGCTCCTGGGATGAAGCCCCTACCCTGCCCCTACAGGGGTGGGGGACTTGGGCACCAAGAATGAGATATTGGGAGATCTGAAAGCATGGGAGCTTGGCATCTCCATCTCCAGCAAAACCACAGGCCCACTTCACAGCTGTCACCTGGAGTTCTTGGGAGAACTTAATGTTTGTTCCTTAAAATGTGTTCCCTGTAGTGTGGAGGTGGAAGGTGGTAAAGGATCGAACAGAGAGGGGTGCCCCCAACTGTCTGGAGATTTCAGAAGGGAGGGGGCTGCTGCTGGATTAGTCCCTAGCAGCAGAGTGGAGATCTCTAAGGGTCTGCATTTGTGTTATCCCTGGGAAGGAAAGGATAGGACCACTCCATCTGTTTTCCTTGACATCAGAGATCACAAGTCAGGATTTCAGTGGTTCCTGGATAGGGTGTCCTTATAATTGATTGTCCAAACAGGGACCCTGAGAATGAAGGGGAAGCTAATCAGATGGGAAGCTCAGATTGTGCTCTAAAACCCAGATGTATGTTCACCCTGTACCTGGAGCTCCTGGGAAGGAGGACAAGTGGGCAGGAGCCATAAGGCTGTGTCAATGGCTGCTCTGCCAAACTCACCTTGAGACTGGTTAGAGGCAAGGATTGCGTGAGGCCCAAGGGAAACTAGGCTGCCCTGCTGTGAATCGACACAGAGAGCTGGGATGAAGCTGGACCCAGGGGTGCCATCAGGGCAGGCCACAGGCTTCATCGCCAGGTGCAGTGGCACACTTAAAATCCCAGAACTTCAGGAGGCTTGAGGCCAGCAGGTCCAGGCTACAGTGAGCCATGATTATGCCATTGCACCCCAGCCTGGGTGACACAGCAAGACCTGTCTCTAAAAGCAAAACAAAACTCTATATATATATGGTCAGACTAAGTTTCAATAACTGAAAGTAAGCAGAAAATTGTATTTGCTCAGGTTAAGGGATCCTAACATGGGATTTGACAGTGTTGGGGAGTGGGAAGGCATTTTAAGGGTAACATCACACAGGTTAGAAAAGTTTACACCACCAGTTTACAATTAATAATAGGAAGATCTGGGTGTGCCTTTTAAAGAGGTGTCCAAAGGAAGCCCACTGGCATCATCATACATTTTATGAGCTGAGGTTGAGATGTGTAGTTCCGCCAGGTGTGTTGCACACACATGTCAAGAGAGCACCTCCTGAACGCAGGGACATGTGGCACAGCTAGGGACTACGTTCCCCGAAAGCCTTAGCAGCAGCTCACTTCCACTTCTGGGCTGAACGTCTTCCCTCGCAGTCGCTTTTGGTCTGCTCGGCCATGTGCAGTGCTGAGTTTTCGCTTCCTTCTGAGTGGCACAGCGTGGGTACAAGCTTGGCTGCGTGCCTTTCTCCAGGTTTCCTGCATGCAGGGACAAGTCATTCTCCTCCTGTGGCTGCCACTAGCCATCTGTGTCCCATGCCTGGGACATCCTGGACCAGGCCCCTCCTGCCTTCTGACCTTTGCCAGATGGCAGGAGACTGCCATCTCCTATCATGTGACCTACTGGACAAAGTGCGGATAAGTTGAACCATATGAAATTGTCTAAGCGGGGAAACTCCAGGTCAATGTGTCTCCTTTTTCTGAAAAAAAAAAAAAAAAAAAAAAAAAAAAAGGTTTTTCTTTAAGTTTCTCCTCCCCCTGAAACAAGGTCATAAAGAACAGAGATGCAATCTCATCTTCCCTGTCTCCTTCCAACCCCTTCTCCCATCTTCTGGACCAGACGGCCTTGTGCAGGCAGGCTAGAGGGAGAATAATGAAACCTTGAGTGGGGAGTTATACTCCCAATAACAGTGGTCGAGGTAATTAGGCCTGAATTTCCCACAGAAAATAAGCTGGCAAACATGTTGAAAAAAAAAAAATTATTCCCAAAAGCACCAAAGAGCTAAGGAGAGTAAAGAATTGGGGATCAAACTTTAGGAGAAGCAAGAAACAATTCCTGATCCTAGCACTCAAATCTGCTTTTGTCTGGAGGCATTTTGCTGATGAAAGACACGCGTGGACCGGGTGTGGTGCCTCACACCTATAATCCCAGCATTTTGGGAGGCTGAGTCAGGCAGATTCCTTTGAGCTCAGGAGTTTGAGACCAGCTTGGGCAACATGGTGAAACCCTGTCTCTAAAAAAAATACAAAAATTAGCTGGCATGGTGGCTCACACCTGTAGTCCCAGCTACTTGGCAGACTGAGCCTGGAGAATTGCTTGAGCCAGGGAAGCAGAGGTTGCAGTGAGCAGAGATTGTGCCACTGGCATATGCCAGCCTGGGCCACAGAGTGAGACCCTGTCTCAAAAAAAAAAAAAAAAGTGGAAAAAAAAAGAGACACTGTGAAACCCAGCTGTGACATTGGTAGACTTAATAATTACCCCATATTTGAACTATCACCCCAGATGAAGACACCCTCAGGAAAATGTTGAACTGGGGAAAATAAGCTGTGGTTTAGACAACTTAGGACAACTGACACAGGATTTTTCTCACTTTGCCTATAGGGGCCTCTGTGGCCAGCAGTGTCCCCACCTGGGCCTCCCTTGGCCCTGGGCCTGCCACAGGAGGCACCTCATCCACTCAGCCCACCATGCTGTGCCTGGCTTGTGCACTGGGATCTGCACTCGGTCTGTGGCTGGGACAGGCGTGCCTCAGCCTGCCTGTGTCACAGTTCATACCCGCATTTGACAGTTGCCAAGTTCTTGTCCTGCATCCAAGAAGAATGAGGTTATGCTGACAACTGAAGGGTGAGGAGGGCAGAGAAGAATTTTATTGAGTAACACAACAGCTCTCAGTGGAGAGGGGATGTAAGGGTGGTCCCCCACCCAAAGTCAGGTCATCTCTCTGTTGACTGGGTCCAGGGCTTTTATGGGCTCAGAATGGGGAGTGTGTGCTGATTGGTTTGTGAGTATGCAAAAAAAAAAAAAAAAAAAAGGCTAAAACAAAGGCACTACTCAAAGGTGGGCATGACAGTGTAGAAAACCAATTAGGCAAGGGTAGTTATATGTAAAATAGATGAAGGTTAGTGATCAATCAGAGGAAAGCATGCCAGATGGGAAGACAGGTTCTCAATCCGGTCTGTGGATTTACCGAGGATTTGTAGCTAGGCATCAAACTGTCTTCAGCTTGAAGGTTGGGTTTCAGTGGGGACCTGTTCCTGTCTGCCTAGGATTTGTCTGCCTCCTGCCGCTGTCGCTACCATCTGGGAGTAAGGGCGAAAGAAGACAGAAACTTCCAAGAAAGAATCCTGAGTGATGTCAGCAAGAATGGCTAAGTAAGGACCTCCAGAAGTTCTCTGCCCCGTACAAGCCATGCAAATACTGACAAAACTGTGAGAATCAGATTTTTCACAACTCTGGAACATTTATTCCAGCAAGCAGCAAATGTTCCCCTTGCAGCAAGCTAGGAAACATTTATTTAAAAAAAAAAAAAAAAAGCATTTCATTAACAAGAGTGATCTTTGTGGCATTTTAACATGCTCTATTCCCATTTCCTTCTCCCCAGCTCCTCAGTATCCCTGAAAACCAACAGCCAGGCAACCACTGGAAGGAGCAGAATAGGTTTGGAGCATCTTCAAAGCCCCATTCCCAGAGAATTGTCATTATTTGACTTGTATGGTGGTTTCCTGTAAGACTCTACTCACAAGACTTATCTTTATTTGACCTGACTCAGTGCAAACAGCCTTTTCCCCAGGGGTATCACTTGAAAATTATCAGGGCAATTGTTTAACATCATTGCTACCTGAGGCAGTAGGTAACAATGCAAACAATAGGCTAACCAAAAAGCTTAAAAGGAAAAGCTGGGTAATAAGATGTCTGTAAGGAGCTTTGAAAAGCTCCAGCAGGCCGGGCACGGTGGCTCACGCCTGTAATCCCAGCACTTTGGGAGGCCGAGGCAGGCGGATCACGAGGTCAGAAGATCGAGATCATCCTGGCTAACACGGTGAAACCCCATCTCTACTAAAAAAATACAAAAAAATGAGGTGGGTGCAGTGGCGTGTCCCTGTAGTCCCAGCTACTCGGGAGGCTGAGGCAGGAGAATGGCGTGAACCCGGGAGGCGGAGCTTACAGTGAGCCGAGATCACGCCACTGCACTCCAGCCTGGGTGACAGAGCGAGACTCCGTCTCAAAAAAAAAGAAAAGAAAAGAAAAGCTCCAGCATATTCCTAGAAATCTAGAAGGCAATGCACATGCATAGCGCTGTGCAAGGGAAAAACCCAGAAAGTCACTAAGCTATCGCTTAACAGCTGACCTTGAGGCTCTATGCAAGCAGGAAGCAATGCCTAAGGCAGGGTAGTAAACTGCCTAGCTGAGTGTGGAAAGTGTGCCCCTAAAGACACAAGAGCCCTTTGCTCTTTGGAAAAGACCAGGAGACTTGGTTGTTCTAGGCATTTAAGGAACTCTCTGTCTAATCAGCTGACCACTAGCTAACTGAGCAGAGATTTCAGGGGCCACATGACAGAGAACACAGAGTTTAAGAATTTGTTCAGAAAAGTTACTAAATAAACAGCAGCAACAACAGCCAGCAACAAACTCTAGGAAGGGGAGGGGAAATCTGATTTCCAGAATTGCCACTTTATGTTTTAAGTGTTCAACATTCAACAAAAAATTATGAGGCATGCAACACAACAGGAATATATGGCCCACCCACAGGGGGAAAAAAACAATCAATAGAAACTTCCTGAGGAAGCCTAAACAAGACTTTACCTTAGCTATTTTAAAATATGTTTAAAGAACTAAATGAAACCATGTCTAGAGAACTAAAGGAAAATATGAGAACAATATTTCACCAAATAGAAACTATCAATAAAGAGGTAGAAATTATTTTTAATGACAAAATAGAAATTTGGGAATTCAAAAGTACATTAACTGAAATGAAAAATTCACTAGAGGGGTTCAGCAGCAGATTTGAGCAAGCAAAAGAAATATTCAGCAAACTCGAAGCTACGTCAATTGAGAGTTTCAGTCTGAGGAGCAGGATTTTAAAAGGAATGAAAAAAAGTAAACAGAGCCTCAGAGACCTGTGGGACACCATCAAGCATACCAACATTTGTGTAACAGGAGTCCCAGAAGAAGAGAAGGGAGGGAAAGGAGCAGAAATAATATTTGAAGAAATAATGGCCAAAACTTCCCAGATCAAAAAACATACATCTAAGAATCTCAAAAAAACTCCAAGGAGGATAAACTCTTAAGAGGTCCACACCTAGACACATCATAATCAAATTAAATGATACACTGGAAAATACTGTTTAACACAAAAGAAAACAGGCCATATCAAAAAGACATAAGACCTATAGATACAAATACCAAAATGGCAGATATAAACTCTACCTTACAAGTAAATACATCAAGTGTAAATGGATTAAGCACAATCAAAAGGAATAGATTGGGCCAGGTGCAGTGGCTCATGCCTGTAATCCCAGCACTTTGGGAGACTGAAGCTTAGGAGTTTGAGACCAGCCTGGCCAACATAGCAAAACCCCATCTCTATTAAAAATACAAAAGCTCGCTGGGTGTGATGGCAGGTGCCTGTAATCCCAGCTACTCAGGAGGATGAGGCAGGAGAATCACTTGAACCTGGGAGGTATGTGTTGCAGTGAGTTGATATTGCATCACTGCACTCCAGCCTGGGCAATAGAGTGAGATTCCATCTCAAAAAAAATAAAAAAAAAAGGCCAGGCCCGGTGGCTCACACCTGTAATCCCAGCACTTTGGGAGGCTGAGGCAGGCAGATCACACGGTCAGGAGATTGAGACCATCCTGGCTAACACGGTGAAACCCTGTCTCTACTAAAAATACAAAAAATTAGCCAGGAGTGGTGGCAGGCGCCTGTAGTCCCAGCTACTCAGGAGGCTGAGGCAGGAGAATCGTGTGAACCTGGGAGGCGGGTAATCCCTGTAATCTGGGATTACAGGCATGAGCCACTGCACCTGGCCAGCAGAATGGATTTAAAAACATGATTCAGGCCGGGGCGTGGTGGCTCATGCCTGTAATCCCAGCACTTTGGGAGGCTGAGGTGGGCGGACCTGAGGTTAGCAGCTCGAGACCAGCTTGGCCAACGTGGTGAAACCCAATGTCTACTAAAAATAAAAAAATTAGCCAGGCATGGTGGCACACACCCGTAATCCAAGCTACTTGGGAGGCTGAGGCAGGAGAATTGCTTGAACCCAGGAGGTAGAGGTTGCAGTGAGCCGAGATTGTGCCACTGCATTCCAGCTTGGGCAACAGAGTGAGACTCTGCCTAAAAAAAAAAAAAAAAAAAAAAAAAAAAATCAACTAGATGTTGCCTACAAGAGACACAAATTAAATTCAAAGGTACAAACAGGTTGAAAGTAAAAGGATGGGAAGAGATTTATACCACACAAATAGAAACCAAGAGAGAGCTGTGATGCCTATACCAATGTCAGAACAAAACAGACTTTAAGAGAAAAATTGGGCTGGGTGTGGTGGCTCCTGCCTGTAATCCCAACAGTTTGGGAGGCCAAGGCAGGAGGATCACTTGAGGTCAGGAGTTCCGGATCAGCCTGGGCAACACAGTAAGATCCCATCTCTTAAAAAAAATTTTTTTTTTATTACTTGAGTATGGTGGCGTGTGCCTGTAGTCCCAGCTACTCAGGAGGCTGAGTTGGGAAGAGTGCCTGAGCCCATGAATTCGAGGTTGCAGTGAGCTATGATTGTACCACTGCACTTCAGCCTTGGCAACACAAGATGCTGTCTCTAAAAAACAAGAGAAAACATGTCCATGCAGACCTGTACATGAATGTTTCTAGCAACTTTTTTTTTGCAATAGTCAAAAACTGGAAACAACTCAAAGGTGCATCAGCAGGTGAATGGATAAACAAATCATGATGTATCCACACAGTGGAATACTACACAGTAATAAGAAGGAATGAACTGTTAATACATACAACATGCATGAATTTCAAAATAATTATGCTAAGTGAAAGACCCAAAAGGTTACATACTACATGATTTCATTTGTACAAAATTCTAGAAAATGTACCTTTATTGACAAAAAGCCAATCAGCAGTTGCCTAGGGCCAGGAGCAGAAGGAGAGATTGGCTGCAGAGGGACACAAGAAAATTCCTAGGGGTGACAGAAATGCTTGATAAGTTGATTGTGGTGATAGCTTCATGAGTATTCACATCTGTCTAACCTCACTGAATTATATATACATATATTATTTTTTTCAGAGACAGAGTCTCGCTGTGTTGCCCAGGCTGGAGTGCAGTGGTACAATCTCCGCTCACCGCAACCTCCACCTCCTGGGTTCAAGTGATTCTTGCGCCTCAGCCTCTCCAGTAGCTGGGATTACAGGTATGCACCACCACACTCGGCTAAGTTTTGTATTTTTACAATACAATGTAAAAATGTATTTTTCACCATGTTGGCCAGGCTGGTCTCAAACCCCTAACCTCAGATGATTTGCCCGCTTCGGCCTCCCAAAGTGCTGGGATTACAGGTGTGAGCCACCACTCCCAGCCTGAATTGTATATTTTATTTATTTATCTTTATTTTATTTAATTAATTAATTTATTTATTTTTGAGATGGAGTTTCACTTTTGTTGCCCAGGGTGGAGTGCAGTGGCGTAATCTCGGCCCAGCAAGGAAGCTAGACCAAAGGCAGAGAGAGAAATGGGGTGCCCATTTGCCACTCCCGGGAGTGCCTGGCCCCCAAAGGTGCTCGCTGGTGCCCCCTCCTTCATTACTGTCCAGAGGTTGCCAGGTCACAGGCATTTCCTGGCCCAGGGATTGGACTCTGGGGTGGGGCGGGGGGATGGAGGCAACTCCACTGACCCAAGGACCCAGCAACCCAACAGGACAATGGTGAGCTTCCCAAGAAGACTGCAGACCTGGGGCCTTTCCATGGGACAAGAATGGCCTCCATGTTGGGGAACCTGAAGAGCCACAAAAGGGGGTGCCCTGCAGGACTCATTGAACCACTCTCCACCACTGAGATCCTCACAGGGGCCAGCAGGAAACCAGGCAGTGACCTCCGTGTCCTAATCCCCTCATCAACACCTGGAGACCAAGAAACACAGAAAAAGAGGGGTTAGAAGTAAAAAGCCGGAGTTGCCCAGCACTTTGGGAGGCCGAGGTGGGCAGATCACTTGAGGTCAGGAGTTCAAGACCAGCCTGGCCAATCTGGTGAATCCCCATCTCTACTAAAAATAAAAAAATTAGCTGGACGTGGTGGCATGTGCCTGTAGTCTCAGCTACTTGGAAGGCTGAGACACGTGAATAGCTCGAACCTGGAAGGTGGAGGTTGCAGTGAGCTGAGATTGCACCACTGCACTCCAGCCTGGGTAACAGAATAAGTCTCTGTCTCAAAAAGAAAAAAAAAAAAAAGCTGGAGTTGGAGTTGGAGAAAAGGGGACAGAGAGAGTGGGGAACCAAGAGGAGGGGCAGAAAGGGATGAAGAGAAAACAAGGGACAGATGTGGGGGAGGAGAGGGGTAGAGGAGGACAAGGGACGATGTAGGGGCAGAAAAATGCCCCAGGGGACCCCTCCTGGGAGCTCAAGGGTGCTTGGTTAAGGGGATCCTGCAGCTGTTGAGAGGGACATTTTTGGTTCTTTCCCACTTTCTATTCATTTTCTAATTTCACCACACAAACACTTTTGGGGAGGGAAGGGGGATGGAGAAACCCACCCCTAATTTTGTCCAGCCCATCTGGACACTACCTGCTACCTGGCTCCTAGGACTTGTTACCTCAAGTAGAGATGTTGGGTGGACAACCCCATCCCCATGCCAGGCATTCTCTCCACTCATCAAACCAGAGTCTTCTGCTCTGTTTTCTGTTTGTTTTGTTTTGTTTTTTTGAGACGTAGTCACTCTGTCACCCAGGCTGGAGTGCAGTGGTGTGATCTCGGCTCACTGAAACCTCCACCTCCCCGGTTCAAGCGATTCTTGTGCCTCAGCCTCCCCAGTACAGGCGCCCGCTGCCATGCCCGGCTAATTCGTATTTTTAGTAGAGATGGGGTTTCACCATGTTGGCCAAGCCTGTCTTGAACTCCTGGCTCATGTGATCCACCTGCTTCAGCCTCCCAAAGTGCCAAGATTACAGGTGTGAGCCACTGCGCCTGGCCCTCTTGCTGTTATTTCTGAAAATATAAGTCGATGTTGTTATGGTTAGAGAAGTATAAATTCATTTTTTAAATATCACCGAATTCCTAAGAGGTTTGGTCATTGTGCAGTACAGTGGTTCTCAAAATTGAGCATTTATCAGAATCAGTTGGAAAGCTGGTTAAAACACAGACACCAGGCTGGGTGTGATGGCTTATGCCTGAGATCCCAGCCCTTTGGGAGGCCAACGCTTGAGAATCACTTGAAGACAAGAGTTCGAGACCAGCCTGGACAACAAAGCCAAGACCCCAGTCTCAACAAAAAATAAATAAGTACAATAAAAAACACAGGCTCCAGCCTATTTTCTGATCCAGCATGTCTGGGCTGGCTACTGAGCGTGCAATTCTGAAAAGTTCCCACATGATGTTGATACTGCTGGCCCAGGGACTACATTTTGAGAACCACTGATATAGATAATAAAAAAATGCAACTACTGGCTGGGCACACTGGCTCACGCCTGTAATCCCAGCACTATGGGAGGCCGAGGCGGGACTGAGGCCAGGAGTTCACGACCAGCCTGGGCAACTTGGCGAAACCCCATCTCTACAAAAAAATACAAAAATTAGCTGGGCGTGGTGGTACCTCCCTGCAGTCCCAGCTGCTCAGGAGGCTGAGGTGGGAGGATCACCCTAAAGGTTGAGGCTGCAGTGCACCATGATCACACCACTGCACTCCAGCCTGGGCAACAGAGTGAGACTCTGTCTCAATAAAAACAAAACATACAACTACTTTTGCGGGATGCTGTGTTTTACTGTTGTGTTGTTTTGGATCTAACACGCCCTCCAGTTTATTCACTCTTAGCCAGTTTTTCCAGCCATATCTTTTCCTCGAATATGTCCAGACAATATTTCATGGATCAAAATATTAACAAGGATAAGATGAAAATGATAAAACCTTGTGCTTTTCATTTTCCTACACAGTTTTCTGCATGTATCTTGTATAACTACATAAGGTATGTAAGCTAAAAAAAATAAAAGTGTGTGTTTGCAGGGAGGCGGAGGCGGTGCCCCGCTGGTGCTGAGTGCAGTCACAGTAAGGCTGTAGATGGAGCGCCCTGGGAAGGCTGCTTCTCCCTGGGGTTTTGCCCACCCGGGTAAGGAAGGAGTGAGTCTCTGATGACGGTTAGCAGGCCCAAGTCTGAGGCCTTCCAAAGAAACATGGTGCAGCAGTGGGCCTGAGAGGTACAGAAGAGAGGGGGTGACCTGACAAGAGCTAGGTGGATGGACTTCCTCCGACCCAGGAGGGGACTGAGTACCTGGTGCTGCCACAAGGTGCTCTGCATGAGGCCAGAGGCTTGAAGTGGGAGTAGGTGATTGCAAGTGGTAGCTAACTGGCATTCTCTGAAAGTCAGATTGAATCACTAGATTCTGTTTATTAAGAGTAGGACTTTCAATACAGTTTTAAAAAGCTACCCCTTTTCTTAATTTCTCAGGAAAATGGCAGCTCCTTCTTTTGTCGTCAAAATAAATATTCAGCCAAGCCTTAAATTAGGACTTAACCGGTGTGTTACTTCTGCTGGTGGATTGCAGTGAAAGGGTGTTTATTCACTTAAGCCGTCACTCCTCCTCTCCCCGAGAAGTAGTCAGCTGTTCACATTTACTTTTATTTCTAAATTATCTTAAACCATTCCATTCTCCACATTAAGGATCTTATTTCCAGTAACATCTTTGTAATTACATTAGGTTTGCTCGTTGCATTTTTCATTTTTCTTTTTTTTTTTTTTTTTTTAATTTTTTTTTTTTTTATTATACTCTAAGTTTTAGGGTACATGTGCACATTGTGCAGGTTAGTTACATATGTATACATGTGCCATGCTGGTGCGCTGCACCCACTAACGTGTCATCTAGCATTAGGTATATCTCCCAATGCTATCCCTCCCCCCTCCCCCGACCCCACCACAGTCCCCAGAGTGTGATATTCCCCTTCCTGTGTCCAAGTGATCTCATTGTTCAATTCCCACCTATGAGTGAGAATATGCGGTGTTTGGTTTTTTGTTCTTGCGATAGTTTACTGAGAATGATGGTTTCCAATTTCATCCATGTCCCTACAAAGGACATGAACTCATCATTTTTTATGGCTGCATAGTATTCCATGGTGTATATGTGCCACATTTTCTTAATCCAGTCTATCATTGTTGGACATTTGGGTTGGTTCCAAGTCTTTGCTATTGTGAATAGTGCCGCAATAAACATACGTGTGCATGTGTCTTTATAGCAGCATGATTTATAGTCCTTTGGGTATATACCCAGTAATGGGATGGCTGGGTCAAATGGTATTTCTAGTTCTAGATCCCTGAGGAATCGCCACACTGACTTCCACAATGGTTGAACTAGTTTACAGTCCCACCAACAGTGTAAAAGTGTTCCTATTTCTCCACATCCTCTCCAGCACCTGTTGTTTCCTGACTTTTTAATGATTGCCATTCTAACTGGTGTGAGATGATATCTCATAGTGGTTTTGATTTGCATTTCTCTGATGGCCAGTGATGATGAGCATTTCTTCATGTGTTTTTTGGCTGCATAAATGTCTTCTTTTGAGAAGTGTCTGTTCATGTCCTTCGCCCACTTTTTGATGGGGTTGTTTGTTTTTTTCTTGTAAATTTGTTTGAGTTCATTGTAGATTCTGGATATTAGCCCTTTGTCAGATGAGTAGGTTGCGAAAATTTTCTCCCATGTTGTAGGTTGCCTGTTCACTCTGATGGTAGTTTCTTTTGCTGTGCAGAAGCTCTTTAGTTTAATTAGATCCCATTTGTCAATTTTGTCTTTTGTTGCCATTGCTTTTGGTGTTTTGGACATGAAGTCCTTGCCCACGCCTATGTCCTGAATGGTAATGCCTAGGTTTTCTTCTAGGGTTTTTATGGTTTTAGGTCTAACATTTAAATCTTTAATCCATCTTGAATTGATTTTTGTATAAGGTGTAAGGAAGGGATCCAGTTTCAGCTTTCTACATATGGCGACCCAGTTTTCCCAGCACCATTTATTAAATAGGGAATCCTTTCCCCATTGCTTGTTTTTCTCAGGTTTGTCAAAGATCAGATAGTTGTAGATATGTGGCATTATTTCTGAGGGCTCTGTTCTGTTCCATTGATCTATATCTCTGTTTTGGTACCAGTACCATGCTGTTTTGGTTACTGTAGCCTTGTAGTATAGTTTGAAGTCAGGTAGTGTGATGCCTCCAGCTTTGTTCTTTTGGCTTAGGATTGACTTGGCGATGCGGGCTCTTTTTTGGTTCCATATGAACTTTAAAGTAGTTTTTTCCAATTCTGTGAAGAAAGTCATTGGTAGCTTGATGGGGATGGCATTGAATCTGTAAATTACCTTGGGGAGTATGGCCATTTTCACGATATTGATTCTTCCTACCCATGAGCATGGAATGTTCTTCCATTTGTTTGTGTCCTCTTTTATTTCCTTGAGCAGTGGTTTGTAGTTCTCCTTGAAGAGGTCCTTCACATCCCTTGTAAGTTGGATTCCTAGGTATTTTATTCTCTTTGAAGCAATTGTGAATGGGAGTTCACTCATGATTTGGCTCTCTGTTTGTCTGTTGTTGGTGTATAAGAATGCTTGTGATTTTTGTACATTGATTTTGTATCCTGAGACTTTGCTGAAGTTGCTTATCAGCTTAAGGAGATTTTGGGCTGAGACGATGGGGTTTTCTAGATAAACAATCATGTCGTCTGCAAACGGACAATTTGACTTCCTCTTTTCCTAATTGAATACCCTTTATTTCCTTCTCCTGCCTGATTGCCCTGGCCAGAACTTCCAACACTATGTTGAATAGGAGCGGTGAGAGAGGGCATCCCTGTCTTGTGCCAGTTTTCAAAGGGAATGCTTCCAGTTTTTGCCCATTCAGTATGATATTGGCTGTGGGTTTGTCATAGATAGCTCTTATTATTTTGAAATACGTCCCATCAATACCTAATTTATTGAGAGTTTTTAGCATGAAGGGTTGTTGAATTTTGTCAAAGGCTTTTTCTGCATCTATTGAGATAATCATGTGGTTTTTGTCTTTGGCTCTGTTTATATGCTGGATTACATTTATTGATTTGCGTATATTGAACCAGCCTTGCATCCCAGGGATGACGCCCACTTGATCATGGTGGATAAGCTTTTTGATGTGCTGCTGGATTCGGTTTGCCAGTATTTTATTGAGGATTTTTGCATCAATGTTCATCAAGGATATTGGTCTAAAATTCTCTTTTTTGGTTGTGTCTCTGCCCGGCTTTGGTATCAGAATGATGCTGGCCTCATAAAATGAGTTAGGGAGGATTCCCTCTTTTTCTATTGATTGGAATAGTTTCAGAAGGAATGGTACCAGTTCCTCCTTGTACCTCTGGTAGAATTCGGCTGTGAATCCATCTGGTCCTGGACTCTTTTTGGTTGGTAAACTATTGATTATTGCCACAATTTCAGAGACTGTTATTGGTCTATTCAGAGATTCAACTTCTTCCTGGTTTAGTCTTGGGAGAGTGTATGTGTCGAGGAATGTATCCATTTCTTCTAGATTTTCTAGTTTATTTGCGTAGAGGTGTTTGTAGTATTCTCTGATGGTAGTTTGTATTTCTGTGGGATATCTGTGATATCCCCTTTATCATTTTTTATTGTGTCTATTTGATTCTTCTCTCTTTTTTTCTTTATTAGTCTTGCTAGCGGTCTATCAATTTTGTTGATCCTTTCAAAAAACCAGCTCCTGGATTCATTGATTTTTTGAAGGGTTTTTTGTGTCTCTATTTCCTTCAGTTCTGCTCTGATTTTAGTTATTTCTTGCCTTCTGCTAGCTTTTGAATGTGTTTGCTCTTGCTTTTCTAGTTCTTTTAATTGTGATGTTAGGGTGTCAATTTTGGATCTTTCCTGCTTTCTCTTGTAGGCATTTAGTGCTATAAATTTCCCTCTACACACTGCTTTGAATGCGTCCCAGAGATTCTGGCATGTTGTGTCTTTGTTCTCGTTGGTTTCAAAGAACATCTTTATTTCTGCCTTCATTTCGTTATGTACCCAGTAGTCATTCAGGAGCAGGTTGTTCAGTTTCCATGTAGTTGAGCGGCTTTGAGTGAGATTCTTAATCCTGAGTTCTAGTTTGATTGCACTGTGGTCTGAGAGATAGTTTGTTATAATTTCTGTTCTTTTACATTTGCTGAGGAGAGCTTTACTTCCAACTATGTGGTCAATTTTGGAATAGGTGTGGTGTGGTGCTGAAAAAAATGTATATTCTGTTGATTAGGGGTGGAGAGTTCTGTAGATGTCTATTAGGTCTGCTTGGTGCAGAGCTGAGTTCAATTCCTGGGTATCCTTGTTGACTTTCTGTCTCGTTGATCTGTCTAATGTTGACAGTGGGGTGTTAAAGTCTCCCATTATTAATGTGTGGGAGTCTAAGTCTCTTTGTAGGTCACTCAGGACTTGCTTTATGAATCTGGGTGCTCCTGTATTGGGTGCATAAATATTTAGGATAGTTAGCTCCTCTTGTTGAATTGATCCCTTTACCATTATGTAATGGCCTTCTTTGTCTCTTTTGATCTTTGTTGGTTTAAAGTCTGTTTTATCAGAGACTAGGATTGCAACCCCTGCCTTTTTTTGTTTTCCATTGGCTTGGTAGATCTTCCTCCATCCTTTTATTTTGAGCCTATGTGTGTCTCTGCACGTGAGATGGGTTTCCTGAATACAGCACACTGATGGGTCTTGACTCTTTATCCAACTTGCCAGTCTGTGTCTTTTAATTGCAGAATTTAGTCCATTTATATTTAAAGTTAATATTGTTATGTGTGAATTTGATCCTGTCATTATGATGTTAGCTGGTGATTTTGCTCATTATTTGATGCAGTTTCTTCCTAGTCTCGATGGTCTTTACATTTTGGCATGATTTTGCAGCGGCTGGTACCGGTTGTTCCTTTCCATGTTTAGCGCTTCCTTCAGGAGCTCTTTTAGGGCAGGCCTGGTGGTGACAAAATCTCTCAGCATTTGCTTGTCTATAAAGTATTTTATTTCTCCTTCACTTATGAAGCTTAGTTTGGCTGGATATGAAATTCTGGGTTGAAAATTCTTTTCTTTAAGAATGTTGAATATTGGCCCCCACTCTCTTCTGGCTTGTAGGGTTTCTGCCGAGAGATCCGCTGTTAGTCTGATGGGCTTTCCTTTGAGGGTAACCCGACCTTTCTCTCTGGCTGCCCTTAACATTTTTTCCTTCATTTCAACTTTGGTGAATCTGACAATTATGTGTCTTGGAGTTGCTCTTCTTGAGGAGTATCTTTGTGGCGTTCTCTGTATTTCCTGAATCTGAACGTTGGCCTGCCTTGCTAGATTGGGGAAGTTCTCCTGGATAATATCCTGCAGAGTGTTTTCCAACTTGGTTCCATTCTCCACATCACTTTCAGGTACACCAATCAGACGTAGATTTGGTCTTTTCACATAGTCCCATATTTCTTGGAGGCTTTGCTCATTTCTTTTTATTCTTTTTTCTCTAAACTTCCCTTCTCGCTTCATTTCATTCATTTCATCTTCCATTGCTGATACCCTTTCTTCCAGTTGATCGCATCGGCTCCTGAGGCTTCTGCATTCTTCACGTAGTTCTCGAGCCTTGGTTTTCAGCTCCATCAGCTCCTTTAAGCACTTCTCTGTATTGGTTATTCTAGTTATACATTCTTCTAAATTTTTTTCAAAGTTTTCAACTTCTTTGCCTTTGGTTTGAATGTCCTCCCGTAGCTCAGAGTAATTTGATCGTCTGAAGCCTTCTTCTCTCAGCTCGTCAAAATCATTCTCCATCCAGCTTTGTTCTGTTGCTGGTGAGGAACTGCGTTCCTTTGGAGGAGGAGAGGCGCTCTGCGTTTTAGAGTTTCCAGTTTTTCTGTTCTGTTTTTCCCCCATCTTTGTGGTTTTATCTACTTTTGGTCTTTGATGATGGTGATGTACAGATGGGTTTTCGGTGTAGATGTCCTTTCTGGTTGTTAGTTTTCCTTCTAACAGACAGGACCCTCAGCTGCAGGTCTGTTGGAATACCCTGCCGTGTGAGGTGTCAGTGTGCCCCTGCTGGGGGGTGCCTCCCAGTTAGGCTGCTCGGGGGTCAGGGGTCAGGGACCCACTTGAGGAGGCAGTCTGCCCATTCTCAGATCTCCAGCTGCGTGCTGGGAGAACCACTGCTCTCTTCAAAGCTGTCAGACAGGGACACTTAAGTCTGCAGAGGTTACTGCTGTCTTTTTGTTTGTCTGTGCCCTGCCCCCAGAGGTGGAGCCTACAGAGGCAGGCAGGCCTCCTTGAGCTGTGGTGGGCTCCACCCAGTTCGAGCTTCCCTGCTGCTTTGTTTACCTAAGCAAGCCTGGGCAATGGCGGGCGCCCCTCCCCCAGCCTCGTTGCCGCCTTGCAGTTTGATCTCAGACTGCTGTGCTAGCAATCAGCGAGATTCCGTGGGCGTAGGACCCTCTGAGCCAGGTGTGGGATATAGTCTCGTGGTGCGCCGTTTCTTAAGTCGGTCTGAAAAGCGCAATATTCGGGTGGGAGTGACCCGATTTTCCAGGTGCGTCCGTCACCCCTTTCTTTGACTCGGAAAGGGAACTCCCTGACCCCTTGCGCTTCCCAGGTGAGGCAATGCCTCGCCCTGCTTCGGCTCGCGCACGGTGCGCACACACACTGGCCTGCGCCCACTGTCTGGCACTCCCTAGTGAGATGAACCCGGTACCTCAGATGGAAATGCAGAAATCACCCGTCTTCTGCGTCACTCACGCTGGGAGCTGTAGACCGGAGCTGTTCCTATTCGGCCATCTTGGCTCCTCCCTCGCATTTTTCATTTTTCAATTCAACAGCATTGTTTGTCGTCTTTCTCCCTCCCTGCACGCTGAGGTCTTAGTTCAGGGTCTTGCACTTAGTAGGTGTTCAATAAACATTTATAAACGGAATAAACAGACAATCCCAGCATTGCTCAATACTATTCCAGTCAATACTCCTTGCTCTCTGAGTGACCTGGGACAAAACCTTCTTTTTTTAGAGACAGGGTCTCACTCTTGTCACCCAGGCTGGGGTGCAGTGGCGTAATCACGGCTCACTGCAGCCTCGACCTCCCCAGGCTCAAGTGATTCTCCTAGCTCAGCCTCCCAAGTAGCTGGGACTACAGGTACTGCCACCACTCCTGGCTAATTTTTTATTTTTTATAGAGACGAGGGTCTCACTATATTGCCCAGGTTGGTCTCAAACTTTTGGGCTCAAGCCATCCTTCTGCCTCAGCCTCTGAGTAGCTAGGACTATAGATGCGAGCCACCATGTCCAGCAAATTTCTTAAGCTCTCTGTACTTAAGTTTCCTCAACGGTAAAATGGCCGTCTTAATAGAATGTAACCTGTAGGGCTGTTGCAGATTAAATGGGTTAATATGTTGCACTATGTGTGGCCCATGGTCAGCACTATAGATGTGTCTTGCTATTATTTTGTTATCATCATCACATGTGGAAAGTAAACAAACAAAAAACAGGTGTACTGTCGTGGGCCATGCATTGGACCTGGAGTTAGAAGGTGCAACTCTAGCTGTGCAGTCTTTGCTAGTTAAAACACAGGCCCCAGGCCAGGTGAGGTGGCTCACACGTGGGATCCCAGGACTTTGGGAGGCCAAGGCAGGAGGATCCCTTGAGGCCAGGAGTTCAAGACCAGCCTGGGCAATCTGCATTCCCTTTCTGAGCCTGAGTTTTTCTGTAAAATGGGGGCTACCATAATCTCACCTATTAAAGCTGATGTGAGGATTAAGTGAGTTAATAGCTACAGAGCACCTGCACCTGCACCGTGCTCAGCTCATAGTAGTTGCTTTTTACAATGTGCTAACCCAAGGTGAACAGGCTAGGATTCTGCGGGCGCTGGCCTGCCAGGAGCTCTCCCGGGAGCCTCCAGGAGCGAGGGTTGCAGGACCCCTTCCACCTCCCTGCTGGGCGCCGCGTGCTTGCCTGGTGGCCACCGGGGGGCGGTGATGCGCCGTGAAGGGCTCCCAGGACTGCAGAGCTCGTAGCCGCCCGGCCGCAGGAAGCCTGCAAGAGGCGAGCTTGTTTGGCTTCCTCTCCTTTTCTTCCTTCTTTTCTCCCTTCCCTCCTTTAAACGACGCTGGAATTTCTCCTTCTCTGATGAGATACCTGCTCTTGGCGACGTCCATCCACAGGTCACAGGTCCTGTATGCAAGAAGAAGAGATATGGGGCACCCGGCAACAGCAGGGATCAGGTTGAGCATCAGAAATAATGAGACCTGGCTGGGCACGCTGGCTCACGCCTGTAATCCTAACACTTTGGAGGCCGAGGCGGGTGGATCACCTGAGGTCAGGAGTTTGAGACTAGCCTGGCCAACATGGCGAAACCCTGTCTTTGCCAAAAAATACAAAAATTAGCTGGGCGTGGTGGCAGGTGGGTGTAATCTCAGCTACTCAGGAGGCTGAGGCAGGAGAATCCCCACTTCACTCCAGACTGGCCGAAAGAGTGAAACTCCATCTCTAAATAAATAAATTAAATAAATAAATAAAACAACGAGACCTGCAAATCCACACATCCGAGGGGCCCGTGGTGGGATGCAGGAGCAGCCGGCATCCCCACGAGCAAAGCATTAGTTTTTCCTCGCAGCTAATTATTTTGAAAAACTTCATACCCACAGAAATGCTTTAAAATTGTACAGTCAACAAACACCTTTATTTCTCCCATTTGGATTCATCAGTTGTCAACACATTTTGCCACGCATTTCATTGTATTTTTATTTTCTTGACTGCACCATTTGAGAGTTACTTGGAGACATCCTGACACTTCATCCCTGAATACTTCAGCCTGTATCTCTGTAGGCAACCGCAATGCCATTATCACACTTAAAAAGCTCAACCTTGATATAACGCTATTATCTCACCGATACATACTCAAATGTCCCGTTGTCTCATTTATATCCTGTGTAGCTGTGGTTTTATTTGTGATCCAAGAGCCAATCAATGTTCACATCATTTTTTCTTTCATGACATTTTTAAAGAATCCAGGCAGTTGTCTTGTAAAAGGTCCCACAATTGGAATTTGTCCTGTTTATTATTCATGGTTATATTCAGGCAAGTCGTTTTGGTAACCATATTACATAGGCCTTGTTATCTATTTCCCATTATATCATATCAGGAGGCCCATTGGGTAGGTTTGTGCTATTTTGTGACGCTAAGTTTGATCACTGGGCTATCTGTGACAGTTTCCTGTCCTTCCTTCTATCCAACCCCGCCACCCAAAAAAAAAAAAACCAAACCAAATCTGACATCACAAGAAGCAACAAGCTACATCTAAGATGTGGGACAAATAGCCCAATAAACCCAGGGTCACCCAGGCCTCCCTGCTGCCTTTCAAAAAACCTGGGCACATTCCTGCCACAGGAACTTTGCACTTGCTATTCCTGACACGCGTAATGTTCCCCATGAAGAGCATGGTTTCCTCCCTCATCCTCAAGTCTTTGTTCAAATATCAGCTTTTCAGCAAGACCTTCATTAACTAGTCTAGCCCCCAGTATGGTTTGGCTGTGTCCCCACCCAAATCTCATCTTGAATTGTAGCTCCCATAATTTCCATGTGTTATGGGAGGGACCATGTGGGAGATAATTGAATCATGGGGGCAGTTTCCCCCATACTATTCTTGTGGTAGTGAATAAGTCTCACGAGATCTGATGGTTTTATAAGGGGTTTCCTTTTTTGTTGGCTCTCATTCTCTCTCTTGCCTGCCGCCATGTAAGACATGCCTTTCACCTTCCACCATGATCATGAGGCCTCCCCAGCCACGAGGAACTGTGAGTCCATTAAACCTATTTTTCTTTATAAATTACCCAGTCTTGGATATATCTTTATCAACAGTGTGAAAACAGACTAATACACCCCCTTACCCTGCTCTACTTTTTCCCCATAGCAATTATCACCTCCTGACATGTCATATAATTGACTTATTATATTTGCTGTCTGTCTCCCTCTGGTGGTGTGTAAACTCTGTCAGCATAGGGATTTTTCACTGTTCTATTCACTGCTGTATTCACTTACAGAATTGCTCTTCGCTGGGCTGGCTCCTTCCCCACTTTCAGGTGTCAGTTCAAATGTAAGTCTTCCCTGACTACCCCTTATAACACAGTAACTTTCTATCTGTTCACCCCACTTTAATGTATCTATCTTATTTACTGTTTACTGCCTAATGTCTTTGTTTGTTTGCTTGTTTTGAGACAGGGTCTCTGTCACCCAGGCTGGAGTGCATGATGCAATCATGGCTAACTGCAGCCTCCACTTCCCAGGCTCAAGTGATCCTCCCACTTCAGCTTCCCAAGTGGCTGGGTCTACAGGCATGAGATACCAAGCGTGGGCTGTCTAGGGTCTTATCTCACTGCTCCCACCCCTCATGAAGACGAAAGTCTTTGCCTGCTTTGTTCACTGCTATATCCCCAATACTGGCACATAGTAGGTCCTCAATAAGTATTTGCCGAATGAATGAATGACTTCACAGGGAGGTATAACAGTTAAAAACATGCCATTCAACTCACTTCTCTGGGCATCTTGATATAACAGTTCAGTTCCTACCTGGCAGAGCTGATGAGGGTTAAGAGAGCTAAGTGAAAGAAGTGACAAGACCTAGAGTCATAGGATATATTAATATTTTTAAAGAGAGTTTTGATTCTCCCACCAACAGTCTAGAACTGGGGGCATTCACAGTTTGTCTCCAGAGAGGGCAGAAGGCTGGCGGGAGGAGTGAGCAATCCACCAGCACTGCCATTTGGGTAATAATTGAGCATTTTCTTTTTCTTTTTTCTTTCTTTTTTTTTTTTGAGATGAAGTCTCACTTTGTCGCCCAGGCTGGAGTGCAGTGGCATGATCTCGGCTCACTGCAACCTCCGCCTCCTGGGTTCAAGAAATTCTCCTGCCTCAGCCACCCAAGTAGCTGGGATTACAGGTGTGTGCCACTATGCCCAGCTAATTTTTTTTGTATTTTTAGTAGAGACGGGGTTTCGCCATGTTGGCCAGGCTGGTCTTGAACCCCTGACCTCAGGTGACCCGCCTGCTTTGGACTGCCAAAATGCTGGGATTACAGGTGTGAGACACCATGCCCAGGGGGAACTGTAAATTAAAACAACGAGTTGAGGCACCCGACCTTCAACTGTCATGTTATGAGAACACTCAAGTAGCCCTATGAAGAGGTATAACAGGATTGAGGCCTTCTGCAAACAGCTAGCACCAACTTGCCAGCCATGTAAGTGAACCATCTTGAAAGTGATTGTGCAGCCCCAGTAAAGCCTTCAGATGACTGCAGTCCCAGCAACATCTTTTTTTTTTGTTTGAGATGGAGTCTCGCTCTGTCGCCCAGGCTGGAGTGCAGTGGCACGATCTCCGCTCACTGCAAGCTCCGCCTCCCGGGTTCACACCATTCTCCTGCCTCAGCCTCCTGAGTAGCTGGGACTACAGGCACCCGCCACCATGCCCGGCTAATTTTTTTGTATTTTTAGTAGAGACAGGGTTTCATCCTGTTAGCCAGGATGGTCTCGATCTCCTGACCTCGTGATCCACCTGCCTCGGCCTCCCAAAGTGCTGGGATTACAGGCATAAGCCACCATGCCCGGCCTCCAGCAACATCTTAACCATAACCTTGTCAGAGACCCCAAGCCAAAACCACTCAGTCAAGCCACTTGCAAATTTTTTATCCATAGAAACTATGTGAGATAATAAATGTCTGTTTTTAAGCCATTACCTTTTGGGATCATTTGTTATGCAGCAACAGATCACTGTTCTATTTGCTTTTTTCATTCCGCTTATAGATTCTATCCAAGTTTCTCTGTGTTTGTTTAGTTCAGAAGTCATCAGAGTTTTACTATAAAGGGCTAGATAGTAGATATTTCAAGTTAAAATTTGAATTCATGTAATTTTCATGGTCACAAGCTATCCTTTTGATTTTTCTCCAACCAGGTTCTAGTGATCTAGTATACAGCATGGTGATAGTTAATAATAATATATATTTCAAAAAAGCTAAAAGAACAGATCTTAAATGTTCTCATCGCAAAGAAACAGTAAGTATATGAGGTGATAAGTATGTTAATTAGCCTGATTTGATCATTCCATAATGTATACAGGTACTGAAACATCATTTCATACCCCACAGATATACACAATTATTATTTGTCAGTTAAAAATAAAACTGAATGGCCCCACTCAGTGGCGCATGCCTGTAATCCCAACTCTTTGGGAAACCAAGGCAGGCAGATCACTTGTGCCCAGGAGTCTGAGAACAGCCTGGGCAATATGGCAAAACCCTACCTCTAATAAAATAAATAAATAAAATAGGCTGGGTGCGGTGGCTCATTTCCTATAATCCCAGCACTTTGGGAGGCCGAGGCGGGCAAATCGCTTGAGTTCAAGACCAGCTGGGCCAACTCGGTGAAACCCCGTCTCTACTAAAAATACAAAAATTAACTGGATGTGGTGGCATGCACCTGTAATCCCAGCTACTTGGGAGGCTGAGACAGGATAATCACTTGAACCAGGGAGGTGGAGGTTGCAGTGAGCCAAGATCGCACCACTGCACTCCAGCTTGGGTGACGGAGTGAGACTCTGTCTCAAAAGAAAAAAAAAAGCTGGACGTGGCGGCTCATGCCTGTAATCCCAGCACTTTGGGAGGCCGAGACGGGTGGATCACGAGGTCAGGAGATCGAGACCATCTTGGCCAACATGGTGAAACCCCATCTCTACTAAAATATAAAAAATTAGCCGGGCATGGTGGCGCATGCCTGTAGTCCCAGCTACTGGGGAGGCTGAGGCAGGAGAATCGCTTGAACCCAGGAGCCAGAGGTTGCAGTGAGCTGATATGGCACCATTGCACTCCAGCCTAGCGACAGAGCAAAACTCTGTCTCAAAAAAAAAAAAAAAAGAAAGAAAGAAATGAAAACGTGTCTACACAAAAACTTCATAGCAGCACTATTCATAGTAGCCCCAAAATAGGGAAAAAAGCCCACAGATGTCTATCAACTGATGAATGGATACATAAAATGTGGCATATTCAACTATAAAAAAAATTAAATGTTTATATATGCTACAAAATAGACAAGACTTGCAAGCATTATCCTAAATGAAAAAAGTCAGTCAAAAGACAACACATTATATGATTTCATTTCTATGAAATGTCCAGAATAAGCACATCTATAGAGATAGAAAGTAGATGAGTACTTGCCTGGGGCTCCGGGGCCTGAGAAGACTGGAGGGTGAGAGCTCCTGAGTAGGGTTTTGGCCGGGCGCAGCTCACACCTGAAATTGCAGCATTTTGGGAGGCTGAGGCAGAGGATCCCTTGAATTCAGGAGTTGAAGACCAATCTAGGCAACAAAATTAGACTCCATCTCTAAAAAATAAAATAAAGAGTATGGTTTTGTTTTTCGTTTTAGTTTTTTTGTTTGTTTTTTTGAGTCGTCTTGCTCTGTCGCCCAAGTTAGAGTACAGGGGTAGGATCATGGCTCACTGCAGCTTCAAACTCCCGGGCTCAAGCGATCGTCCTGCCTCAGCCTCATGAATAGCTGGGACTACAGGTTTGTGTCACCACACCCAGCTAAGGTTCTTTTTGGGTTTTCTTGTTTTTAATGTTGCCTACGCTGGTCTTGAACTCCCAGACTTAAGCAATCCTCCCTCATCGCTGAGACTACAGGCGGGAGCCATTGCTCCTGGCAAGAGTACAGATTTCTTCTTGGGATGATGAAAATGTTCTAAAACTGATTGTGATCATGGTTGTGCAACTCTGTGAATAGACTAAAACCTGCTGAAGCACACATTTAAAATGGGCGAATCGTGTGGTATGTGAATTACATCTCGATAGACATTTTAAAAAACAAGGGAAGGTGTGCCACAGTTTGTTCATCACTGACAGCACTGTAGGTGCTTAGCCTTTTTCAAAGCACCTTTCCTAGAACTGTTGCAACCAGCCAAGCATTAACTCCTTACATAGCTGAGCAAGACAAGGCTCAAAGGAAGAACTAATTTGCGCAAGGTCACAGGTGACCAATGTGAGGTGTGAGCAGAATGCAGGTCTTTGGACTCCATGTCCAGTGCTCAGCCCAGCACAGCCTTTCTAAGAGTTACATCCAGAGATTGGGTAATCATGGCCTCAAAGCTCCAGGGCAGAGAAAATGACAGGAGGGGACGAATCCCTCTACCTGTCCCACCTGCTGCCTCTGCCACACCCACCAGCCATTCCAATGACAGCTTTCTCCTCCTCGCCCCATGCTCCCCACCTTCCTTTTCTCTGCCTTCCTTCCCAGCACTGCTAAGCAAAGCTGTCACTCCCTGTGTCTTGCTTAGCAGTGCTAGGAAGGAAAGGAGGAAAAGGACTGGAAGCCTTTTCCAGAAATTTAGTCCACATGACATATATGGGAAAGGGCTCACACAGGGTGAGGAATCAATCCAAGGCCACACAGCTGGCAATTTGACCTTGATTTCCTTAATATCTTTGAGAATGAAAGGAGAGGGGTTTGGGGCTGGAGTAGGGCTTGAGGTGAGCAAAACCCCATCCCATTCCTGACTCTTTTCTCATAGCGTCCCCCTCCACAGCTTCCCCCAACTTTCATATATCCAGAGCCGCTACTGTGAAGGTGACTGGGGTAGATCTCTTAAAATTAATTGCAGAAAAACCAGAAAGAATCTTTTTTTTTTTTTTTTTTTGAGACGGAGTCTCGCTCTGTCACCCAGGCTGGAGTGCAGTGGCGTGATCTCAGCTCACTGCAACCTCCACCTTCCGGGTTCACACCATTCTCCTGCCTCAGAGTCCTGAGTAGCTGGGACTACAGGTGCCCGCCACCACGCCCAGCTAATTTTTTTTTGGTATTTTTAGTAGAGACGGGGTTTCACTGTGTTAGCCAGGATGGTCTCGATCTCCTGACCTTGTGATCCGCCCGCCTCAGCCTCCCAAAGTACTGGGATTACAAGCATGAGCCACCGTGCCCGGCCAAAAATATCTTTATATCTGGTCTTAAACTCCTGACCTCAGGCAATCTGCCCGGCTTGGCCTCCCAAAGTGCTGGGATTACAAGCATGAGCCACCGCACCTGGCCATTTCTTTCTTTTTTTTTTTTTTATTTGAGGCAGAGTCTGTCTCAGGCTGTCTATCACCCAGGCTGCTGTGCAGTGGCGCAGTCTTGGCTCACTGCAACCTCTGCCGCCTGAGTTTAAGCGATTCTCCTGCCTCAGCCTCCGGAGTAGCTGGGACTACAGGCACGTGCCACCACACCTGGCTGATTTTTTTTGTATTTTTAGTAGAGACAGGGTTTCACCATGTTAGCCAGGATGGTCTTGATCTCCTGACCTCGTAATATGCCCGCCTCGGCCTCCCAAAGTGTTGGAATTACAGGCGTGAGCCACCACACCCGGCCAAGGCCATTTCTTTTAGGTATATATTTAGGAATGAAAATTCTGGGTCGAATAGTAATTATGTTTAACATTTTGAGGGTACACTTGTTTTTACACATTCCAGGAGCTAAAAATGGTTTTTACATTTTTAAATGGTTGGGGAAAAAAAAAAACGAGAATAATATTTTGTGACACATGAAAATTACATCGAATTCAAATGTCAATGTACACCAAGCTTCATTGGATGGCTGAATTCATTCGCTGATGGATTATCTATGGACGCTTTTGCACTACAATGGCAGAGCTGGGTAGTGTGACAGAGACCATATGTCCTGCAAAGCCCAAAATATGTACTACCTGGCCTTTGATAGAAAAGGCTTACCAGGCCGGGCACGGTGGCTCACACCTGTAATCCCAGCACTTTTGGGAGGCTGAGGCGGGTAGATCACCTGAGGTCAGGAGTTCGAGACCAGCCTGGCCAACATGGTGAAACCCCATCTCTACTAAAAATACAAAAATTAGCCAGGCATGGTGGCACGTGCCTATAATCCCAGCTACTCGGGAGGCTGAGGCAGGAGAATCGCTTGAACCCAGAATGGGGAGGTTGCAGTGACCTGAAATCACACCACTGCACTCCAGCCTGGGTGACAGAGCAAGACAACATCTCAAAAAAAAGAAAAGAAAAGAAAAGAAAAAGCTTACCAACCCCTGAACTATGTTTTGGTATTATTAGTTTTTGTTTGCCGCTTGCTAGGGGCAGCTTGGGTGTGCACTGCCTCCAGTTGAGTGGTAGCAGGACCCAGGTCACCAGCCCTTCTCTGCAGGTCCTGGTCTGATAGTATAAAGAAATGAGGCCAGGCGCAGTGGCTCACGCCTATAATCCCAGCACTTTGGGAGGCCGAAGAGGGCGGATCACTTGAGGTCAGGAGTTCGAGACCAGCCTGGCCAATGTGGTGAAACCCTGTCTCTACTAAAAATACAAAAATTAGCCTGGTGTGGTGGTGCGCTCCTGTAGTCCCAGCTACTCGGGAGGCTGAGGGAGGAGAATCGCTTGAACCCAGGAGGCGGAGGTTGCAGTGAGCTGAGATCACACCACTGCACTCCAGCCTGGGCGACAGAGTGAGACTCTGTCTCAAAAAAAAAAGAGAGAGAAATGATAGCTGGCCAGGCATGGTGACTCATGCCTGTAATCCCAGCACTTTGGGAGGCCAAAGCGGGTGAACTGCTTGAGCTGGAGTTGGAAACCAGCCTGGGGAACATAGCAAAACCCCATCTCTACACAAAAAAAAAAAAAAAAAAAAAAAAAAAAAAATTAGCCGGGCATGATAGTGTGCACCTGTAGTCCCAGCTCACACCTCACACTGGAGAGGCTGAGGCAGGAGGATAGGTTGAGCCTGGGAGGCAAAGGTTGCAATGAGCTGAGACTGTGCCACTGCACTCCAGCCTGGGCATTAGAGCAAGACCCTATCTCAAAAAAATTAAAAACAAACAAACAAAAAAAAAAACGAAGAAATGAGAGCTCACATCTGGCCCCATTTTCTGCATGGAGAAACTGAGTCCTGTGGGGGCTGCTCAGGCTCATGCGAACTTGAGGGTAAGTGAGAGCTTAGCTTTCTTCTACTCCCAGGCAGCCTCCTCTCTCCCAGTTAAGAAGACCTGGCCATGAATAATTCATGGCTGGCATTTGCAGAACTCTCCTTCTTGTCAGAGCACTTTGATTATCATTAATTAGTCAGAACCTGGCTCCACTGTTGCCCAATAAAACAAAAACAGAAGTGGCTTTGATGCTCTAGGAGCTTCCATCTCCACACCAAGACTTTGACCTGCAGATTCCTCCTCTCTGCCCATTGTTCCATCACCTCTCAAAGCCTGAAAGCCTATTGTTTTGGCTCAAAAGTCAGGCTTCCCACAGGAAATGAGGCAGTCTCAGACTTGAAGCCCCGACCCTTATAGCTGGTGTCATCTCCTCTCTGCCATCATTGTCCTCGTCTGAAAGATTACAGCAATGATGCCTATCTCTGGGGTTGTTATGAAGATTATTGTTGTGAGTTTATGTTTATAAAAGTGTCCTAAGCTAAGCGTGGTGACTCACACCTGTAATCCTAACACTTTGGGAGGCCAAGGTGGGAGTAGCCCTTGAGCCCGGAGTTCAAGACCAGCCTGGGTAACATAGTAAGACCTCATCTTTACAAAAAATCAAAAAATTAGCTGGGTGTGGTGGCTCCTACCTGTGGTCCCAGCTACTGGGGAGGCTGAGGTGGGAGATCATTTGAGCCCAGGAGACTGAGGCTGCAGCGAGCTATGATTGAGCCATTGCACTCCAGCCTGGGTACACAGTGAGACTCTGTCTCAAAAAAAAAAAAAAAAAAAAGAAGAGGTGTTCTGAAGAGAACTGCATACACTGCTTATGGGAATACAAAATGGTGTAGATGCTTTGGAAATCATTCTGGCAGTTCTCCACATGGTTAAGGATACCGTACAACCCAGCAATTCCACACCTAGGTATCTACCCAAGAGAAATGAAGCACGTGTCCACACAGAAACTTGTACACAAGTGTTCACAGCAACATTATTCATAACAGCCAAAAAGTCGAAACAACCCATATGCCCCTCAACTAATGAATGGACAAATATTAATAAAACATCTAGATCTATACAATGGAATATTGTTTGGCCATAAAAAGTAATGAAGCACTGATCCATGCTACGACATGGATGAACCTTGGAAACATTAAGAAAAAGAAGCCAAGGCTGGGCGTGGTGGCTCCCGCCTGTAATCCCAGCACTTTGGGAGGCCGAGGAGGGCGGATCACGAGGTCAGGCGATCGAGACCATCCTGGCTAACACAGTGAAACCCTGTCTCTACTAAAAATACAAAGTTAGCAGGGTGTGGTGGCAGGCGCCTGTAGTCCGGGCTACTCGGGAGGCTAAGGCAGGAGAATGGCGTGAACCCAGGAGGCGGAGGTTGCAGTGAACCGAGATCAGGCCACTGCACTCCAGCCTGGGTGACAGAGCAAGACTCCGTCTCAAAAAAAAAAAAAAAAAAGAAAAAGAAGCCAGCTGGGTGTGGTGGGTCATGGCTGTAATCTCAGCAGTTTAGGAGGCTGAGATGGGAGGATTGCTTGAACCCAGGAGTTTGAGACCAACCTGGGCAACACAGCAAGACCTCATCTCAAAAAAAAAAAAAAAAAAAGAAGAAAGAAGAAAGAAAAAAAAAGAGAAGCCAAATGCAAAAGGCCACATATTATATGATTCTTACTTACATGAAATGTTCAGAATAAGCAAATCCATAGAAAGAGAATATAAATTAGTGGTTCCCTTGGGCTGAGGAGACAATGGAAAGTGACTGTAAATGGACACGAAGCTTTTTGGGGGGATGATGGAAATTTATTTAAATTAGCTTTTATGTTTTAATTAAAAGTATAGTTAATAAATGTGGATCTGATGCAGGAATAAACACACAAATTACTGGGAAAAAATAGAAATACTTAAACATGTCCTATTACATATGACCTCAGTAGGGTATATAAGAAACATCACAAAGCAATGGAAAACATGGACATTCAGTAAATTGACTGGAGAAAAAACATATATATATATTCTCATTTCTTTCCTCAACACTAAAATAATATAAAAGTATTAAAGAGTAAAATGTACATGGAAACAAAAGGGGAGGAATATATGTAATATTTGATTTGTTAAATTGGTGGGTACCTTCTTTATCCTTTATATATTTTGATTATCCTAGCTTTTTATAATAAATGTTGTTTTTTTACCTTATTTTGTTTTGTACTTGGTAGAGACAAGGTCTTGCTATGTTGTCCAGGCTGGTCTTGAACTCCTGGGATCCTCCCGCCTTGGCCTACCAAAGTGCTGGGATTATAGGCATGAGACACCACACCTGGCCTGATGCTAATTTTAAAAAATATGTGTGTATACATTTGCATAGGAAAAAATAATGGAAGGAACCTAAATTGAGGAACATTTTACAAAATAACAAGCCCATATCAATGTCAAGGTCAAGAAAGACAAAGGAAGGCTGACAAGCTATTTCAGTTTAAAGAAGGCATAAGAGCTATGACAATTAAATGCAACAGTGCAGGATCCTGGATTAGATCCTGAACTGGGAAAAACATATATACACTGGTAATTGATTAATTTAAATACAGGCTATAGATTTGATAATAGTATTGTTGCAATGTTAAATAAATGTCCTGAGTTTGGTGGGGCGTGGTGGCTCACACCTGTAATCCCAGCACTTTGGGAGGCCGAGGCAGGCAGATCACCTGAGGTCGGGAGTTCAAGACCAGCCTGACCAACATGGTGAAACCCCGTCTCTACTAAAAATACAAAATTAGCTGGGCGTGTTGGCACATGCCTGTAATTCCAGCTACTTGGGAGGCTGAGGCAGGAGAATTGCGTGAACCCAGGAGGCAGAGGTTGTGGTGAGCCAAGATCATGCCATTGCACTCCAGCCTGGGCAACAAGAGCGAAACTCTATCTCAAAATAATAATAATTTAAAAAGTCCCTTGCGGCCAGGCACGGTGGCTCAAGCCTGTAATCCCAGCACTTTGGGAGGCCGAGGCGGGCGGATCACGAGGTCAGGAAATTGAGACCATCCTGGCTAACACAGTGAAACCCTGTCTCTACTAAAAATACAAAAAATTAGCCAGGCATGGTGGCAGGCGCTTGTAGTCCCAGCTACTTGGGAGGCTGAGGCAGGAGAATGGCATGAACCCAGGAGGCAGAGCTTGCAGTGAGCCGAGATTGTGCCACTGCACTCCAGCCTGGGCAACAGAGTGAGACTCCGTCTCAAAAAAAAAAAAAAAAAAAAAAAAAGTCCCGAGTTTAATAATTATACTGTGGTTATATATGGGAATGTCTTTGTTTTTAGGAACTACATGCTGGAATATTTAGGGCATGATGTCTCTAATTTAATCTCAAATGGTTCAGAAAAATACATATACATACACATATACACAGATAGATCCATATATAGGTAAATATTTATATATTGTTTTAGTCCATTTTCATACTGCTATAAAGAACTGCCCAGGCTGGGCGCAGTGGCTCATGCCTGTAATCCCAGCACTTTGGGAGGCCGAGGCAGATGGATCACGAGGTCAAGAGTTCAAGACCAGCCTAGTCAAGAGGGTGAAACCCTGTCTCTACTAAATATACAAAAATTAGCCGGGTGTGGTAATCCCAGCTACTGGGGAGGCTGAGGCAGAGAATTGCTTGAACCCGGGAGGCAGAGGTAGCAGTGAGCCGAGATGGTACTATTGCACTCCAGCCTGGGCAACAAGAGCGAACCTCATCTCAAAAAAAAAACAAAAACAAACAAACAAAAACTCCCCGAGACTGGGTAATTTATAAAGGAAAGAGATTTAATTGACTTACAGTTCAGCATGGCTGGGGACGCCTCAGGAAATTTACCATCATGGCCGAAGGTGAAGGGGAAGCAAAGCACCTTCTTCACAAGGTGGCAGGAAGGAGAAGTGCCGAGTGAATGCGATGGGGAAAAGCCCCTTATAAAACCATCACATCTCTTGAGAATTCACTCACTATCACGAGAACAGCATGGGGGAAACCGCCCCCATGATTCAATTACCTCCATCTGGTCTCTCCCTTGATATGTGGGGATTATGGGAATTATGGGGATTACAAATCAAGATGAGATTTGGGTAGGGACATGAAGCTTAACCATATCATATAGAGGAGAAAATTATGAAGCAAATGGTCAACAACTGGTTAATGTGGGTAGAGTTTCTGGAGTTTCTTGTACTATTCTTGTGATTTTGGTTTCCACTTAAAATTATATCAAAATTACAAATTACCAAAAAAGGGAGGAAAGGAAGACAGATACACAAATTTTCACTCTGGGCCGGGCACGGAGGCTCATACCTGTAATCCCAACACTTTGGGAGGTCGAGGCAGGTGGATCACTTGAGGTCAGGAGTTCGAGACCAGCCTGGCCAACATGGTGAAACCCCCTCTCTACTAAAAATACAAAAATTAGGCATGGTGGTGGGCACTTGTAGTCCCAGCTACTTGGGAGGCTGAGGCAGGAGAATCGCTTGAACCCAGGAGGCGGAGGTTGCAGTGAACCAAGACCATGCCATTGCAATCCAGTCTGGGCAACAAGAGTGAAACTCCATCTCAAAAATAAATAAACAAATAATGAAACAAATTTTCACTCTTCTAGAATTAGTACTAAAAACTAAAATTGGAAAAAGGCAGTACAAATTTTCCAAATAACATTTTTTTTTTTTGAGACGGAGTTTTGCTTTTGTTGCCCAGGCTGGAGTGCAATGGTGTGATCTCGGCTCACTGCAACCTCTGCCTCCCGGTTCCAAGCGATTCTCCTGCGCTAGCCTCCCGAGTAGCTGGGATTACAGGCATGCACCATCACACCTGGCTAATTTTGTATTTTTAGTAGAGACGGGGTTTCTCCATGTTGGTCAGGCTGGTCTCGAACTCCTGACCTCAGGTGATCTGCCTGTCTTGGCCTCCCAAAGTGCTGGGATTACAGGCGTGAGCCACTGGGCCCGGCCAAATAACCTTTTAAAACGTAATAAAATAGTGGTACCCTTTCCTGAAAGAGAAAAATGTATAGAGGGACATATACCCCTTGGTGACATGTGAGGCCTGGCACTAGGTAGCTTGGATTTGAATGTGGACATGCTATTTACTAGACGTGTCACACTGGACAAGTTACTTACATCTTCTGTGCCCCATTTCCTTACCTCCCCTGTGCAATGGGGATAGCAATGTCTACTCATGGGGTCTTCACAGGAGACATTAAAGTGTAAAAGATTTGTGACAACGTTGACACACCCTAGGGGCATGTAAATATCAGCTATGCTTATTTCTGCTTGGTGGGATTATGGGTGAAACAGTCTATGCATTTTCCAAATACCATGGAGTGAGCACACAGTACTCTTGTAATCAGAGCAACAACAAAATGTCATTGACATTATTTTAGGGGAGGGGGAGACTCCTTTCCAGTGGCTCAGTTTTTCCCTCTTGGGCCTCCCTGTCTCTTCCCTCTCTCTGCCCCTTCCCCCTCCACCTCTTACTTTCCCCTCTCCTCCTCCACCCCAGACCCCTCCCCTCTGCCCACCAGATTGCATTCCTCACTTCTTTTCCCAAAGAACTATAATTAAGCTCTTACTCTGTAATTGCCAATTCATGGTTCTCCATCTGAAATCACTCTCCTGCCTGGCCTGTTTTCCTTCTTCTCCACCTGGGGAAGCAGAGGCGGGAAACAGCAGAGCCCAGGATGCACCTCGTATGTAAGAATGCTATGATCTCTATTTGCTGTATATTCGCTCTGTGTGAGCCAGGCAGTGTGCTCAGCCCCTTCCACACTCTACTTCCTCTGATCACAACAACCCTGGGTGGAAACTGAAGCTCAAGAGATACAGTAACTCACCCACAGGTCTCACAGGTAGTTGGTGGAGCTGGGATTTGAATCCAGCTGGATCTGGCCTCAAAGTTGGGAGATGATACTCCTGCTTCTGCAACTGACAAGTCTATTCTAAACTCCCTAAGCCCAGGCACCCACGCTCTGGTAGTAGTTTGATATCAAAACTGGCCACCCTTACCCCTCACTGTATCTTCATCCTTTGTAATAAGACTTTGCAGCCTCTCCTATCTAAATGGTGTCATCTGTTTCTCCAACCCTAGAATATGGGTTGGCCTTGCTTTGGCCAACATAATGCAGCAAAAATGATGGTGTCCACACTTGGGCCTTGCACACGTCTGCTCTTCTCTTGGGAGACTGCCTCTGCTGTGAAAACAAGCCCAGGCTAGATGGCGGGAGCATCGTGGCCCAGTCATCCCTGTTGCCCAGGTAACAGGCAGCCAACAGCCAGACATATGAGTGAGGCCACCCCAGACCTGCCAGCCACCAACTGACCTGGGACCTGGCAGCTGACTGTTGATTCATGTGTGAGCCCCGTGGAGGTGGGCCAAGCCTGCTGAAATCAGTAGAACAACCCAGCTGACCCACAGACTCTTGAGCAATAGTTTTAAGCCACTGGGTTTTGGGGGCGGTTTATTATAGAGTAATAGCTAACAAATCCAGCCCCTTATAGAGACTAGGTAAAATGCTGTTGAGAAGATCTCTGGTGGGAAGGAAAGAACCAACTTAGCAAACATCTATTTAATGCTTACCATGCACTAAGCATTTTAATTTAATCCTCACAACCTTATGAGGTAGGGACTTCTATTGTCCCCATCCTACAGATGAGGATACCGAGGTAGAGTGATAATTTGCTTTGGATCTCACAGCTAGTTAGTAAATGGCAGCTGCTTAAGAAGTTAAGATGTGGGAAGCAGAGTCCAGAAAGATGCCCTGTGAACCTACTGGGGGCAAAATATAGGCATTCAGAAACTGAATGATAAGGCCGGGCATGGTGGCTCATGCCTGTAATCCCAGCACTTTGGGAGGCTGAGGCAGGTGGATCACCTGAGGGCAGGAGTTCGAGACCAGCCTGGCTAACATGATGAAACCCTGTCTCTACTAAAAATACAAAAAATCAGCCGGGCGTGGTGGCGGGCGCCTTTAGTCCCAGCTACTCAGGAGGCTGAGTCAGGAGAATGGCGTGAACCCGGGATGCGGAGGTTGCAGTGAGCCGAGATTGCACCACTGCATTCCAGCCTGGGCAACAGAGCAAGACTCCATCTCAAAAAAAAAAAAAAAAAAAAAGAGAGAAACCGAGTGATGGAGGCACCTCCCAACTGGACAGCCAGTCAGAGGGGAGGGTGGCACTTTGGGAATATGGGTTCTTTTTTTTTTTAAGAAATAGTCTTGCTATGTTGCCAGACCTATGTTGCCAGGCTGGTCTCGAACTCCTGGGCCCAAGCAATCCTCCTGCCTTGGCCTTCCAAAGTGCTGGGATTACAGGTGTGAGCCACTGCACCTGGCTGAGAATATGGGTCCTTTAAAGGGACGGAATTGTAACAATAATAATTCAATCTACGACGCTTGCAAATTTCATCTTATTTATATTTATTTAAATAATATGTTAAATATTTGTTAAATATTTAGATAAATATTTGTTAAATATTTAGATAAATATTTGTTAAATATTTAGATAAATATTTGTTAAATATTTAGATAAATATTTGTTAAATATTTAGATAAATATTTGTTAAATATTTAGATAAATATTTGTTAAATATTTAGATAAATATTTGTTAAATATTTAGATAAATATTTGTTAAATATTTAGATAAATATTTGTTAAATATTTAGATAAATATTTGTTAAATATTTAGATAAATATTTGTTAAATATTTAGATAAATATTTGTTAAATATTTAGATAAATATTTGTTAAATATTTAGATAAATATTTGTTAAATATGTATTAGGGGCCTACCATGCCCAGGCATTCTGCCAGACACTGGAGATATATTCATGGAGTATTCAGTCTTGTGGAGGATATAAGTAGCAAACAGGAGGCTGGGTGCAGTGGCTCATGCGTCTAATGCCAGCGCTTTGGGAGTCCATGACAAGAGGATCATTTAAAGCCAGGAGTTTGAGACCAGCCTAGGCAACACAGTGATAGCCTGTCTCTACAAAAGATTAAGGCTGGGTACAGTGGTGTGCGCCTGTAGTCCCAGCTACTCAGGAGGCTGAGACCGGTAGATGGCTTGAGCCAGGAGTTTGAGATCGGCCTGGGCAAAATGGCAAAACCCGTCTCTACAAAAACATACAAAAATTAGCCGCATGTGGTGGGGCACACCTGTGGTCCCAGCTACTCAGCAGGCTGAGGTAGGAGGATCATTTGAGCCCAGGAGGTTGAGGCTGCCATTAGCTGTGACCACACCACTGCACTCTAGCCTGGGTGAAAGAGCAAGGCTCTGTCTCAAAATAAAATAAAATAAAACAAAATAGGAAAACAAAGAAGTAAGTACAGATTGTGGTATTTGCTGGGAAGAAGATACAGAGTTGAGATCAAGAGTAATGGAGGGTGGGATGAGATTGAATGGGAAGGAGATTTTTTGAAATTGATACCTGAAGGGTGAAGAGCTGCCCAGGAGAACCAGAGCAGGACAAATGTTTTCTCTAATGGGCCAGTTAGTAAATATTTTAGGCTTTATGGGCCATGCCATCTTTGCCTCTTTAGTTTACTTTTGCTGTTACTTTTAGAAAGCATCTGTAGACGATACATGAATGAATGAGTGAGGCTGTGTTCCAACAAAACTTTGTTGATGGATACAGTACTAAAATTTGAATTTTATATGATTTTCATGTATCTGAAATATTGGTCTTTTTTATTTTTATTTTTTCTAATTACTTAAAAATGTAAAAACTGGTTGGGCATGGTGGCTCACGACTATAATTCCAAGACTCTGGGAGGCCAAAGTGGGAGGATTGCATGAGGCCAGGAGTTTGAGGCCTGCCTGGGCAACACAGCAAGACCCCACCTAAGAAAAGTAATAGCCAGGTGTGGTGGCATGTGCCTGTAGTCCCTACTCAGGAGGCTCAGGCTGGAGATTCCCCTGAACCCCGGAGTTCAAGGTTATAGTGAGCCATGATCACTCCATTGTACTCCAGCCTGGGCAACAAGCAAGACCCTATCTCAAAAAAAAGAAAAATGTAAAAACCACTTGTAGGTCATGGGCAGTATGAAAACAGACAGAAGGTAAGATTTGGTGCACAAGCTATAATTTGCAAACTCATGAGCTGCAGAATAAGAATGGACCAGGCAGAGAGAACAGCAAGCGCAGAGACCCTGAGGGTGAAAGAATTGAGACCAATTGAGGAACAAAATAGAGGGAATGAGCCAGGTGTGGTGGCTCACGCCTGTAATCCCAGCACTTTGGGAGGCCGAGGCGGGCGGATCACGAGGTCAGGAATTCGAGACCATCCTAGCTAACATGGTGAAACCCCGTCTCTATTAAAAAAAAAAAATACAAAAATTAGCCGGGCATGGTAGCGGGCAACTGTAGTCCCAGCTACTTGGGAGGCTGAGGCAGGAGAATGGCGTGAACCCGGGAGGCGGAGCTTGCAGTGAGCCGAGATCGCGCCACTGCACTCCAGCCTGGGTGACAGAGTGAGACTCCGTCTCAAAAAAAAAAAAAAAAAAAAAAAATAGAGGGAATGGATTATTTCTATGAGAAATGGAACGCCATTGAATAATTTTATGCTGGGGGGTGACAGGATCTTATTTTCAATTTTTAAGAGATTGTTCTGGCATCTGTGAGAAGGATAGGCTCTAAGGCAGCAGGTGCAGAGGAAGTGGAGCAGAGACTCTTGCAATAATCCAGATGAGAGATGACAGTGGTTTGGGCCAAGGTGGTCAGAAATAGCCAAATTCTGGCCAGGTGCTGCTGCTCATGCCTGTAATCCCAGCACTTTGGGAGGCCAAGGCAGGCGGATCACTTGAGGTCAGGAGTTTGAGACCAGCCTGGCCAACATGGTGAAAACCCATCTCTACAAAAAATACAAAAATTAGCTGGGTGTGGTGGTGCCCGCCTGTAATCCCAGCTACTCAGGAGGCTGAGGCAGGAGAATCACTTGAACCCAGGAGGCGGAGGTTGCAGTGAGCCGAGATTGTACCAGTGCACTCCAGAGCGACAGAGCAAGACTCCGTCTCAAAAAAAAAGAAAAAAAAGAAAAAAAAAAAGGCTGGGAGAAGTGGCTCATTCCTGTAATCCCAGCACTTTGGGAGGCTGAGGTGGGCAGATCGTTTGAGGTCAGGAGTTCGAGACCAGCATGGCCAACATGGTGAAACACTGTCTCTATTAATAATACAAAAAAAAAAAAAAAAAAGGGCCGGGCGCAGTGGCTTATGCCTGTAATCCCAGCACTTTGGGAGGCCGAGGTAGGTGGATCATGAGGTCCAGAGTTCGAGACCAGCCTGGCCAACATGGTGAAACCCCGTCTGTACTAATAATACAAAAATTAGCCAGGTGTGGTGGCACATACCTGTAGTCCCAGCTACTCGGGAGGCTGAGGCAGAAGAATGGCTTGAACCCGGGAGGCGGAGGTTGCAGTGAGCCAAGATCGCACCACTGCACTCCAGCCTGGGCAACAGAGCAAAACTCCATCTCAAAAAAAAAAAAAAAAGTAGCTGGGTATGGTGGCACACACCTGTGATCCCAGCTACTTGGGAGGCTGAGGCAAGAGAATCGCTTGAACTCAGGAGGCGGAGATTGTGGTAAGCCGAGATGGCGCCACTGCACTCCAGCCGGGGTGACAGAGCAAGACTCCATCTCAGAAAAAGAAAAGAAAAGAAATAAGAAATAGCCAGTTTCTAGACGTATTTGGAATTAAAACAGATGTGCCTTTTTTTTTTTTTTTTTTGAGATAGGGTCTCAAAAAATTAGCTAGGTATGGTAGCACATGCCTGTGGGCCCAGCTACTCAGGAGGATGAGATTCAAGGATCGCCTGAGCCCAAGAGTTTGGGCCTGTAGTGAGCCAGGATTGCACTGTGATTGCACGACTGCACTCCAGCCTGGGTGACAGAGTAAGACCCTGTCTCAAAAAATAAAATTAAAAAATAAAAGGCAAAAAATAAAAAAGATTAAAATAAAAAGAAAATGTCTATGCATCTGTCTGTCTCTCCACTAGTTAGTGGAGGGGACTGAATCTTACTCATTGCCAAATCCCCATCCCTAAGTCAAGCCTGAGGTGGGCACACTGGGAGCACTTGGGAGGTGGTTGTTTTTTGTTTTTTTGAGACGGAGTTTCACTCTTGTTGCCCAGGCTGGAGTGCAATGGCATAATCTCAGCTCACTGCAACCTCCGCCTCCTGGGCTCAAGTGATTCTCCTGCCTCAGCCTCCCAAGTAGCTGGGATTACAAGCGTGCGCCACCACACCTGGCTAATTTTTGTATTTTTAGTAGAGATGGGGTTTCTCCATGTTTGCCAGGCTGGTCTCAAACTCCTGACCTCAGGTGATCCACCCGCCTCAGCCTCCCAAAGTGCTGGGATTACAGGTGTGAGCCACCGCGTCCTACCGGGAGGTGGTTGTTAATTGGACTAGGTTTGGTTCAGTTCAGGAAAGCCTTCATCACCAGGCTAAAGAATCTGGACTCAATACCCAAAGACAATGGGGACCATCGAAGATTGTTGAACACGAGGAGTTCATCATCTGAGAAGCGTTTTAGCAAAATTAAGCTGAGCAAGCAGCAGTGAGAAGGAGGATGTTTTGAAGAGGAGGTAAACTGAAGGTGGGACAGGGAAACGAACTAGTCATTGCAAGGACAGTTAAGAAGTTGTTGCAAGGCCAGGCACGGTGGCTCATGCCTATAATCTCAGCACTTTGGGAGGCTGAAGCGGGAGGCTCACTTGCACCCAGGAGTTCAGAATCAGCCTGGGCAACATGGCAAAATTCTGTCCCTACAAAAAATACAAAAAAGGCCGGGCGCAGTGGCTCAAGCCTGTAATCCCAGCACTTTGGGAGGCGGAGGCAGGCGGATCACCTGAGGTCAGGAGTTCGAGACCAGCCTGACCAATATGGAGAAACCCCATCTCTACTAAAAACACAAAATTAGCCGGGCGCGGTGGTGCATGCCTGTAATCCCAGCTACTTGGGAAGCTGAGGCAGGAGAATCGCTTGAACCTGAGAGGCGGAAGTTGCAGTGAGCCGAGATGGCGCCACTGCACTCCAGCCTAGGCAACAAGAACGAAACTCTGTCTCAAAAAAAAAAAAAATCCCAAAAAATTAGCTGGGCATGGTGGCACGCGCCTGTGGTGCCAGCTACACCTACTGAGATGGGAGAATCCCCTGAGCCTGGGAGGTCAAGGCAGCAGTGAGCTGAGATTGAATCACTGCACTCTAGCCTGGGTGATGGAAGTAAGACCCTGTCTCAAAAAAAAAAAAAAAAAAAAGAAAGAAAGAAGCTGTGGCAGAAATGAAGCAAGAACGTAGGGTTAGATCATGAAAGAAAGGACTAGAAAGGAAAGTATCAACTTGGGCCACATATCTATTTTGTTGTTGTTGGGTTTTCTTTTTCTTTTCTCAAATATCTGTGTTTTATACATGGGCTGTGACCTCACTTTTATAAAACCATGTATTATTAGTATTGTGTGTGTTTTAAAATATAATCTATGTGGTCTTGTAAGTCACAAGGCTTGACACTAGTTAGCTGAAGAGGCTTCTGGGGAAGTGTTGGGGTATATGTGTGCATGTTTTGTTTTTAATAAAACCATGTGGTTTTTTAAATATTTATTTATTTATTTATTTATTTATTTTGAGACAGAGTCTCACTCTGTCCCCCAAGCTGGAGTGCAGTGGCAGGATCTTGGCTCACTGCAACTTCTGCCTCCCGGATTCAAGCGATTCTCCTGCCTCAGCCTCCTGAATAGCTAGGATTACAGATGCATGCCACCATGCCCAGCTAATTTTTGTATTTTTAGTAGAGACAGGGTTTCACCATGTTGGTCAGGCTGGTCTCGAAATCCTGACCTTGTGATCTGCCCACCTCAGCCTCCCAAAGTGCTGGGATTACAGGCATGAGCCACCGTGCCCAGCCTCCATGTATTATTTTTAATCCTCACAAAAACCTTGTGAGGTAGGATATTGTTAGCTCTCCCTTACAGGTGAAGAAACCGAGGCTGAGAGAGAATTGGAAGCACTTGCTCAGGGTCATAGCCGGTACTTTACGACTCCAGCATGTCTTCCCCAGGTACCCTGAAGGAATAATTCAGTGGGCATCATGATTAATTGGATTGGGACAGGAGGAGGAGAAGAGGAGAGGATCAAAAATGACCAGAACACTTCCAGCTTGACCAAGTGGAAAATAATCAGCAGGTCAGGAGGGAGTGCTGGGTTGATGGGGGAATGTTTAAGCCAAAGGAGTGAATACCTAATGGCAAAATTTGGTGCATCAGATTGGGGTTTATGGGAAAGCCCATAAGTGCTCTCCTTGTTGGCTGGCCTTGCCACTGACACCTGAAGCCTGCTAGCAACTGAACAATTTCAAGAGAAAAAAAAAAATCAACCCCATACTTTCTGGCGAATGGTGTGTTCCTTTGAGTACTTGGGTCTTTTTCTACATCAGCAGCTTGGCAGCTTGTACTATCTGTGGCTCTGACTATGCAGCCTGATTGATTGACCAGGCTTAAAAGGCCTGTTCTTGAATTTGAGATCTCAGGCTTCCAGTCCCTATAGATCATCAACAAAGACCAAAAGGCCTGGCATGAACCCGAGGTTATTATTCACTGGAGAAGACATTATAAACCACAGGAACATAAAGCCCAGCAGGCAGGAATGACCGCCCAGCTCACTAGGCACACAGTGTCCTCACTCCTCCATCCAGCATGATTCATAATTAAATCTTCAGGCAGGAGGCAAACTAGAATTTTGTGTAAACTGGCATTGGAGAGACACTTTGAGTGTAGTTTAATTTCAAAGTTCTAGACCTCCAGAATTTGACATGCTTGTGACATTTCAAGTACAGGCTGTCCCTCCCTACCCCTCACTGGGACTATATCCTGGGGAGAAATGACCCAAAGGGAAAAAAATTGTGGGATCACTAGCTAAACTCTAGGTTTAGAAAACTGTACCATTATACAGACTCCATGTATGTTACATATATCATGGTGGAAACTAAAAGACCATCTGTGGACAAAAGACATACAGAATTCATACATAAAAAAGACATTTAAATGGCATTTATTCATATTACAGGGTCACCATGCTGCACAACTCCAGGGGGCAGCACTCCCATTGGATTCTATTCACAGAGATATATTTTTTGATGATTTGTAAGATAAGATACTCAACCTCTCATAATAAGAGAAATGTTAATTAAAACAATAAGGTACTGTTTTCCATGTTTTGGATTAGCAAATCAAAGAGTTGACAGGATCCCATGTTGGTGGTAGTGTAATTTGGTACCCCTTTTATGGAGGGTGTAGAGAGTACTGTGGACTGGCTCTCTCAATCTGACTCATTCCACCCTCTTCTAGGTGGAGACATTGGAAAGCTAAACCTACACGTCCCAGACTCCCTTGCAGCTAGAGTTTTGGATAGAAATTAGGTCCTACTAGTTAGAAGAATTAATGAGACACGGGGTAGGTGATGGAAAGACAAAGGCCATTTTCTCTGTACTTTTGGCTATCTCTGCTGTCAAGGAGGGTTGTGGAGACCTGAGATTTTTCTGCAGCATATTCAGAGTCCATTATCTGGCATCCTAGGTGTCAGTAGTGACATTTTGATCCTAACTTCTGGCTGCAGTTCCAGTAGTGATCGCAGAGGAGTGGCTTCCCCAGAAAGTTACCTGTGTATTGACCTCTTGGAGGCCCAGGCCAAAGCCCCTCCTACAGTCATTTCAGCAATTTTGTGAACACCTAATTTCCTCCATTAAATCTCCTGCTTGAACTACCTAAAGTGGTTTCCGGTTCTTGCACAAAACCCCAGTTGCTATAGAGCATAACTTAAATAAATCTATAAAAGTTGAAAGTGCAAATATGAGGCCAGGCATGGTGGCTGACGCTGTAATCCCAGCACTTTGAGAGGCTGAGGAGGGAGGATCCCTGGAGCCCAGGAGTTCAAGACCAACCTGAGTAACATAGTGAGACCCCGTCCTACAAAATATCAAAAAAATTAGCTGGGCATGGTGATGCATGCCTGTAGTCCCAGCTACTCAGGTGGTTGAGGCAGGAGAATTGCTTGAGCCCAGAAGGTCAAGGCTGCAATGAGCCGTGGCTGTGCCACTGCACTCCAGCCTGGGTGACAGAGTGAGACTGTGTCTCAAAAAACAAACAAACAAATGCAAAGAAAATGCAAATAAAATATGCCTCTTAGCTAGTACTTCTACTCCTAGGAATGTATCTAACAGATATGTTTTTACATGTGTGAAATAATTTATGCACAAGGATATTCACTGCACCATTGTTTACAGTAGTAGAAGATCAGAAATGAGCCAAATGTTCATCAGTAGGAGATCAGCTAAATAAATCAGGGAGATCCATTTCAGTGGAATACTATGCAGCAGTTTAAAAAAAAAAGGAAGAAAAATAATCAGAGAGCTTGCTATATACTCATAGAGAACAACCTCTAAATTATATAAAGTGAAAGTAAGGTCCAGAACACTATGTCAAAAAATGGAAAGAAGGGCTGGCCATGGTGGTTCACACCTGTAATCCCAGCACTTTGGGAGGCCAAGGCAGGTGGATCACCTGAGGTCAGGAGTTCGAGACCAGCCTGGCCAACATGGTGAAACACCATCTTTACTAAAAATACAAAAAATTAGCTGGGTATGGTGGCATACACCTGTAATCCCAGCTACTCGGGAGGCTGAGGCAGAAGAATTGCTTGAACCTGGGAGGTGGGGGTTGCAGTGAGCCAAGATCGCACCACTGTACTCCAGCCTGGGCAACAGAGTGAGACTCCATCTCAGAAAAAAGAAAAAAAAATCAATACATTCTCTTTTTTTTTTTTTTTTTTTTTTTTTTTTTTAGAGCTGGAGTGCAGTGGCACCATCACGGTTCACTGCAGCCTCAACCTCGAGGGCTCAAGCAATTTTCCCACCTCAGCCACTTGGGACCACAGGCATGTGCCACCACACCAGCTAATTTTTGTATTTTTTATAGAGACAGTGTTTTGCTATGTTACCCAGGCTGGTCTTGAACTCCTGGGCTCAAGCCATCTGCCTGACTCAGCCTCCCTAAGCGCTGGGATTACAGGTGTGAGCCACCACACCTGGCCAATAAAATTTTATTAAAATAAAATAAAATAACCTGCATTTCCCCACAATTTAGAGAATCTCAGAGAGTCCTTTCCTTTCCATTTCCTCTCTCTCTTGTTGTCTCCCCCATGAGAATCAGCTAAGGGACTTAGGCAGGGTTGTGGCTCAAGCTGATCTCTTGTGACAAAAGTTCTTTCTCCTGAAGCCTCTGTGACATGATAGGAAGAGGTCCCAGCAAATCCCACAGAACTGGTCAGTGAGAGAGCCCCCAATCCTGGCCTCTCTTTTCTACTCAGCTCGTTGCTTCAATAATCCCTGCCCCTTTCTCCTGCATCGTTGATCTTCTTCGCCCTTTGGATCTTCCCATCAGCCTTCAGTCATCCTTAAATTATCAACGTTAAAAAAAAACAAATACCCCCGGTTGGGCACGGTGGCTCATGCCCATAATCCCAGCACTTTGGGAGGCTGAGGCTGGCGGATCACGAGGTCAGGAGATAGAGGCCATCCTGGCTAACACGGTGAAACCCCATCTCTACTAAAAATATAAAAAAATAGCCGGGCATGGTGGCAGGCACCTGTAGTCCCAGCTACTTGTGAGGCTGAGGCAAGAGAATCGCTTGAACCTGGGAGGTCGAGGCTGCAGTGAGCTGAGATGGCACCACTGTACTCCAGCCTTGGTGACAGACCGAGACTCTGTCTTAAAATTAAAAACAAACAAACAGAAAGCCCAAATAGCTATCATAGGGATGGATAGTGTACCAGCCAGGCTTTCTCAGGCCCGAAGGCAGAATCTTGTCTGTCCAGATGACTCTGAGCAACGCTGAGGGTTTATCAGACAGGGAGGTGCTGAGAGCCAGAAACTGTTCCCCAGGGCAGGATGGCCAGGGAGGGTGGAGAGCGGAGCTCCACCTCAGCATCACCTGGGGACATCGGAGCACAGCTTCCTGCCTTCTCCTTACTTAGCTGGTGTTTGTGCCTCCTGGGAGAGGCACCAGTGAGGCTGCTCCTGGTCTCTCCAGCCACATCTGGTTCTGAGAGGTCTCAGCCTACTGCCTGGGCTGCTATGTTGTGCCACAGGCCCCCATCCCCCCGGACCATGGTTGACTGACCTAAGAGTGGACAGTAGACCCAGAAAGACACCGATTCTTCGGCTGGGCTGAGGCAGTCAGGCTCTTTGTCCTGGAAATGTGGGACAGAGATGAAAGCAGTTAGAAGAAAGTTGAAAGGCAAGGTTGTATTGTGTTGGGGCTGTGGAGGGGCTGTGGAGGCCATGTCAGGTCAGGTGAGGAGGAAGAAGATGGCTTCGAGAGAAAGGGAAGGGCAGGGAGAGGCAGAAATGAGAAAGCCTGGTGGCCCAGAGAGCACAACCTTGGTTCTTGACTTTCTGGATCCAGTTCCTGATAGCCAGCCTTATCATTCCTCTTCTATCGCTGGATGCCCTGGAGTAAATCCCTCTTCATGTGAGCTGACTGTAGGTCCCAGGTCATCAGACTGGACCACCCTCCTCCCTCCTTAAGGCAGACAGCTACAGAACCTGAGTCACTCTTCCCTGTTCCTTGATGATTTCACATTTTCTCCAACACTAAGAATCATAATCACTTCAATACCAACAAAGAGGAGGACCCTTGAGAACATTATGCTAGTGAGAAGTTACAACTATCGTTCCGATAGCTGTAACCCCATAATCCTGATTTCAAGCATCCTGCTCGATAATCACTACCTCTACCTCCAGCCCGCTTTTCAAGTATTCCATCTCCAGTAATTCTTTGACTCCTTTTGGACCCACAATCCATTGATTCTACCACCTTTCCATCATCTCTTACACTTGACATTGCCTCACTTCCGTCTTTGCGTCTGACATTCCATGGTCCATCATTACAGTCACTCCTTTATATACATCCTCAACTTCTTTGCCCCTTTTCTGTAGTCACCCAGAAAAACACCGTTAATTCCAACTCTTCTACTCTACAGCTGTACCCGTGCAGCTGAACAGGCTGGGGAAAACTCACAACCACAGGGACTTATTTCAAATGCGTGACCATTAACTTCAAGTGGACCCCCGGGATTGCTTGGCAACCTTACCATCTTACCACCTTTCTCAGGCCATTCACTCTCCCACACTCCTAGAGATTATTTCGTGCCTTCTCTCTCTTCTCGTGCACAACCCGTCCTCCTGTGTGCTCACCCTCAGCCAATGATTTCATCACAAGAGAACTTCCATAAGCTCCCACACCCACACGCACCCTGCATCTGTGAACATGTGTGTGCCCCACCTTCCTTCCTTCCACAGCTTTTTTTTTTTTTTTTTTTTTTTTGAGGCAGAATCTTGCTCTGTTGCCTAGGCTGGAATGCAATGGTGCAATCTCAGCTCACTGCAACCTCTGCCTCCCAGGTTCAAGCGATTCATCTGCCTCAGCCTCCCAGGTAGCTGGGATTACAGGCTTGCGTCACCACGCCCAGCTAATTTTTGTATTTTTGGTAGAGACAGGGGTTTCACCATGTTGCCCAGGCTGGTCTCGAACTCCTGGCCTCAGGTGATCTGTCCGCCTCGGCCTCCCAAAGTGCTGGGATTATAGGCGTGAGCCACGGTGCCCAGCCTCTTTCCACAGCTCTGCATGCGATGTTTGTTTGTTTGTTGTTGTTGTTGTTGTTGTTTGTCATTTGACAAGGTCTCACTCTGTCACCCAGGCTAGGGTGCAGTGGCACAACCATGGTTCACTGCAACTTCGACCTCCCAGGCTCAAGTGATCCTCCCACCTCAGACTTCCAAAGTGCTGGGAATGCAGCCGTGAGCCACTGAAGCAGATCCCCTGTGCCCCTTTTTAAAGATCAACCCAGGTCAGGCGCGGTGGCTTACGCCTGTAATCCCAGCACTTTGGGAGGCCGAGGCGGGCAGATCACTTGAGGTCAGGAGTTCGAGATCAGCCTGACCAACATGGAGAAACCCCGTCTCTACTAAAAATTAGCCTGGCATGGTGGTGCATGCCTGTAATTCCAGCTACTCAGGAGGCTGAGGCAGGAGAATCGCTTGAACCCGGGAGGCGGAGGTTGCGGTGAGCCCAGATCATGCCATTGCACTCCAGCCTGGGCAACAAGAGCGAAACTCCATCTCAAAAAAATAAATAAATAAAAATAAAAAATAAATAAAAAATAAAAAAAAGATCAATCCATCACTTAGCAGTAGATCTTAGCCCCTTTTTTCCACTCAGCCAATTGCTTCAAAAATCCCTCCCTCTTTCTCCCGTATCCTCAGTCTCCTCCACCCATTGCATTTTTCCCATCAAACTTTAATCAGCCTGTAATTTATCAATGTTAAAAAAAAAATCCCAGCTACCCGGGAGGCTGAGGCAGGAGAATCACTTGAACCTAGGAAGCAGAGGTTGCAGTGAGCCGAGCTCGTGCCACTGCACTCCAGCCTGGCAACAGAGTGAGACTCCGTCTCAAAAAAACAAACAAAAAAAACTAATACCTGTTAGGCGAAGTGGCTCATGCCTGTAATCCCAGCACTTTGGGAAGCCAAGGCAGGAGGATCACTTGAGTCCAGGAGTTCAAGACCAGCCCCGGCAACATAGTGAGACCCCATCTCTACAGAAAAAAAAATTTTTTTTTGAGACAGAGTCTCGCTCTTGTCGCCCAGCCTGGAGTGCAATGGTGCAATCTCAGCTCACTGCAACCTCTGCCTCCCAGGTTCAAGCGATTTTCCTGCCTCAGCCTCCCAAGTAGCTGGGATTACAGGCATGCACCGCCACACCTGGCTAATTTTGTATTTTCAGTAGAGACGGGGTTTCACCATGTTGGCCAGGCTGGTCTCGAACTCCCGACCTCAGGTGATCCAGCCTCCTCGGCCTCCCAAAGTGCTGGGATTACAGGTGTGAGCCACCGTGCCTGGCCAAAACATTTTTAAAAGTGTGGTCTCACCTACTGGGGAGGCTGAGGTGGGAGAATCATTTGAGCCCAGGAGGTCAAAGCTGCAGTGAGCCATGATCACACAACTGCACTCCAGCCTGAGCAACAGAGCAAGACCGTGTCTCAAAAAAAAAAAAAAAAAAAAAAAAAGGAAGAGAAAAAGAAAAAAGAAAAACAAAAGAAAATGAAAAAGAAAATAAACCTGTCTTAGGGAGGGATAGATGGACATACACGTGATAAAGCAAGTCTAGTAAAATGTTGGTTGCAGAATCCAGAGAGTGGGTCTGTATATGTTCACTGTAAAATTCTTTCAACTTTTTGGTATGTTTGAAAACTTTCACAATAAAATGTTGGGAAAAAGTTCCTAGCTTGACCTCACATCTTCCTCCTGCTCTTACCTAATTACTCTGCTCCCTCTCTTTCCAGAAAATCTCCTGAAAAGCTTGTCTGAGCTCGTGCCTCCAATTCCTCTCCTCCTCCTGTTTCTTCTCACTACAATTACAATTCAGCTTTCGCCCCAACAGTCCACCAAAATGTCTCAAAGCTCACCAGTGATTTCCACTTGAGGAGATCCAATGGCCATTGAGGAGTCCTACTCTTGCTTAACCTATCAGCTGCAGAATTTGACTCAGCTGATCACTCCCTGCTCCTTACAAAACTTTCTTTTTTTTTTTTTTTTTTTTTTTTGAGATGGATTCTCACTCTGTTGCCAAGCTGGAGTGCAATGGCGTGATCTCAGCTCACTGCAACCTCTGCCTCCCGGGTTCAAGTGATTCTCCTGCCTCAGCCTCCTGGAGTAGCTGGGATTACAGGTATGGGCCACCATGCCCAGTTTATCTTTGTATTTTTAGTAGAGATGAGGTTTCACCATGTTGGCCAAGATGGTCTCGAACTCCTGACCACAGGTGATCCGCCCGCTTCGGCCCCCCAAAGTGCTAGGATTACAGGTGTGAGCCACTGTGCCCGGCCTCATGGATTTAATTACTATAAGATTATTCCTGAATTTATATCTGTAGCCAAGTTCTCTCTCCTTTATTCTAAATTTATATATCCGATTGCCTACTCAACATCCCCACATGGACTTTTGAGAGGCATTTCAAACTTAGCATGTCCACAAACTGACCTGGATTTGTCCTGAGGCCTAAACTGTGATTTCTTTTTTTATCTTGTCCAAATTCCTATCTAAGGGGTCTGGGGAGTCATGCCCTACAAATAATAAATTCTCATCAGATGGGTTTTCTTTAATCCTATATATCGTGACTAACTTTCCAACCTGACTCTGTTGTAACATTAGGAGACAAGGAAGAAAATAAAAATATTTTACACCAAAACATATTTCTTTGCCATATTTTAAAATGGCCCGACAAAGCTATTCTTTACAGGGGAAAATCTGCATTTGTAAAGAATATCTATTAACATAGCTAGATCTGCCGGGCGTGGTGGCTCACGCCTGTAAACCCAGCACTTTGGGAGGCTGAGGTGGGGGGATCACCTGAGGTCAGGAGTTCAAGACCAGCCTGGCCAATATGGTGAAACCCCATCTCTACTAAAAATACAAAATTAGCCAGGCTTGGTGGCACATGCCTGTAATCCCAGCTACTTGAGAGGCTGAGGTAAGAGAATCACTTGAACCAGGGAGACGGAGGTTGCAGTGAGCCAAGATTGCGCCATTGCACTCTGGCCTGGGCAACAAGAGCAAAACTCCTCAAACAAAACAAAACAAAACAAAACAAACAAACAAAAAAAACTTATACTGGCTGGGCGCCATGGCTCATGCCTGTAATCTCAGCACTTTGGGAGGCCGAGGTGGGCAGATCACAAGGTCAGGAGATCGAGACCATCCTGGCTAATATGGTGAAACCCTGTCTCTACTAAAAATACAAAAAATTAGCCCAGCATGGTGGCACACGCCTGTAATCCCAGCTACTCGGGATGCTGAGGCAGGAGAATCGCTTGAACCTGGGAGGCAGAGGTTGCAGTGAGCCGAGGTCACGCCACTGTACTCCAGCCTGAGCGACAGAGCGAGACTCCGTCTCAAAAAACAAACAAACAAACAAACCTGTATTCGGAGTGAAACATGAAGTCTTGGAGTGTTTTGAATGGAGGAGTGATGTGATTTGATTTCACCTTTAAAATGATCACCCTGGCTGGGCATAGTGGCTCACACTCTGATGCTCCCTCTTTCACATATAAGAACCCTTGTGGGCTGGGTGTGGTGCCTCATGCCTATAATCCCAGCACTTTGGGAGGGTGAGGTGGGAGGATTGCTTGAGCCCAGGAGCAGGGGAAGATAGGTATCCCATCTCAAGAAGAGAAAGATGGAGAGAGGCTCTTACCTTCCTTGACTTTTTTGTTCTATTTGGGCCTCAAATAGATGGGATGATGCCCATCCACATCGGAGAGGGTCAAATTCTGTACTGGGTCTACTGATTCAAATGCTAATCTCCCCCAGAAACACCCTCACAGACACACCCAGAAGTGTTTTACCAGCTATCTGGTCATTCCTTAGCCCAGTGAAGTTGACACATAAAATTAACCATCACACACCTAGACTTTAAAAGACCCTGCAGCTTCTGCCCTTGGCCTTTGGAAGTTCTACCACTGCTGTATAAAGAAGCCCAAGGCAGCCAAGGGCAGTGGCTCATGCGTGTAATCCCGGCACTTTGGGAGGCTGAGGCAGGTGAATCACGAGGTCAGGAGTTCAAGACCAGCCTGGCCAATTTGGTGAAACCACATCTCTACTAAAAATACAAAAATTAGCTGGGCGTGGTGGCACATGCCTGTAGTCCCAGCTACTGCTACTCGGGAGGCTGAGGCAGAAGAATCACTTGAACCCAGGAGGTGGAACTTGCAGTGAGCCGAGATTGTGCCACTGCACTCCAGCCTGGGTGACAGAGCAGAACTCCACCTCAAAAAAATAAATAAAAAAGAAACCCAAGGCTGGGCACATGGGCTCACACCTATAATCCCAGCACTTTGGGAGGCTAAGTCAGGAGGATCGCTTGAGCCCAGGAGTTCAAGACAGTCTTGGGCAACATACAACATAGCAAGCCCCTGTATCTACAAAAAAAAAAAAAAAGCCAGGCATGGTGGCATGCACCTGTAGTCCCAGCTATTCAGGAGGCTGAGATGGAAGTGTGGCTTGAGCCTGGGAGTTGGAGGTTGCAGTGAGCCCTAATTGGGCGACCGCACTCCAGCATGGGTAACACAGCGAGACTCTGTCTCAAAAATAAGAAACCCCATCTCTCTCTCACACACACACACACACACACACACACACACACACACACACACACACACACACACACAAGCCCAATCAGTCAGAGAGGCCTAGCTCAGAACCAACACCCATCACCAGATGTGAATGAGGCTAGCCTAAGCCATCCAATCCTATTCCAGCCACAAGATGACTGCAGCTGCTTGAGGGATTCAAGGTGAAACTAGCAGAAGAACCATCCAGCTGATCACAGCCTAAATTGCTGACCCACAGAATTATAAGTAAAGAGAATGTTGGTTGTTTTAAGAACTAAATTTTGGAGTGCTTTGTTACACAGTAATACTTAACTGATACAGAGCATATACATACAAATGCATCTTTTATTTTATTTATTTTTTTAAAGACTTGCTTTTTAAAGGAATCTCCCTCTGCCACTCAGGCCGGAGTGCAATGGTGCGATCTGGGCTCACTGCAACCTCTGCCTCCCGGGTTCAAGCAATTCTCCTGCTTCAGCCTCCCAAGTAGGTGGGATTACAGGTGCCCACCACCACCACCACTAATTTTTTGTATTTTTATTAGAGAAGGGGTTTCATCATGTCGGCCAGGCTGGTCTCAAACTCCTGACCTCAGGTGATCCACCCACCTCGGCCTCCCAAAGTGTTGGGATTATGGGCTCGAGCCACCACCCTCGGCCTCTTTTTCTTTTTCTTTTTTTTAAATGAGGTCTCACTATGTTGCCCAGGCTAGCTTCCAACTCCTGGGTTCAAGCCATCTTCCTGCCCCAACCTCCGGAGTAGCTGGAACAAAAGCATGTGCCACTGTATGCAGCCATTTCTTTTTTATAAGTGAGAATCTTATGAAATAAAATTTATCAGAATTCCTGTGTTTAAATCTCTTGCTGGGCAGGCACAGTGGCTCAACGTGCCCCACCAGCAAGAGATTTAAACACAGGAATTCAACACAGGAATTCAGCCAGGCACGGTATCATGCCTGGTAATTTTTTTGGTATTTTTTGTAGAGAATGGGTCTCATCATGTTGCCTAGACTGGTTTAGAACTCCTGGGCTCAAGCAATCCTCCCACCTTGGCCTCCCAAAGTGCTGGAATTACAGGTGTGAGCCACCACTCCTGACCTCTCATTTTTTACTGTAAAAAAAAAATTTACTTTGGGAGGCTGAGGCGGGGAGATCACAAGGTCAGGAGTTCAAGACCAGCCTGACCAACATGGTGAAACCCCAACTCTACTAAAAATACAAAAAAATTAGCCAGGCATGGTGGCACGCACCTGTAATCCCAGCTACTCAGGAGGCTGAGGCAGGAGAATCACTTGAACCCGGGAGGCAGAGGTTGCAGTGAGCTGAGATCACGCCACTGCACTCCAGCCTGGGCAACAGAGCGAGACTCTGTCTCAAAAAAAAAAAAATATATATATATATATATAAATTTTGAAATGCATATAAAATAATAAAAATTTACTTATCAATAATGTTAAACTTTTCTAAACTGCTAATACTAATCAATAGTTTTTGTTCAACCATTCTAGAAAAAAGACTAAATTATTTTTCTGCTCTCTCTACAGAGAATATTGTAAAATCATTGTTATATGAAGGGATTACAGGTGCGAGCCACTGCACCTGACCTCCTTCTCAATTTCTTTTCTTTCTTTCTTTTGTTTGTTTGTTTGTTTGAGACAGAGTCTAGAGTCTTGCTCTGTTGCCCAGGCTGGTGTGCAATGGTACGATCTCGGCTCACTGCAACCTCTACCTCCGAGGTTCAAGCGATTCTCCTGCCTCAGTCTCCCAAGTAGCTGGGATTATAGGCACATGCCACTGCGCCTGGCTAATTTTTTATTTTTAGTAGAGATGGGGTTTCACCATGTTAGTTAGACTGGTCTCGAACTCCTGACCTCAGGTGATTCACCCGCCTCAGCCTCCCAAAGTGCTGAGATTACAGGCGTGAGCCACCGTGCCCAGCCCTCCTTCTCAATTTCTATTCAGAAATAAAATAAAAATCTTATTGCCTTCCAAGAGGCAAACACTCTAAGAGGTAGTTTATGTCCTTTCTGCATGTTCTTTTATTTTTTTTTGGAGACTCTTTTCTTGCTCTGTTGCCCAGGCTAGAGTATAGTGGTACTATCATGACTCACTGCAACCTCGACCTCCTGGGCTCAAGCCATCCTGCAGCTTCAGCCTCCTGAGTGGCTGAGACAACAGGCACACACCACCACACTCAGCTAATTTTCGTATTTTTTTGTAGAGGCGATATTTCACCATGTTGCCCAGACTGGTCTCAACTCCTGGGCTCAAGCAATCCGCCCACTTTTGTCTCCCAACGTTCTGAGATTACTGGCATGAGCCACCTTGCCTCTAGCCCGAACTATGAATTTTTCCTGCAGATACTGAGATGATCATATTTTTCTCTGTTAACCAGGGAATATGGTGCATTACATGAAAAGATTTTCTGCTGTTGAAATGCCCTTGCCTTCCTGGGATAATCAATTGCATTTATTTTCTTTCTTTTTTTTTTGTTTTGTTTTTTGAGACAGAGTCTTGCCGTGTCACCCAGGCTGGGCTGCAATGGTGCAGTCTTGGCTCACTGCAACCTCCGCCTCCCAGGTTTAAGCAATTCTCCTGCCTCAGCCTCCTGAGTAGCTGGGATTACAGGCGCCCTCCACTATGCCTGGCTAATTTTTGTATTTTTAGTAGAGACGGGGTTTCACCACGTTGGCCAGGCTGGTCTCAAACTGCTGACCTCGTGATCCGCTCGCCTCAGCCTCCCAAAGTGCTGAGATTACAGTCGTGAGCTACCGTGCTCGGCCAATTGCATTTATTTTCTATTGTGAGTTTCTTTTCTAGCTCCCTGTCTCAGTCCATGCCTTGGAGGGACAATGACATTTCCTGTCTTGGTTCCTTGTCAAAAACTCCAGTTTCTTAGTTGGAATTTTCTAGAAGCTTCTGGAAACTTGGTTTGCTTATTAGTGATGTGATGGGATTGGTCAAGAGGCGTCAGGAGAGAACCTGGTGCTTTAGGCTGTAGAATCAGGTGAAAGCCAGGTTGTGAGCAAGTAGCAACATCCAAAGTTACCTACTTTTGTTTTTTAGCAACAGAATTCAAATTCTCTGCCCTTGTCTGGAAAGTTTATTCTGTCTCATAGATACTTTTTTTGTGAAAAGTGTAACTTTGGCTAGGCGCCGTGGCTCACGCCTGTAATCCCAGCACTTCGGGAAGCGGGCAGATCACGAGGTCAGGAGATCGAGCCCGTCCTGGCTAACACAGTGAAACCCTGTCTCTACTAAAAATACAAAAAATTAGCCGGGCGTGGTTGCAGGCGCCTGTAGTCCCAGCTACTCAGGAGGCTGAGGCAGGAGAATGGCCTGAACCCGGGAGGCGGAGCTTGCAGTGAGCCGAGATCCTGCCACTGCACTCCAGCCTGGGTGACAGAGCGAGACTCCATCTCAAAAAAAAAAAAAAAAGAAAAGTGTAACTTTATCATTTTGTGTTTTGACCACTCCCTAAGGGCCAGACACTGTGCTCAGTTTTTTATATGCCTTACTATTAATGATGCCAGTTACTATGTACTGATCTTTTCCCCAGTTCTAGGCACTGTGATCATTGTTCTGCAAATAGCATTTTATTTAATCCCCTATAGGGTAGACATTAATCACCCTATAGGGTAGGCATTAGCTCTATTCTATGCATGAGAAAACTGCGACTGAGAGGCTAACTTGCCAGTGGTCACAAGACAGAGCCCAGGTTCCAAGTCGAATTTGTCTCATTGCGGAGCCTTTGCTATGAACCATCACTATACATGCTCTGGGAAACTGGCTTTGTCAGCCCAAACATGGCATCTAGGAAATGGCCTGTAAACTCCCATGATCAGTGTTATTAAGAACCGTTAGCTCCGTGTGACCAGTGCATGACCAAGCATTGCCAAGTGCGATTGGCTGGAGTCATTTGTGGTCTGATTGATCTCAGTGTCAGCTGTGACACATGTTCACATGGGATGTCTGCAGTAATAACTCCCTTAGGGAAATTGCGTTGCACGCTGCTTTTTAAAGCTTTTAAAAAATAACAGCGTTGAGATGTAATTCATCTGCCACACAATTCCCCAATTTAAAGTGTACAACTCAGTGTTTTTTGTATATTCACAGACTTACACAACCATTACCATAATCAATTTTAGGACATTTTCATCACCCTAAAAAGAAGCCTCATTCCCATTGTAATCATGCCTCATTTCTTCCCAAACTCCCCAGCACCAGCCAAACACCAATCTGCTTTTTGTCTCTATAGATTTGCCTATTCTGGACATTTCATATAAATTAACACAATTTTCAATTAATACAACTGGCTGGGTGCGATGGCTCATGCCTGTAATCCCAGCACTTTGGGAGGCTGAGGTGGGCAGATCACTTGAGGTCAGGAGTTCAAGACCAGCCTGGCCAAAACGGTGAAACCCCGTCTCTACTAAAAATACAAAAAGTTAGCTGGGCGTGGTGGTGGGTGCCTGTAATCCCAGCTACTCAGGAGGCTCAGGCAGGAGAACTACTTGAACCCAGGAGGCGGAGGTTGCAGTGAGCCTAGATTGCGCCATTGCACTCCAGCCTGGGGAACAGGAGCGAAATTCTGTCTCAAAAAAAAAAAAATTAATATGATTAATTGTATTAATTTATATGAAATGTCCAGCATAGGCAAACTATTAGATGTATTAGTTGACTAATAAAACAATTAGTTATATTTTTTTGTGACTGGCTTTTGTGACAGGCTTCTTTCACTTTAAATAATATTTTCAAGGTTCATCCACAGCTTGTATCAGTACTTCATTTCTTTTCTTTTTCTTTTTTGAGATGGAGTTTTGCTCTGTCGCCCAGGCTGGAGTGCAGTGGCGCGATCTCAGCTCACTGCAACCTCTGCCTCCCGGGTTCAAGCAATTCTCCTGCCTCAGCCTCCCAAGTAGCTGGGATTATAGGCACCCACCACCATACCTGGCTATTTTTTTATATTTTTGGTAGAGACGGGATTTCATCATGTTGGCCAGGCTGGTCTCGAACTCCTGACCTCAAGTGATTCACCCACCTCGGTCTCCCAAAGTGCTGGAATTACAGGCATGAGTCACTGTGCCCGGCCAGTACTTCATTTATTTTCAATGCTGACTGTTTTAGTTCACTTTGTGTTGCTATAAAAGAATCTTTGAGGCTGGGTAACTTATAATGAAAGATTTATTAACCTCACAGTTCTGCCGGCTGAGAAATTCAAGGACATGGCCCTGGCTCTGGCAAGAACTTTTGCGCTGTGTTACAATGTGGTGAATGTCAAAGGGGAAATGGACACCTGTGGGGTGGGGGGGATCCTGATGGGCATCCTGGCTTTATAGCAACCCATTCTCTAGGGAACTAATTAATTCCTGTGAGATCTATCCAGGCTCGTGAGAGCAAGACCTCCCTCACTTCCTTTTGTTCCCACTTCATTGTCTCCACCTCAGCAATGAGTGAGACCACTCCTACCACATCACTAATGAGCAAACCAAGTTTCTGGAAGCTTCTATAACATTCCGGCTAAGAAACTAGAGCTTTTGACAAAGAGCCAAGACCGGAAATAACTTTGCCCCTCCAAGGCATAAACTGAGACAGGGGGCTAGAAAAGGAACTCACGGTAGAAAATAATTGCAATTGATTATCCCAGGAATGCAAGGGCATTTCAACTGCAGAAACCCTATTCATGTAATGCACCACATTACCTGGTTAAAGGAGAAAAATATTATCATGTCAATATCTGCAGGAAAAAGTAGTAGCTTGGAGTGGGTGCAGTGGCTCATGCCAGTAATCCCAGAACTTTGGGAGGCTGAGGTGGGTAGATTGCTTGAGCCCAGGAGCTCAAGACCAGCCTGTGCGACATGGTGGAATCCCATTTCTACAAAAAATACAAAAATTAGCTGAGTGTGGTGGTGTGCTCCTGTAGTCACAGCTACTCCAGAGGCTGGGATGGAAGGATGGCTTGAGCCCAGGTCGAGGCTACAGTGAGTCATGATTGCACCACTGTGCTCCAGTCTGGGTGACATAACAAGACTCTGTTTCAAAAAATAAAAATTAATAGGAGCAGCCGGGCGCGGTGGCTCACGCCTGTAATCCCAGCACTTTGGGAGGCTGAGGCGGGCGGATCACGAAGTCAGGAGATTGAGAACATCCTGGCTAACACAGTGAAAACCCACCTCTATTAAAAATACAACAAATTAGCCGGGCATGGTGGCACACGCCTGTAATCCCAGCTAATCTGGAGGCTGAGGCTGGAGAATTGCTTGAACCCGTAAGGCAGAAGTTGCAGTGAGCCAAGATCATGCCACTGCACTCCAGCCTGGGCGAGAGAGCGAGACTCTGTCTCAAAAAAAAAAAAAAAAGAAAAGAAAAAAGAAAAAGAAAAAAAAAAAGACTAGGAGCAAATAAACTAAACTCCTAGCATAGGTTAATTTGATCTGGAGAGATAATGAGTGATTGTTGTTTTCTTGTTTTCTTCTTCCTTGTCCTTTACTTTCCCTCCCCTTCCCAAATTCCTGTATTAATTTAATTACAATGTTTCAGAATTCTTCCTTTTCTGTAGTATCACTTTAGGGACCTGACTTTCTTGGGCCAGCCCTCACACCTGTCTGTCGGCAAGCGGCCCCTACCCGAGTGTGCACAGCACCTGGCCCTGTGTGATCCGGGGGGCCTCTTGGCTTGTGCCCACCCATGCCTGCAAGCGCTGTGTTCTCGCCAAGGCCTCAGATCTCAGGCTTTGATCCTCCAAATGCTTGAAGAACATCAACTCATTAGTTTCATCCCCATGACTACACAGTGGGGTCGTGGGGGCTTCCCCTTCCTCCAGCTCCTCAGGCAAGTGGATCTGGTGCCCTCTAGCAGGCAGCTGAGGACAAGTTGAGAAGGGGATGTTTGTAGAAAAGGTGTTGGGAGGTGGGAGTGGGGGCAGCAACAGAGGCACTTGCCAGAGGCCATTTCCTTCCCTGGCAGGTGTGGAATGGAGGACTTTATCAGGGTCTTTAAATTTTTAAAGACTTTTGCTGGTGATGTTTTGTCTTCCTGTCACTGTTTTATCAAAGAGGGCAGGCAAATGGGCTTTGGTGTCCTTAACTATTGTGTATGAGGGTGTGAAAGCCAGGACTGCTACAGGGACCTGCAAAACGAAGATTCCTGGGTGGGAGCAGAGGTGGGGTAGTGGGTATTGGGAAGCAGGAGAACTGTTAGTGCCTCACGCTGAATTGCTGCTGGATTCTGGTTGTTCTTTCTGGTTTTGATCCATAGGTTCTGGATCACACCCTGGAAAACTAGAACTCAGATAAGACTGGTGTTTTGTTTCTTTAAACTTTTTTTCCTTTTTGTTTACTTGGTCTTTTGTGTAGGAGAAATCCACTACCACCTCAACTTCTACTATAAGGTTGGCAGCCCTGAGGATCCTTTTTTTTTTTTGAGATGAAGTCTCGCTCTGTCGTCCAGGCTGGAGTGCAATGGCATGATCTCATCTCACTGCAACCTCTGGCTCCAGGGTTCAAGCGATTCTCCTGCCTCAGCCTCCCGAGTAGCTGGGATTACAGGCGCCCACCACCACAACCGGCTAATTTTTATTTTTGGTAGAGACAGGCTTTCGCCATGTTGGTCAGGCTGGTCTCAAACTCCTGACATCAGGTGATCCACCTGCCTTGCCCTCCCAAAGTGCTGGGATTACAGGCGTGAGCCACCACACCTGGCCTTTTTTTTTTTTTTTTTTTGAGACAGGGTCTTGCTGGGTTGCCCAGGCTGCAGTGCAGTGGCACAATCACAGCCCACTGCAGCCTCAACCTGCCGGGCTCAAGCAATCCTCAGCCTCCTGAGTACCTGGGACTATAAGTGTGTGCCACCATGACTGGCTAATTTTTATTTATTAATTTATTTTTATTTTTTCATAGAGACAGGGGGCTCATTATGTTGCCCAAACTGGTGTTGAACTCCTGGCCTCAAGCCATCCTCCTGCCTCGGCCTCCCAAAGTGCTGGGATTCCAGGCATGAGGCACGCTGCCTGGCCTAGAACTCCTTTTTTAATGGAGCATGTTATGAATGTATTCCTGCTTCCACAGGAATGAGGAGTAGACAGTTCCACACTAGTCCACAAAAGACTAGTTTTTAACTCACAGTTAGCACACTTTTTTTAGTAGAAAACGAATAGGAAAAAAAGATACAGATATGCCGCAGAGAGAGAGAAGACAAAATTACTCATAATTTCATCACCTGGAAATGTGGTTTTGGTGTCTTTTCTCCATTCATTCATTCAATAAGTATTTATTGAGCACCTATTATTTGCTATTTTGAATCCTGGGGATCTAACGGTGAGCTTAAACACTCTCTGTCCTCATATGGTTCACAGGCTAGCGAGGAGATATAATTTAACCAAAGATTAAAATTAAATGTGGATAATTAGCCAAGTTGTCTACACATAAATGGACAATTTAAACAATGACAAGAGCTAGTATATTCAGTCCTACAAGAACATAAAATATTGGGCTCTGGTTGGGCACAATGGTTCGAATATCTGGAATCCCAGCACTTTGGGAGGCCAAGGCAGGAGGATCACTTGAGCCCAGGAGTTCGAGACCAGCCTGGGCAACATGGCAAAACCCCATTTCTACAAAAAGTACAAAAATTAACAGGGCATGGTGGTGTGCACCTGTGGTTTCAGCTACTTGGGAGGCTGAGGTAGGAGGACTGATTGAGCCCAGGGGGGCTGGAGGGTTGGTGGGAGTAGAGGTTGCAGTGAGCCTAGATGGTGCCACTTCCTTCCAGTCTGGGTGACAGAGCAAGATTCTGTCTCAAAAAAAAAAAAAAAAAAAAGTTTTCTGACCTAGTTAGAGAAGTCAGGGAAGGCTTCCCTAAGGAAACAGCACTCAGCTAAGATTGAAGGATAAGTGTAAATTAAGTGGAAAAGAAGAAAAAAAGAAGAGTGCTCCAGGCAGAGGAAAGAGCAGGAGCAAAAGACCTGTAGCAGAAAAGATTACGGCACATTCAAGGGATGGACAGAGGACCTACGGCTAGAGCACAGGGCAATGTGGGTGGGAGAGTAGTCAGGGGCCAGACCAGACAGCCCCTGAAGACTTTGTTAAGAGCTTTTATTTCAGAGAATGGGAAACCATTAAAGGGTTTTTATTCAGAGAAGGTGACATTAACAGGCTTTCTTTTGGAAAATACTACTTATTACATACTTTGTGCATTTATGTACTACTTTTTTCACAAGAGGCAATTATTCTTTACTTATCATTATTATTATTTTGAGACAGAGTTTCACTCTTGTCGCCCAGGTTGGAATGCAATGGTGCAATCTCGGCTCACTGCAACCTCTGCCTCCGAGTTCAAGCGATTCTCCTGCCTCAGCCTCCCGAGTAGCTGGGATTACAGGCACCTGCCTCCATGCCCAGCTAATTTTTGTATTTTTAGTAGAGACGGGGTTTTACCACGTTGGCCAGGCTGGTCTCGAACTCCTGACCTCAGGTGATCCACTCGCCTCAGCCTCCCAGAGTGCTGAGATTACAGGCGTGAGCCACTGTGCCTAGATATTATTTTTATTTCTTTCTTTATTTTTGAAATGGAGTCTCGCTCTATTGCCCAGGCTGGAGTGCAATGGCACAATCATTTGCGGCTCACTGCAACCTCTGCCTCCCGGGTTCAAGAGATTCTCTTGCTTCAGCCTCCTGAGTAGCTGGGATTACAGGCACACACCATCACGCCCAGTTAATTTTTGTATTTTTAATAGAGAGGGGGTTTCACCATGTTGGCCAGGCTGGCCTTGAGCTCTTGACCTCAGGTGATCTGCCCGCCTCAGCCTCCCAAAGTGCTGGGATTACTGACATGAGCCACCGCGCCCGGCCGTTATTATTTTTTTTTTTTTTTGAGTTGGAGTTTCGCTTTTGTCGCCCAGGCTGGAGTACAATGGCAACATCTTGGCTCGCTGGAAACTCCGCCTTCCTGGTTCAAGCAATTCTCCTGCCTCAGCCTCCTGAGTAGCTGGGATCACACGCGTGCACCACCATGGCCAGCTAATTTTTGTGTTTTTAGTGGAGATGGGGTTTCACCATGTTGGCCAGGCTGGTCTCCAACTCCTGACCTCAAGTGATCCACCTGCCTTGGCCTCCCAAAGTGCTGGGATTACAGGAGTGAGCCACTGCCCCCAGCCTTTTTTTTTTTTTTTTTTTTTTTTTGAGACAGGGTCTTACTCCATCATCCAGGCTAGAGTGCAGTGGCATGATCAAGGCTCATTGCAGCCTTCACTTCCCAGATTCAAGCAATCCTCCCACCTCAGCTTCCTGAGTAGCTGGGATCACAAGTGTGCACCACAACACAAAAATCCAATTCTTATGGAGCTGACATTTTGCGGAAGTGCGTTCAGATTCTGGGCGTTTTGGATTTTGATTCTAGTTTCTCAAATTGTCACATGACTTTGGGCCTCAGTTCAAAAATGTAGATTCTTGGCCGGGCATGGTGGCTCACGCCTGTAATCCCAGCACTTTGGGAGGCCAAGGCGGGCAGATCACGAGGTCAAGAGATCGAGACCATCCTGGCTAACACGGTGAAACCCCGTCTCTACTAAAAATACAAAAAATTAACCAGGTGTGGTGGCAGGTGCCTGTAATCCCAGCTACTCAGGAGGCTGAGGCAGGAGAATGGCGTGTACCCGGGAGGTGGAGCTTGCAATGAGCAGAGATCCCGCCACTGCACTCCAGCCTGAGCGACAGAGCGAGACTCCGTCTCAAAAAAAAAAAAAATAGATAGATAGATAGATAGATAGATAGATAGATAGATAGATAGATTGATTCTTGGCCTGATTCTTGGCCTGACCACAGTCTTAATGAATTAATAAGGAGAAGGTAGTATGTGGAAGAGTTAACAAGCTCTCTAAAGTTATTCAGAACAGCTGGAAAATAAGAGATTAAGTGAATTAAACTGCCTCCCTTCTCTTTTTCCCAAACACTGATCAGCCACTCAGCAATCCTGCATATACATCTGTTGATATACTAAATTTTCCAAAATATTTCTCATAAGAAAGTGGGTTCAGATGGCTTGAAGGAGAAGCAAGTCCAAACATCAGAAGCAGACATTTGACCTTGAACGAGAAAGTGGTGGGGGAAGCAGAAAGTGCTGTCCTTGTCCCTGTTTTTTGTCTGCCACTGAGTTTGCTGTGCACCCAGGGCAGGTCACATTACTGATCTAAATCTTGGTGTGCTCATCACCAAAACGAAGTTACGCTTTCTCAGATAGTACCAGTTCGTGGAAAGGTGCTGGGTTAACTGCATCAAAATCACCTGGAGAGCTTATTACATCTCCAGATTGCTGGGCCCAATAGATTGGAAGAGTCTGATTCAGGGGGGATAGGATGGCATCCATCACTTCCTCTATTTTTATTTTATTTTATTTTTATTTTTATTTTTTTCTGAGACAGTCTTGCTCTGTCGCCCAGGCTGGAGTGCAGTGACACTGTCTTGGCTCATGGCAACCTCCGTCTCCTGGGTTTGGGCGATTCTCCTGCCTCAACCTCCCGAGTATCTAGGACTACAGGCCCATGCCACCATACCTGGCTAATTTTTGGGTTTCTCCATGTTGGCCAGGCTGGTCTCGAACTCCTGACTTCAAGTAGTCCGCCAGCCTCGGCCTCCTGAAGAGCTGGTATTACAGGTGTGAGCCACTGCACCTGGCCTTCCTGGGCAACTTTTGATATGGATCCAGATATGGGATCTTGCTGGGCTAGATCAAACTCTCTGTGCCTCAGCTTTCTCATCTGTAATGTGTAATCATTCCCCTGATGGTAGAATTAAATAAGCTAACTTCCATCATGCACTTAGAACAGTGTCTGGCATGTAGTAAGTACTGTGTAAGTTTTAACTATTCTATCAGTCAGGGTCCAATCAGGAAGACAAAAACCACTGTGAGTATTTAAACCAGAGGAGCCTGGGTAACCTAGGGAGACCCCATCTCTACAACAAATAAAAATTAGCCAGGCATGGTGGTGTGCTCTTGTAGTCCTAGCTACTTGGGAGACTGAGGTGGGAGGATTGCTTGAGGCCAAGAGGTTGAGGCTGCAGTGAGCTGTGATGACAGCACTGCACTCCAGCCTGGACAACAGAGTGAGACCCTATCTCAGAAAAAAAAAAAAAGAGGTAATGGAGAGGATGAGAAGACAAACGGGGATGGTGATGCAACACAGAGATTAGAGAGCATGAAGTCTGCTACCCCTTAGCAAAAGGAAGAAAGGGAAAGGTGACCAGGCGCAGTGATTCACGCCTGTAATCCCAGCACTTTGGGAGGCTGAGGCAGGTGGATCACGAGGTCAGGAGTTCGAGACCAGCCTGGCCAATATGGTAAAACCCATCTCTACTAAAATTACAAAAATTAGTTGGGTGTGGTGGCACGCGCCTGTAGTCCCAGCTCCTCAGGAGGCTGATGCAGGAGAATCGCTTGAACCCGGAGGCGGAGGTTGCAGTGAGCCGAGATTGCGCCACTGCACTCCAGCCTGGGTGACAGAGCGAGACGGTGTCTTAAAAAAAAAAAAAAAGAAGAAGAAAAAAAAAAGGCCGGGTGCGGTGGCTCACGCCTGTAATCCCAGCACTTTGGGAGGCCGAGGCGGGTGGATCACGAGGTCAGGAGATCGAGACCATCCTGGCTGACACGGTGAAACCTTGTCTCTACTAAAAATACAAAAAATTAGCCGGGCGTGGTGGTGGGCGCCTGTAGTCCCAGCTACTCAGGAGGCTGAGGCAGGAGAATGGTGTGAACCCGGGAGGCGGAGCTTGCGGTGAGCCGAGATCGCGCTACTGCACTCCATCCAGCCTGGGCAACAGAGTGAGACTCCGTCTCAAAAAAAAAAACGAAGAAAGGGAAAGGTGGTATCACTGGAGCCTAGAGTCTGGGGTCACCTGGGAGACCCACAGCCAAGCTGGATCTGCAGACAAGACACAGCCACTTCTTAGGCACTGTTGAGCAAGCTCTCTGGCTCTTTTGTTTGTCCTGCCTCCTGCCCTCCCAGTAGTGCCTCCATCAGCTGAATCCAGAAGGATGTCATCTTTCAAGGGAGCCTGGGAAGCAGTCTGCAGGGGTCACCCCTGCCTTTTAGGGGAAGGATGAAGAATGGCTCTGAGAGCAGATTCGTATATTTTGTTGTTATTATTATTATTATCATTATTATTTTCTTTAAGGTCCTTTTTGGTCCTAAAGTTCTCAGAGTTTCTAGACCTTAACCAACCACTGCAGCGGGACCCGGGGCGTCATGAGTGCTTATTGACTAATCGACTCCTTGCCCTCAGTGTACACACGTACACAAATGCTTGGCTTCTGTTCTCTGGAAACTGACAGCTCAGGCCTTGGCAAAAATTCCCCAGTGCTGAAGGCAGCACAGCCCCACCCAAGATTCAGGGAAAGGGAAGGTATGCAGCCCAGGTTTCTCGACCTGGGCAGCCTGCCTCAGCATCTTTAAGGATTCAGAAGTGATAAATAGGAAGAGCTGGCCGGTGATGTCACAAGGCAAATAGACGGGTCCTGAGGAGGTCAGGAACAGATGCAAAAAGGTAAGATTGTGGAATCCCTCTCGCAGAGCCCTGGGGTGTGAGGTGCCAGGAATTAGAGCCTCACCCGGTTTTAAGGCCACTTCCTGGAAGACTGGAAAACACCGTCTTGTCTTTGGGACACATCCCTTTAAGTATGCTCCGTGGGAGTGAAGCTCTGGGAAGTTTACTACCAAAAATGGGCAGAAAAGCTCTTTCTGAATGTTTCTTGGAAGACCCAGAATTTAACCTTGACCAAAGGCAAATGTGTTTATTTTGAAACGTTCTTAGAGAAAGGATTGAATATTGTGGAATTCTTCCAAATACACAAAAGACCTGTTCCCCCAAATCATTCTTCCAGCAAATATTTATGGGTAGCAGCTTGGCTACTAAGTCAGGCAATGAGTTTGGGAGCGAGAACTAGATTAGCCTGTTGCTTTGCCTCTGCCCTGGCTATGTGGCCTTGGGCAAGGGACTTAAGTTCAGTTACTTTATCTGTAAAATAGGAATAATAAGAATTACCTTGTAAATTTATGAGGATTAAAATGAGCTTATGTATGAGAGTATTTAGCACAGAGTCTGGTATCCAGTGAGTAATCAGGAAATGGTAATAGTTCATTTTATTATGACTCGCATGGCTTGTATGACACTTTGCAAAACACTTTCCCTTATATTAGCTGATTGGATCTCCTCTCAGCTCTGTGAGGTGGGTCAGGGAACCAACATTGATCTTGACTCTACTGTGGATCTAGCACCCTGCCACATGCTTAACAGTGATCAACTTGTTGGTTTCAGTTATTCAATACATATTTGAGTATCTATTTTATGCCAGGCTATTCTATGCACTGGAGATACAGCAATAAACAAAGGAGACAAAAGCCCCTGCTTCTTGCAGAGGATACACTCAATGCAGGGAGACAGACAATGAGTACAATTTAACAAACTCTTATGTAAACTGTCTCCTAAAGTGCTTTACAAATATTAACTCACGACCTATGAGGAAGTTGTTATTATGCTTATCCCATTTTACAGATTAGAACACTGAGTTCCAAGGGGATTGAAAGTCACAAGGTCTCACAGCTAAGGAGAGCTGGATTCAGGATTCAAAGCCAGGCAGTGTGACTCCAGAGTCCATGCTCTTAATCTTTTTTTTTTTTTTTCTTTTTTTGAGGCAGAGTCTCCCTCTGTCGCCCAGGCTGGAGTGCAGTGGTGCAATCTCGGCTCACTGCAATCTCCGGGTTCAAGTGGTTCTCCCACCTCAGCCACCCGAGTAAATGGGACTACAGGCATACACTACCATGCCTGGCTAATTTTTTGTATTTTTAGTAGAGACAGGGTTTCACTATGTTTCCCAGGCTGGTCTCAAACTCCTGAGCTCAAGCGATCTGCCCGCCTCAGCCTTCCCAAAGTGCTGGGATTACAGGCATGAGCCACTGTGCCCAGTCCATGCTGTTAATCTCTACTATAGGTCATCTCTCAAAAAAAAAATCATATATATACTAATAAATTAAAGTATGATAAGTGCTATGAAAACATATAGGCTGGATGTGGGGCTCACACCTGTAATCCCACTGCTTAGGGAGGCCGAGGCAAGAGGATCACTTGATCCCAGGAGTTGGAGACCAGCCTGGGCAACAGTGAGACCCCGGCTCTACAAAGATAACTTTTACAAAGCTTAAAAAAAAAAAAAGCAGAGTAAAGGGAAAAGAGAGTGATGGGAGAGTGCTCTCTCTGCAGGGGGCTTGGGGAGGCCTCTCTGATGAGCCACATCTGAGCAGAGACCTGAAGGAGGTGAGGGAGAGGGGCAGGTGGATGTCTGGGAAGAGTGATCCAAGCAGAGGGAACGGCAAGTGCAAAGGCCTGTGGCGGGCCCACCCCTGATGTTGGGAAAGCTCAGGGATCTAGTGGGAGCCGAAGTGGAAGATGGCTTGGCCTGAGCCTCTGGAAGGAAAGAGTGCAGGAGGCGCAGGTGTGTCGGGGAAGGCCAGGAGTTCAGTTTGGGATAATCTCACCATCACCCATCAAGTGGAAAGCTCCGAAGGGCCTAGAGGGGTCAGGGAACTCACACCAGGTCACTCAGGCAGTCATTTTCAGAGGCACGATTCACAACTCAGGTCTGTGGACCCTAACTTCAGGCCATGGGCATGTCTTAGTTTGGGTGCTGTGGGGAAGTCTGGAGAGGTAAGAGTCCGATAGCCCTGACCTCTGACCCTGTGTTGGTCCATTTGCATTGCTGTAAAGGAATACCAGAGACTGGGTAATTTATAAAGAAAAGAGGTTTATTTTGGCTCATGGTTCTGCAAGCTGTACAGAAAGCATGGTGCTGGCATTCGCTTCTGCTGAGGGCCTCCAGAAGCTTCCAATCATGGTGGAAGGCAAAGTGGGGACGTGTCACAGGGAGAGAGAGGGAGTAACAGAGAGGTGGGGGAGGCACCAGGCTCTTTAAACAGCACACAGCGCCAAGGGAGGGGAGTTCAAAAACTGGAAAAGTGATCCCAGGGAGTCCAAGCAGGGTCCTGACAGTGTCCACTACACTTCCCTTCCCTATTTCAGAAATGGCGTTGTCTGGCTGGGTGTGGTGGCTCATACCTGTAATCCCAGCACTTTGGGAGGTGGAGGAGGGAGGATCACTTGAGCGATCCTCCTGGCTGGAATTCAAGACTAGCCTGGGCAACATAGCAAGACCTCATCTCTACTAAAAATAAAAATAAAAAACTAGCTGGGCATAGTGGTATGCACCTATAGTCCCAGCTATCTGGGAGGCTGAAACGAGGATTTCTTGAGCCTGGGAGATCAAGGCTGCAGTGATCTGTGATTGTGCCACTGCACTCCAGCCTGGGCAACAGAATAAGACTCTGTCTCAAAAAAGGAAATGGTATTGTCATCCTGCTGATTGCTCGGGCCAGGCCAAAAACCCTGGAGTCATTCTTGACCTGCTCTGCCTCTCATACTCCACATCCAATCTTTTGGCCAATTTTGTTGACAATACTTCAAAATATACCCAGAATCTGATCATGGGTTTTTTAATTTTTTTAGTAAATTAAAAAAAAAAAGTGGTAAAATACACATAACATAAAATTTACCATCTTAACCATTTTTTAGTGTATTCTTCAGTGGTATTAACTGCGTTCCTATTGTGTAACCATTGCCACCATCCATTGAACTCTTTTCATCCTGCAAAACTGAAACTGTGTACCTGTTAAACATTTTGTTTATCCATTCATCTATCAGTGGGTGCTTGGATTGGTCCTACCTTTTGACTATTATGAATAATGCTGCTATGAACATGGGTGTACAAACATCTCTTCAAGTCCTGCTTTTTTTTTTTTTTTTTGAGATGAAGTTTCACTCTGTCACCCAGGCTGGAGTGCAATGGCGCAATCTCGGCTCACTGCAACCTCTGCCTCCTGGGTTCGAGCAATTCTTCCACCTCAGCCTCCCAAGTAGCTGGAAAAACAGACGTGCACCATTATGCCCAACTAATTTTTGTATTTTTAGTAGAGACGGCATTTTGCCATGTTGCCCAGGCTGGTCTCAAACTCCTGACCTCAAGCGATCCACCTGCCTCGGCCTCCCAAAGTGCTAGGATTACAGACGTTGAGCCACTGTGCCTGGCCCCTGCTTTCACTTTTTTTGAGTATATACCCAGACATGGAATTGCTGGATCATATGGTAATTCTATTTTTTTTTTCTTAAGGAACTACCATACTGTTTTCCATAGCGACTGCACCATTTTACATTCCCACCAACAGCACACAAGGATCCTAATTTCTCCACATCCTCACCAATGCTTGTTACTTTCTGGGTTTTAAAAAATCTTCTGCCAGGCATGGTGGTTCATGTCTGTAATCCCAACACTTTGGGAGACTGAGGCAGGAAGATCGCTTGAGCCCAGGAGTTAGAGACCAGCCTGGGCCATAGGGAGATGCTGTCTCTACAAAAAAAAAAAAAAAAAAAAATTAGAAAATTAAAAAATTAGGCCGGGTGCAGTGGCTTATGCCTGTAATCCCAGCACTTTGGGAGGTCGAGGTGGGCAGATCACCTGAGGTCAGGAGTTCAAGACCAGCCTGGCCAACAAGGCAAAACCCCATCTCCATTAAAAATACAAAAATTAGCTGGGCGTGGTGGCACCCGCCTGTGGCCCCAGCTACTCAGGAGGCTGAGGCGGGAGAATCGCTTGAACCTAGGAGGCGGAGGTTGCAGTGATCCCAGATCGCACCACTGCACCCTAACCTGGGCGACACAGCGAGACTCCATCTCAAAAAAAAAAAAAAAAATTAGCCAGGCGTGATGGCACACACCTTTATTTCCAACTACTTGGGAGGGTGAGGTGGGAGGATCGCACTTGAGCCTGACAGGTTGAGGCTGCAGTGAGCTGTGATCATGCCACTGCACTGCACCCCTGCTGGGGTGACAGCAAGACCCTGTCTCAAAAAAAAAAAAAAAAAAAGTCTGACTGTTTCAGACCCACTCCATAATGACCAATCTGAACCAAGCCGTTTCATCTTTTGCCTGGATAACTGCAATGGAGCCCCCACCAGCCTCCCTGCTTCCCTTGTCCCTTATAATTTTCTCAACATCACTCCTCTGCTCAAAACCAACAGTGGCTGCCTCCCCTGGTTCCCCAAGTAGGGGCCAAAGTTCTTACAATGGCCTACATGCTCTACAAGGTGTGATCCTGGCCCTCCCATACTCTGACTCACTTCCTACTTGCTCTCTCTACTCCAGCCACACTGGCTTTCTTGCTGTTCCAAGTAATCTACTGTCTCGGGGCCTCTGCCCTGTTTTCTCTGCCTGGAATGCTCTTTCCAAAGCGTGGTTCCTTCACTTCCTTCAAGTCTTTGTTCTAATGCCACTTTATGAGTAAGGCCTCTGGGCTTTCTTGTTTGCTCTCCGAGTTCCCATCATTTTCTGCCCTTCTGTGCCCTGTCCTGAGCCTGGGGAGAATGACCCCTCTAGAAAGCAACCTGGGCTTTCTTGCCTCAGGCTTCTGAGTGGGTTTGGTGAATGGGAGGTGCCACCAGGAGATGAAAGGCAAGAGGGGAGAGATGCTGGGGTATTTTTTTTCCCTGCACTTTCTCTGCTCTGCTCTGGGCAGTGGCTGTGCCTTCCTCGATCACAGCTGCATTTGGGAATGGATCCCACACTTCCCTGTCCCCTTATCCACGGACTTCCAATAACATGATTTCCTCTCTGACCTTCAGTTCTCAAAGTAGTCATGCCTTCCAGCTTTTGTTTGTCTCTCTGGTGCCTCAACACCCCTGTTGTCTGGGCTCCCTGAACCCTGCCCATTTCTCTCGTCCCTTCCTTAAGACTTGAACCTCCCGGCTGGGCGCAGTCTCTAACGCCTGTAATCCCAGCACTTTGGGAGATCGAGGCGGGCAGATTGCCTGAGGTCAGGAGTTTGAGATCAGCCCGGCCAACATGGTGAAACCCTGCCTCAACTAAAAATACAAAAATTAGCTGGGGATGGTGGCAGGCACCTGTAGTCCCAGCTACTCGGGAGGCTGAGGCAAGAGAATCGCTTGAACCCGTGAGGCGGAGGTTGCAGTGAGCCGAGATCTCGCCATTGCACTCCAGCCTGGGCATGGCAGCGAGATGTCTCAAAAAAAAAAAAAAAAGTGCAGTTGCTATGGAAAACAGTATGGTGTTTCCTCAAAAAATAAAGCAGGCTGGAGTGCAGTGGTGTGATCATAGTTCACTGCAGCCTCAACCTCCTGGGCTCAAGCTATCCTCCCGCCTTAGCCTTCTGAGTAGCTGGGACTACAGGCCCGTGCCAGCAAGCCTGGCTAATTTTTTTTTTTGTATTTTTTGTAGAGACAGGGGTCTCGCTGTGTTGCCCAGGCTGGTGTCAAACTCCTGGGCTCATCCACCCACCTCAGCCTTCTAAATGGGATTACAGGCGTGAACCACTGCCCACTGCGCCGGGCCCCCCTGTCCTTGTTCTTGTACACGGTACATGTTACCATCTAACATATTATATTTCCACGTATTTTTTCACTTTCCTCTACCCTCCACACTCTGGATGGCAAGTCCGAAGGCGCAGGGATGTTTGTTCACTGTTGTATCTTAAGTGGTTGGCACATCGCCGGCTGTCAGCAAATGTTTTTGAAATGAATGAATGAGTGAATGACCGACAAGGGGAGCTAAGGGGAAGGCAGCGGTGCGGTCCGCGTCGCAGGCAGAAGAGCTGACTCTCCAATCTCCGCTCCTCTCTCCGCCCCCGTCCGGAATGCTGAGTGCCCGAGAAGGAGGCGGAAATGAGCGCGCTCAACAGCCCACCAGCCGGGTGTTTACTTAATTAGGGCCTGCATCCCGAGGCTCGTTTGTGTTTAACCGTCCGCCTAATGGCTTCGTCTGGCTCCGGGCGGGCGCGGGGGAACCTGCGAGGCGAGCGTAGGCCTGGCCACCCTGTCCCGCCGGGGGCCCACTCCATTGCGCCGCGCGGGTGCGCGTAGACCTGACCTCCCCTCGGGCATAAAAAGCGCCCTGCGGGAGATCCAGGCCGGGAGGGCGCGGAGCTCAGCGAGCAGCCCCAGGCTTTCCCAACCGCGTGGTCCACCCCCAGCCTCAGTCCCAGCCCCAGCTGCTGGGCTCACCCGCCGGCTAAGGGAATGCTCCCGAGATACCAGATGCCAGTTGCTCGTTGTACCCTCAGCCATGAAATTGGAGGATTACAACGCTTCTCATTCTCTTAATTCAGGGGATGTGGGGATGCTAGAAAGAGAGACGGCTCGCCAGACATCTGAGAGCAATAATACCAGGCAGCATTTGGGCACTTGCTGTGTGCCAGATATGATGTTTAGCGTTTTAAACCTTCTAATTTATTTAATACTCATCTATGAGAGGGTAAAATACTAAGATCATAACAGCCCCATTTGACAGATGCAGAACTGAGGCCCAGGGGGTTTATTTTACTTCCCCGAGGCTTCAGCGCTACTAAGGGGTGGGACCTGGATTTGAACCCAGGTGGGGCCGGCCTTAAGGGCCCATGCTAGGCCTGAGAGAGCAAGACCCCCACCCTCGCAACGCAAGCAATCCATGGCTTAGCCACAGGCCTGGCGGGGAGGAGGACGGATAGATTACCAGGTTAGCCCTGGAAGGTCAAAGAATCTGTCATTTAAAACTCCAGGCTGGGCCCCGTTTCTCACGCCTGTAATCCCAGCACTTTAGGAGGCCAAGGGAAGCGGATCACTTGAGGTCGGGAGTTCGAGACCAGCCTGGCCAATATAGCGAAATCCCGTCTCTACTAAAAATACAAAAATTAGCCTGGTGTGGTAGTGGGCGCCTGTAGTCCCAGCTACTCGGGAGGCTGAGGCAGGAGAGTCGCTTGAACCTGGGAGGCGGAGGTTGCAGTGAGCAGAGATGACGCCACCGTACTGGACGACAGTGAGACTCCATCTCAAAAAAACAAACAAAACAAAAAAACCTCTCCAGTCTCCAGTCCGTTCCTCAAACCCCTAAATCTGAGCTGGGGACGGGGAGGGAGAAGGACCAGGAGGTGGCATCCAGGGCTTCTCAAGGCAGCAGCAGAAGGTGAAGGAGGAGTGAGGGGACAGGTGAGAGAGACTGACCGGGAAAGCTCAGCTCCGTGGGGAAGGGCTTGTGGGGTAGTGATTGAGACTCAGGACCGTTTTCATGGCCAGAGCCCACTTGTGTGCAGCAAGAGGAAAGCACTTCGTGTCTAACGTAGTGGAATGAGAGTAACGTAGAAGAACAACGAATCCCAGGTCTGGCGTTTATCTCCTAGGAAGGGTGTGGGAGAGCTGTTTTCCAAGGGAGACTCTCTGGAGGCTGCTTTGCGCAGCAAGCAGTTTTTACCCAGATTATATACAGTATTTCAGACCAATTTCAAAACCTCTGCGTTTTAAAAATTGTCTTTATTTACATTTTACAGAAAGTTGAGAAAGTGTTATTTATATGGGGGGTAGGGGTGCTGGAGATTATGAGACTAATAACAACCCTCTTAGCTCGCACCCTTTGGCACCACTACAGCTTCCAAACTCTGGGACTTTCTCGACTAGCTTCCCTTTGTTTAGCTGTGAAATGGAAGAAGCGGTCCGGGTGTGGCGGCTCATGCCTGTAACCTGAGCACTCTGGGAGGCGGAGGATCGCTTGAGTCCAGAAGTTCAAGACCAGCTTGGGCAACATAGGGTGACCCTCCACCCTCCCCCCGCCCCACCACATCGCTACAAAAAATTTTTAAAAATTAGCCGGGTGTGGTGGCGCAAGCCTGTAGTCTCAGCGGGAGCTGAGGGAGGAGAATCGCTTCAGCCCGGGAGGTCGAGGCTGTAGTGAGCCGAGATCGCGCTACTGCACTCCTGGGCGACAGAGCGAGACCCTGTCTCCAAAAAAAAAAAAAAAAGAAAAAAGAGGAAGTTGTATCCAATTCAGAAACGCGGTCCTTCGGGACCTGCTAGTTTTATACCCCGGAGGATCCTCCCCGGCGGGCTGGCACGGGAGGTGGAGAAAGAGGCTTGGGCGGCCCCGCTGTAGCCGCGTGTGGGAGGACGCACGGGCCTGCTTCAAAGCTTTGGGATAACAGCGCCTCCGGGGGATAATGAATGCGGAGCCTCCGTTTTCAGTCGACTTCAGATGTGTCTCCACTTTTTTCCGCTGTAGCCGCAAGGCAAGGAAACATTTCTCTTCCCGTACTGAGGAGGCTGAGGAGTGCACTGGGTGTTCTTTTCTCCTCTAACCCAGAACTGCGAGACAGAGGCTGAGTCCCTGTAAAGAACAGCTCCAGAAAAGCCAGGAGAGCGCAGGAGGGCATCCGGGAGGCCAGGAGGGGTTCGCTGGGGCCTCAACCGCACCCACATCGGTCCCACCTGCGAGGGGGCGGGACCTCGTGGCGCTGGACCAATCAGCACCCACCTGCGCTCACCTGGCCTCCTCCCGCTGGCTCCCGGGGGCTGCGGTGCTCAAAGGGGCAAGAGCTGAGCGGAACACCGGCCCGCCGTCGCGGCAGCTGCTTCACCCCTCTCTCTGCAGCCATGGGGCTCCCTCGTGGACCTCTCGCGTCTCTCCTCCTTCTCCAGGTACTCCACAGCCTCGCCGTGGCCCCGACCGGGACCGCTCCCTGGGGGGCGGGCGGGGTCCGCATGGGGCAGTGGCGTCGGGGAGAGCGCGGGGCTGCGCTCCCTGGGGCCAAGGGAGTCCCGGAAGGCCCGTGAGGACCCTGCGGTGTGGGGAGTGCAGGGCCGGGCACGCCTGGACCCAGCCTCCTTCACTCTCTGCCCTCGGGCGCAGGTTTGCTGGCTGCAGTGCGCGGCCTCCGAGCCGTGCCGGGCGGTCTTCAGGGAGGCTGAAGTGACCTTGGAGGCGGGAGGCGCGGAGCAGGAGCCCGGCCAGGCGCTGGGGAAAGGTAAGATCCTCAGGGTGGAACCGCAGGGTAGGGGCCGCACGTGACCATTTTGGTGTGGACCGCGCGAGGGGTGTTCGGGCCGGGGCAAGGGACTCCTGGCGCCACCTCAGTTCCCGGGGAGGCGCAGAACGCGCCTCGGGGGCTGGGATTGGGGGTGGTGGCTGACGGAGAAGGCTGGGCAGCAGAGCGCCTATGACATCCAGCCCCTTGTCCGGTAGCCACTGCTTACCTTGACCCCCTCCTCCGAGATGCCGGATGGCTGAGCCCCTCACCCAGTCTCGACGTGGGAAGTTCTCCCCCGCTGGCCCCAGCAGAGGAATGCGCCGGCCACATTCTTCCCCCAACCCGCGCGCAGGTGTGGGGATGAGCCGTGCCCCGGGCAGCCCCCTTCGCCCCTCTCGGGCCCCCTTTGTGAACCGTGCTTTGTGTCTCCGACAGACAGACCGGGTCTGTTTCTTTTCTCCGAGCTTCCCTACCCCGCCCCCCTTCTTCCTCGGCAGCTGGAATGCACTCTTAACCCTGCTCTTCCCGGAGGGCCTGCGCCCTTGTAGCCTGCCTGGAAACTGGGCCCTGGCACACCTGGGCTGGGGCCATCACGTACGGGAACCACCCCGCCCCCAGCGTCTGGGGCCTGGGATGCTAGGTCACTGGGGGGAGTTTGAGGGGGACAGTGTCCCAAGCTGGCAGGCCTGGGGCTATGGGGGCGATGGACGGGAGATCAAAGCACATTTTTGATCCCTCAGTTACTCCTACCCCCCCCCTCCCCGCCCCAAGTTCAAAAACCTGAGGGGGTGGGCGGTGCAACGTTAGTGAGGAGAACCAGTGTGTTATGAGACCCAGGCGGTTGGTTGCTGGCTAGTGGAGGGCTTTCTCCCTCTAGGTTAAGAGGACAATGGATGGGGGCTCCAGCAAGGGTTGAAACCTAGTTCTTAAACGGGTATAACCCTGGATCCTTGGGTCGGGTTTCAGAGGATCCTTACACTGAAATTTTTGGGAACTTGAGTATTCATTTTTAGGGGGAAGGAACCGTGGCTTACCTGGCCTTCAAAACACTGAGAACCCTTGCTACCTAGCATTCTTCTAAAGTCTCCATCAACTTATCCCTCACCCCAGGCACAAACTCCCACTGCTTGAATGTGGGGCTGTCAATGCCTAGGGGACAGAGTGGCTCTCTTTTATTTCTCCAAAAGAGGATTGAGGACCTTGAGTCTGTGGAGGCCCTTTTTAAAAAAATTCTTTCTGCAAATAACTGCAGATTGACAAAACAATTAACACCCAGGCTAGGCTAGGCTCCTTAAACCCTTGGCTGTAGGGAGCTGAGGAGAGGCATTAAGAAGCCATGCCTCATAAACTTTAAATTCTTGCGCAGGGGTTTATTACTGGCTGGCTAACAAACTGCAACTCAGCCAACCTGTAAAAATGTGAATTCGGGCAGGGCCCCAAATCCAATTCCGGCTCCCTGAGGAAGCCTTATTGCTAACCAGACTTCTGCCAAATCTACGCCCCCTCCCCCCGCCCCATTGTCAAGTTCTCTGACTACAGTCTCCCAGAATAGGCTATAGCCTTGAGTGTTGTCTGTACCTTATCTTTCCTACTGAAGCAAGAAATATCAGATTAGCTGTCACTTCACTAGGCTTGAGGTTTTGGGGGGAAGCAGTGATCAGGTTTTCGATTTCATCGTTGGGTTGGCGAGTGTTTCCCAATGACGTCAGGCATTTTAAACCTTTAGAGGAAATTCAGCTTTCTCGGATGTCTGCTTTACGGTTGTGAAAAACGGTGGGTTTGCGCCAGGAGCACACCTGGGTTATACAACAAAGGACGGGTTAATGCGCTCGGCGCACCTTGAAACTCCCTGCCACACGGCTGGGTCTTAGAGTAGGCTTCTGGTGGCATGGGCTGCTGCTTGCTTTTTTAAGTAAAAGTGCATTTCTTGGTCCAGTTGGTCCCAATAAATTGGGACTTCCCAACAAAACATATTGCTATTTCTCCCTTTGGTCTTCAGCTGGCACTTTGACCACCCCACCTGCACCCTAGTTCCTCATCCTCAAAACATAGATCCCCAGCCTGGATCCAGCCACGTTGAAAGGGTTATCCTGCAGGAACGTATAGACTCTCAAGTTTAGCCAAGCAGACAAGTTTCCATATTGCTAAGGAACAATCACCCCTGTTGTTCGCCCCTGGGTTATGAATATCAAGGGTGTCTATGAAGTTCAGCTCAAAGAACTTATCTGATGTAATTAATGCCTTGTTTGTATGTGCATCTTCCCCTTCAAAGCCCTTTTGCAACTCTGAGCTTGCTTTATCCTCCTAACATTCCCTTGAAGCAGGTGAGGTAAATGTTAAACAAGCTGAGCTCTTAATCTCAGAATTTTGAACTTCAGAAACCCCATAGTCTAGCCTTGCCTGAGGTTTTGAAGGTGGAGAAACAGAGGCACAGCTTAACGGATTGGATTCACTAAGCCAAACAGCTCATGAACTTCTTTGAGGGTGACAGACACAACTTTTACCTCCTGGTATATGCCCAGGGCCTGGTACCTTACAGGATGCCCAGTCCTGTATGAATTATGAATGAATTTGACAACCTTGTGAAGGGCGGCCCATTTTATAGATGAAACCTACATGACTGTGGCTTCACCAAGTCATCACTGCAGTGATCAGCTGGGATTTGAATGGAAATTTTGGACCCCCAAGTTCCCTGGCTTTTTTTTTTTTTTGAGATAGGGTATCGCTCTGTCACCCAGCCCAGGCTAGAATGCAGTGATGCAATCACGGTTCACTGCAACCTCTACCTCCTGGGCTCTAGTGATCCTCCTATCACAGCCTCCCAAGTAGCTGAGACCACAGACATGTGCTACCATGCCTGGCTAATTTTTAATGTTTTCTAGAGACGGGGTCTCACTATGTTGCCCAGACTGGTCACAAACTCTGGGCTCAAGCAATCTTCCCACCTCAGCCTCCCAAGCACTGAGATGACAGGTACGATCCACTGTGCCCAGCTCCCTGGCATTTTTTACTACCAGAAAGCAGGGCCTGAGTGGAGAGGGTAGAATGTTGGATCCCTGAATCCCACAGCTATTAATAACAAGCTCTCCCGGCCCCCCACCCCAAGAGTGCTTAGTCTTTTTTTTTTTTAATTGTAGGATTTTCCAGAAACATTGATGTAGAGGAAACTGGTTTGGATTTAGTCTCTAAGGGCCCAAGTGAGGGGTCTTGACTAGCTCAAGAGGAAAGGTTAATCTGGAGGGAAGGAAAGCCGGCACATTCCCCCATCCCAGTGCCACAGTCTGGGGGCCACCTTCCTTCAAGTGTGGTCTGGAAGCCGACAGTGGAGAGGTGGGAGGAGGGAACTTTCATGGTATTAGTGCAGTGATTAAGTGAGTGACCTACAGTGGTCTACTCATCCTTAAGGGTGAACAACTGAGAGAGGCAGCTTAATGGCAGTCAAACAGATGCAGTCCTTCATTATGGCCTTCAGCAGGATCATCTGACCCACAGTCAGCCTTTGGGTCAGATTAAAAACTAACCATCAGCTTTGGGAGGAAGCTTCCAAGTTCAATAATGCATCTGACTGAGCACAAATTAACATCAAGATGGTTTTGTCTATTTCAGCTCTGGGTGTAAAAACTGCCTTTTATTGTGGAAGCCCCTACTCTGGGGTATGCCCTTTATTTCCATTTCATTCTTCCTGTAAGCATATATTTCGCATCTGCATAGATCAGGCACTGTTCCACAACTTCAACTAAAGCAATGAACAAAACGAAGTCCCTGCCCTTGGGGAGCTTACAGTCTAGTAATTTTTCTTTTTTTCTTAAAAACAGAGGTTTTATTCCATTTGGTCCACAGTCGGTGTTTCACATTATCTCACGGTGCAGGGCCCCTGGGTAAGGGGGGTCCCTGTGCAGTACTTGGAGGGGCGTGTGGCCAGGGGAGATGAAGCAGTATAGCTGGTCAGGCCCAGAAGGGGAGATGGAGGGCTGGGGGCTCCTTAAAACCTACTGAGGGGCGAGGCGCGGTGGCTCACGGCTGTAATCCCAGCACTTTGGGAGGCTGAGGCGGGCAGATCACATGAGGCCAGGAGTTCAAGACCAGCCTGGCCAACATGGCGAAATCCCGTATCTACTAAAAACACAAAAATTAGCTGGGTGTGATGGTGGTGTGCCTGTAACCCAGTTACTTGGGAGGCTGAGGCAGGAGAATCGCTTGAGCCCAGTAAGTGGAGGTTGCAGCAAGCCAAGATCACGCCACTGTACTCCAGCCTGGGCAACAGAGTGAGACTCCGCCTCAAAGAAAAAAAAAAAACCTGAGGACCACAGTAGGGGGTAGTTAGCATGGAGAGGGGGTCAGGTTTAGCCCCAACAACTCAGAATTCTGCTCCCTTGTGCAGGCCTCAGTTTCCCCACCGGGCCCCTGGGCAGGCCTGAGGGTCCTAGAGAAAGCCGGCCACTCAGGAGCCTGACATATTTTAGCATCGTGGTCAGGTCCCCTCTCCTAGGGGACTCATTTCCCAGCACCCTCTCCACTGTCCCTGCCCCATTCCTTGGGGAAAAAATATATATATTTTTTCTTTTTTTGAGACGGAGTTTTGCTCTTGTTGCCCAGGCTGGAGTGCAATGGCGCAGTCTCGGCTCACCGCAACCTCCACCTTCTGGGTTCGAGTGATTTTTCTGCTTCAGCCTCCCAAGTAACTGGTACAGGCATGCGCCACAACGCCTGGCTAATTTTGTATTTTTAGTAGAGACGGGGTTTTATCATGTTGGTCAGGCTGGTGTCGAACTCCCGATCTCAGGTGATCTGCCCACCTTGGCCTCCCAGAGTGCTGGGATTACAGGTGTGAGCCACCACGCCCGGCCATATTTTTATTTTAATATTTCCTGAAACTTCTGTGGGTACAGAAACCACAAACTGATCGGCTGACAAAAGGGGGAAGAGGCAAGGCAACTGGAAACCTTCGGGGACCAGTTCCCTCCACGCCCAGGTCTCTTCTCCCCAGCACAGCTCAGTCCATAGCCTGGACGTGCCAGCAGGGACCCTCACCCTACATGCTTCGGGATACAGCCTTAACCCCTTCCCCCACAGCCTGGTGGCCCAGTTCTGTGAAGGAACCAAGGCAAGGGGGGAATATCCCTGCTGCCACATCCCATGACGCCACTCACAGACCCTCAGTTGATTGGCAACATTGAACAGGTTAAAAAAAAAAAAAAAAAGAAGAGGAAAACGTAGAAAAACACCAAAACCCAGACAGGGAGACGATGTGGGGAGAGAGCGTGCTGGGAGCCTTAGTAGCTGGCCTCCTCCTGGTAGTAAGGGGGATATTCAGGGGCCTTCCCTGGGCCTGGGCAGTCGTTGGTGCCCGAGGGAGCCCTGTTGGCCACTGGGCCTTGTGGGCAGTAGTTGGAATTGTATATCTGCCGGCCCAGGCCAAAGACCTGGCTGCTCTGGTTAGCACCCTGCAGGTAGCCCATCTGCAGGGACACGGAGGAGTTGTCATACTTGTTGGTGCCCAGCTTGGTGTCATAGATGTGCAGCTGGGTCCAGGGAGCCGTCATGCCCATGTGGCTGGCGCACTTGTTTGTACCCATCTGGAGGCTGATGGTCGAGTGGTCCACGGGGGCAGGATATGGTTCTTGGGGCTGTAGAGATGCCTCCTTGTGCCGTACATGGTCATACCCGACTGGCTTGCACATTTGTTGGTGCCCATCTGCAGCCCGATGACGCACTGGCCGGCCTTCATGGTGTTCTAGTCGAAGTTTTGCTCCTGCTTCTTTGAGTACCTGACACTGATGTCCACCCCGCTCTGCAGCCCCTTAGTCTTGGCCTTCCCCGCCAGGGCAAGAAGAGACACCTGCACCTGCATCATGTTCCCACTCTCAAACAGGTTACTGGCCTCAAACAGGTCCATGGGGTTCATGCCATAGCTGACTATGGCCTTGATGAAGTTGGAGAGGTTTTCTAGCTGGTGCCAGTTCTGCATGGAGTGGTTGATCTAGGGGACTGAGCCTGGCTGCAGCTCGTTCATGAGTGTGTGTAAGATAATTCTGTCCTTCAGGCCCTGCTGGAAGTCAGGGCTGATGGAGAGGCTGGTGAGTCCCTCGATCCAGCTGTGGAGCTCTGCCTCCTTCTGGGGGTCATATCTGGACAGGAGCCGGTTCTTGACCTCGGCGGAGAGCCAGTATGAGGGGCCCTTGTTGAATTGCATGGAGAATACGGCTGGCAGGTGCGGTGGCAGGACAGGACCGACTAGAGGTGACCAACGGGCCCTAATTTAGTAATTTTCTGTGCTTATGGGCTGCCCTGCAAAGCAGTTGTTGATAATTTCCACTTAGCTGTAAAATGAGGTTGAGGAAGTCAGTGAGAGGTCACTGGTGCAACAAACAGAAGGCCAGGAATTAAACCCTGGTGTTTTGCCTCCACAGCCCAGGGAGATATCCATAAATGTGGCTCCGAGGAGTGAATGGGAACTGGACCTTCAAGCCTAGCAGGCCGCTTTCCTGGCTTAGCAGCAGAGTAGGGTTAACTTGCTGAAAACTCTGTCCTGCATCACCAGTAGCTTGTGCCTGGGGAGCAGGTCTCAAACCTCTAGTCTCCCTTCCCATTTCCTCATATGCCACTGTGTTCCTAGGTTACCCAGTGCAGGGTGCTCTCACCTCCCTGCTGCACAAGGAAGGCATTGCTTATGACAAGCAAAGAGTTTCTAGGGCCAGAAACTATACCTCTGCAAAGCATTTGGAGGATGATGGAAGAGGAGGGAGGAAGGGCCTCCCCAGCTCCCATCAGTTGAGGCTTTGGTCCTGAGGCTGAACAGTCTCCATTCAGAGACTCGATGTTATTGAAGAATAACAAATGTAGACAAAAGTGCCGAAATGATGAGTGTGCAGCCCGATGAACATCGCAAACTTAAAACCCCTGTGTTTCTGGCGCACAGATCAAGAAACAGCATTACCAGAGCCTTGGATGCCCCCTCCCTCCTAATTTCAACCTTCTCTCAAGATAACCACTCTTCTGACTTCTGAGTACCACAGGTGAATTTGCCTGCATTTGAACTTTCTGTAAGAGGATCATACAATTATCTTAGCTCTGGCTGCTTTCATGGCACCATTGAGAGATTCTTGCGTAATTCTGGATGTAGTTCTAGTTGATTCTCATTGTATAGTATTTCATTATGTGACTATCCACAATTCTGCTGTTGATGGGCATTTCAGTAGTTTCCATTTTGTGCAAATCTTCTAGTGACCTGTGCACCCCTATTTGTTAGTTATACACCTGGGGCACAATTGCTGGGTTAACTGATTACCTGAGGATTCCAGTACTGTGATCCTGGACTGAGATATCAGCTCCTCTCTGTTCTGAAGTAGTGAGGTGTCTTCTGCATTCTCCCACCCCAACAGTCTCCCTGCCAGACCCCACCCCCTTTCCGGAGTCTTGATTTTCATCTGGCCCTATGCTAAGAGACAGCAAGTTTTTATTTTTTAATTTTTCAATTATTTTATTTTATTTTATTTTATTTTTGAGACAGAGTTTTGCTCTTGCCCAGGCTGGAGTGCAATGGCGTGATCTTGGCTCACCGCAACCTCCACCTCCCAGGTTCAAGCGATTCTCCTGCCTCAGCCTTCCCAAGTAGCTGGGATTACAGGCATGCGCCACCAAGTCCGGCTAATTTTATATTTTTAGTAGAGATGGGGTTTCTCCATGTGGGTCAGGCTGGTCTCAAACTCCCGACCTCAGGTGATCCGCCTACCTCGGCCTCCCAAAGTGCTGGGATTACAGGCTTGAGCCATCGCGCCCGGCCGGCAGCAAGTTTTTATTATGTGCTTGGCCTCATCCTTTGTCTTGGGGGAGAAAAGCTTCCCTTTCTTTGTCCTTATCCTGATGCTTGCTTCTTTCCTCAAAAGTAGAAAGGGAATCTGGAAAGGGCCCTGAATTTCTTTTCTTTTCTTTTCTTTCTTTTTTTTTTTTTTTTGAGACGGAGTCTCGCTCTGTCGCCTAGGCTGGAGTGCAGTGGCCTGATCTCGGCTCACTGCAAGCTCCGCCTCCCAGGTTCATGCCATTCTCCTGCCTCATCCTCCCAAGTAGCTGGGACTACAGGCGCCCGCAACCACGCCCGGCTAATTTTTTGTATTTTTAATAGAGACGGGCAATTTTTGTATTTTTAGTAGAGACGAGGTTTCGCCATGTTAGCCAGGATGGTCTCGATCTCCTGACCTCATGATCCACCCACCTCGGCCTCCCAAAGTGCAGGGATTACAGGCGTGAGTCACTGCTCCCGGCCAAATGTCTTGAGAACTTTCTGGGTAGAGATTTATTTGTTCTTAATTTTTTTTTTTTTTTTTGAGATGGAGTCTCACTCTGTTGCCCAGGCTAGGGTGCAGTGGCACAATCTCGGCTCATTGTAAACTCCGCCTCCCGGATTCAAGCGATTCTCCTGCCTCAGCCTCCTGAATAGCTGGGACTACAGGCATGTGCCACCATGCCCAGCTAATTTTTTGTATTTTTAGTAGAGACAGGGTTTCACCGTGTTAGCCAGGATGATCTCGATCTTCTGACCTTGTGATCTACCCGCCTTGGCCTCCCAAAGTGCTGGGATTACAGGTGTGAGCCACCGCACCTGGCCTTTTTCTTAATTTTTAAATTAATTTTTTTTTTTTTTTTTTTTTTTTTTTTTTTTTTTTTTGCGGCTGGGTGCGTTGGCTCACGCCTGTAATCCCAGCACTTTGGGAGGCCGAGGCAGGCGGATCACCTGAGGTCAAGAGTTCGAGACCAGCCTGGCCAACATGGTGAAACCCTGTCTCTACTAAAAATACAAAAATTAGCTGGGCGTGGTGGCAGGTGCCTGTAATCCCAGCTACTTGGGAGGGTGAGGCAGGAGAATCTCTTAAATCTGAGAGGTGGAGGTTGCAGTGAGCGGAGATCGTGTCACTGCACTCCAGGCTGGGTGACCGAGCAAGACTCTGTCTCAAAAAAAAAAAATATATATATATATATATATATTTATTTTTAAATTAGAGGCGGCCGGCATGATGGCTCACACCTGTAATCCCAGCACTTTGGGAGGCCAAGGTGGGCGGATCACCTGAGGTCAGGAGTTCAAGACCAGCCTGGCCAACATGGTGAAACCCTGTCTCTACTAAAAATACAAAAATTAGCCTGGCGTGGTGGTGTGCGCCTGTAATCCTAGCTACTCAGGAGGCTGAGGTAGGAGAATTGCTTGAGCCTGGGAGGCGGAGGTTGCAGTGAGCCGAGATTGCACCACTGCATTCCAGCCTGGGCAACAGAGCAAGACTCCATCTCCAAAAATAAATAAATACGTAAAATAGAGAAGGGGTCTGACTATGTTGCCTGGGCTGGCCTTGAACCCCTAGCCTCAAGCAATCGTCTTGCCTCACCCTCCCAAAGTGCTAGGATTACAGGTGTGAGCCACTGTGCATGGCCCTGGGTGGAGATTTTTATCCTGACCAGTGTGTGGGTGGGCAGCAGCTCCTTATTTGGCCAACATGTTCAAATCCAGCTCCTCTCTTATAGAAACAGTGAAGTGTCTGAGATCCAAAGCCAATTTGAAATGGTCATTCAGCCAACAAATGTCTGAGTACCTACTAGGTACTAGATACTCAGAGGGTAAGTAAGGCCACAGCTCCTAACCCTCAGTGAACTCCTGATTAGAGTTCAGGTACTGTTTACTGTCAGGTACTGTTCTAGGTGCTGGGAATTCACTAGTGAACAAAATGTGCAAAAATCCTGGCCTCAAAGGGCCACTTATCTGCTAGTATAGAGGGACAGACAAATAAGTACAATATATGCATATATGAGATTGAGGAGGGGCTGGGCATGGTGGCTCACACCTGTAATCCTAGCACTTTGGGAAGCCGAGGCAGGCGGATCACTTGAGGTCAGGAGTTCGAAACCAGCCTGGCCAACATAGTGAAACCCCGTCTCTGCTAACAACAACAACAAACAAACAAACAAAATAATTAGCCTGGCATGGTGGCAAGCACCTGTAATCCCAGCTTACTCAGGAGGCTGAGGCAGGAGAATGGCTTGAACCCAGGAGGCAGAGGTTGCAGTGAGCTGAGATTAAGCCACTCCACTCCAGCCTGGGCGACAGAGCGAGACGCCGTCTCAAAAAAAGAAAAAGAGATTGAGGGGGAGGTGGGAAAGGAGTGATATAGAGTCACATAGGAGAGGCTGCTGACATGTTCTTGGAGAAACCTCGAGGAACTGATGTCCAAGCTGGCAGCCAAGGAAGAAGAATTAGGCAAGGGAGTTGGGCATGAGAGGTGGCATAGAGTGTTCTGGCAGAGGAACAACACCAGGGTTCCAGGGACTTGGATACATTGAATCTGGCTGGATCATGGAGTGTGAGGTGGGGAGAGCCAGTGAGGCATAGGCAGGGTCCAGCCCCGCTTGAAATTTGTCTCACCCCATAACAGAGGCAGCAAAGTGTTTGGGGAAATCCCAGTTGTACCAGTATGGAGACAATGGCTGAAGTCCCAGTTGTACCAGTATGGAGGCCAGGGTCTCTGAAGTCTTCCCTGGAACCAGGATATTGGCCCCCACTCCCAGCAACCCTTCTCAACTCCCCTCCCGATTCTCAGACTGGAGGACCATGTCTGCCTCAGTTGCCTTTTTCTCATTTCATTTAGTCACCTGGCATTGCCAACCCAGGCAGCAGGGCTGGCAAGGAAGGGCTGTGAAAACTCACCACCACCACCCAGATACCACCTAATAGCTTACTGAATTCCAGAATCACACTATGTACTTTATGTAATAAGCCCCTTTAATCCTCCTAAAAGCCCCATGAGGTGGGTGGAATTGGCCCCATTTAACTGGATAGGAAACCTCGGCTTGTCACTTTGTAACTATCTAAGGTCACCCAGCTAATAAATTGTGGTGTCACATTTTGAACACAGGTGTGACCCCCTAAGTATGAGGCACTGACCATTTGGCAATCAGGGTGGGAAAGGGAAAGATATTTGGAGTCTTCTGGCCCCAGCCAAATTAGAGGAAGATTGGAAATAGTTAACTTCTGACCCAAGGGCTTTGAATTCCTATTCTCTCCACAGGCCCCTGCTAATCGCCAGGAGGGTTGGGGTTGGCAGGCACTTCTGCCCAGGACCTCTGGCCTCCCTTTTAAGATATGGGGGAACAGGGAGGGTTCAGATACCAGGTCTGAGAGCACTCAAACTGACAGCCCTCTGCAGAGAACTGTCACCCCACCCCCACCTGCCTCCAGCAGCAAAGACCTCCCACCTCTTGCTCTGGGTAGAAGAGCTTGACAGACCCTTCCTCACTCGCTCCTCCTCCCCCAGCCAAATCTGGGCATCCTCAGGGCTCTGGGTTACCTAGAGCATCAGAGGTCTGCAAATTCCTCCAGCTGACAGAATTCCCTCCAGGCTGCAGCTGCCTCTGTCTGCTGGACTTAAGAGTGTTGGGGACCTGCTGCTTGGGCAGTGAACCAGAATGCCTCACCTGGGGAAAGAAAGCCAAACGGGCTCGGTGTGATGGCTGGCACCTGTAATCCCAGCACTTTGGGAGGCCTAGGCGGGTGGATCACCTGAGCTCGGGAGTTCGAGACCAGCCTGGCCAACATGGTGAAACCCTGTCTCTACTAAAAATATAAAAATTAGCCGGGCATGGTGGCGTGTGCCTGTAATCCCAGCTACTCGGGAGGCTGAGGTAGAAGAATTGCTTGAACCTGGGAGGCAGAGGTTGCAGTGAGCCGAGATCGCACCACTGCACTCCAGCCTGGGCGACAGAGCAAGACTCTGTCTCAAAAAGCCAAACGTCTTCCTTTCTCCCTCGACCCCATCTTTGAACTCAGGACTCTGGCTCTGTGGCTGTCTAACATCTGAGGAGAGGGCTCAGAGCCAAGGCCACAGAGCTAGGAGGTGGGAGGGCTGGTGGGCTGCCTCCCTTCGTGAGAGCCTCTCCAGGTGCTACTGAACCCCAAGAGGAAAGATCTGTTTTTCCCTAGGACTCTGAGGCATCTTAGGGCTAAATGGGGAGATGGGGAATGGGGAGGTATAATCCCAGGCCCTCTTCTTCTCCTTCAATCTCAGTAGCCCCCCTTTTGTTGAAGACCACTTTAAAGTTGGAAGTTACCTATTAGCAAGAGACCTTGACAACCTGTGTTGTACGCTAGGAGGAGTAGAAGGTATTTTTGCTTGAGTTCTTACTCTAGGGTCTCACATTCGCTTTAGGAAGTCGTTGATCCCCAGGAATTAACCGTGCCTAAGAGTGCATGCGCATCTTTCTAAGAAGTCTCCTCCTTCAAATTTGGGGACCACAGGTATTCCCCATATCTCCCAGTCTTTTTCTTTCTTTTTTTTTTTTTTTTTTTTAGAGACAGGGTCTCACTATGTTGCCCAGGCTGGTCTTGAACTCCTGGCCTCAAGTGATCCACCCGCCTCAGCACCCCAAAGTTGGGATTTCCTGTGTGAGCCATCATTCCTGGCCCCCAGTCATTTTATAGAGAAGCTAGAACTACTGTTTAGAGAAATGATTTGCACTTGGGTCCATTTGGAAATTCTTCAGACTCTCGTTAAACCCAGCAGTGGGAAGAGACCTAATGGTATATATCCCAGCACAGGCAAGGGAAAAATGGATTCTAAGCTGTTTCTCATCCCAAATGATGTGGCCTGAGGCGAGTTACTGAGTCCAAGCTCCTCAGCCTTGAGGCCCTAACTTCCCTGTGCGTGCATGGGAAATGGCCCTGGAGCTATGAGAGGGCGGCTGGCTGGACTGCTCACTGGCCAGTGAGAGGGCCCAGGTGGAGGGTTCGGCTGCTCTCCTGGGTGTCTTGCTGAAGGCTGACTGCCTTCTGAGCGGCCTTTGCACAGCGTGCCCCATCTTGTTGTAACTTCAGGCAGGGGAGAAACAGCAACTTGTGAGCTCTCCCCACACAAGCCAGGACAGGACGCCAGGCCCACACACTGCCTTCTCCCTGTAGAGTCGCTTCATCCAGGCTTCCCACCGTACTTCGAAACCTGCTCTTCTCTTGTCTTTTATGGTCTTTTTCCGCTTCCAGAAGTCTCCTGCATTCCTCAGCTGGGACTTAGCCCCACTTCAACTGGTTTATCCCTGCTTTTGGCCTCTGAGTCAGTAGTTTGCAAGCTTGGCTGGTGATCAAATTGCCTGGGGAGCTTTTTATTTTTTTATCGTCTCCTCCCCAATGTATACCATTTTATATTGTTTACATAGGGACGGTTGGTTGGTTGGGATTTCAAATTAATACATGAAAATATGTTCACTGTAAAGACACACTTTTTTCAATAAAAATATGTGGCACTTACTATGTGACAGATAAAGTTCTTAGTACTTTATATGCATCAGCTCATTTAATCCTCAAACATCCCTTGAGGGAGGTACTATTGTTGTCCCCGTTTTACAGGTGAGGAAACTGAGGCCAGAGAAGTTAAGTAACTTGCCCAAGATCACACAGCTAAGTAAGTAGTAGAGCTCAGATTCAAACCTAAGCAGACTGAGCTTACACCACTGAACTCTACTGCCTGTCAATAGAAGCAAGTCAGAAATAAACACATGAAGGCTGGGGTATGGTGGCTCACAACTGTAATTCTAGCACTGTGGGAGGTTGAGGTGGGAGGATTGCTTGAACCCAGGAGTTCGAGACCAGCCTGGGCAACATGGTGAGACCCCGGTTTCTACAAAAAATACAAAAATTAGCCAGGCATGGTGGTGCATGCCTGTAGTCCCATCTACTCTACTCAGGTGGCTGGGGCAGGAGAATCGCTTGAACCTGGGAGATGGAGGTTGCAGTGAGCCAAGATCATACGACTGCACTGCACTCCAGCCTGGGCAACAGAGTGAGATGCTGTCTCAAAAAAAAAAAAAAGGATCTTTTGAGCCCGGGAGGCAGAGGTTGCAGTGAGCCAAGATCACACCACTGTACTGTAGCCTGGGTAACAGAGCAAGACCCTGTCTTCAAAAAAAACCAAAAAATAAATAAAGAGAAAAAGAAATAAACACGTGAAATTTCTTCCCCAGTTCTACTCTCTTAAGGGCAAGCACACAGTTACTGATTTTATAAGAATCCTTGTAGACCCTTTTTTTTTTTTTTTGCACAAAAAACTTATGTATGCATACAGGAATTTTAAAAACAAGAATTGGACTATATCATGCATACAAATGTTACTCTGCAGCTCGCTTTTTAACTTAGAATCACAGGCATCTTTCCAGACTGTTAAATACACATCTATCTTGTTTTTAATAGCGCCGTAGTCTTTTACATGGTGAATGTACCATGATTTATTTAGCCAGTCTTCTACTTTTATCTTTTACAGATGTGGTGTAGGGAAGAGTTAACATCAAAATTGTGAAGTGTTTGGATTTTTAGCAATCTAACTATCAGTAATTGCCTTATTAGGAAAGACTGCTGTAGAAAGATGATCGAGTGAACTGTTCATCTTAACATCATCCAGATAAATTGAGCTTTCATGTTTAAACAATACCTTTAATACAGACTCTGCTGTAAACTTAAGGTTACTATACCATTTAAAAATAGTTTTCATACTAACTTTTGTTTTATGACTATCTAAATAATAGTCAATAGTTTCAAAAGCATATGAATTCACCAAAAATCAAAAACTTTTAAATTGCATGACTCAGAAGTAAACTACCACATTCATTCACACTAGCATTATTTTCCCTGGGTGTTGAGAGATTGAGAATGTGTCATCAGTCAATTCAAAGTGCATTTTTTTCTCAAGTTTTTCTTTAGATTTCAAAATCTAGTTAGCAAGCATTTTGCTGAATAAAAGTTGATTTCCAGTCTTAAAGCAGACACTCATTTCTGTTCTTATTTTCCCCCCAAGAGGAGCTTATGAGTTTTTTTCTTAAACTCAAATATTGCTGCACTAAAGCCTAGGACAGGGTGGTTGCATTTATATAAAGGATGCATTCTTGAAAACCACAAATAGGCTGGGCGCTGGGGCTCATGCCTGTAATCCCAGCACTCTGGGAGGCCGAGGCCGGCAGATCACGAGGTCAGGAGATCGAGACTATCCTGGCTAACACAGTGAAACCCCGTCTCTACTAAAAAACACAAAAAATTAGCCGGGCGTAGTGGCAGGCGCCTGTAGTCCCAGCTATTTGGGAGGCTGAGGCAGGAGAATGGCGTGAACCCGGGAGGCAGAGCTTGCAGTGAGCCGAGATCCCGCCACTGCACCCCAGCACTCCAGCCTGGGCAACAGAGCAAGACTCCGTCTCAAAAAAAAAAAAAAAAGAAGAAAATTACAAATAATTCATAATTCCCATGATTCAAGACTTATATTCTCATATGAATACATGTGAAGTGTATGTATGGGGTGGAGGGGCCAAGGGGATGCTTACAATTCACTACTCTCCAGCTTTGAAATTATGTAACTTAAAACTTTTAATTTGGGGGATTTGCATTTCTTCACACTTTACATAAAAAGCAAAACTAATATTTATGGCACCATTTCAAATTTCTGCAGTTGAAGTTTGCATGAAATATATCTGTATTATAATGTATAGAGTGCCTGAATTGGGGTCCCAGAGCCACTGTGTCTGGGTTGAATCTGTCCACTTACTACTTGTGGAACCTTGGGGCAAGTTACTTAACCTCTGTGCCTCAGTTTTCTCATCTGTAAAATGAATATAATAATGGGGATCTCATATGGTTATGGTGAAGATTAAATGAGTTTGTGTATGAAACGGCATGTAGTGAGTACATCAATGTTAAGTGCCAGTGGCAGGAGGAATAGCAGTATTGTTATAGCTGGAATAGTTTGTATACATATTTCTTTAGACTAGATTTCTGCAAGTGAAATTGTTGGGTCATGTGACTTTCATAGTTCATTCAACAATTATCAAACACCTACTTTGTACTGGGCACAGTGCTAAATGCTGGGAGACAGTGAGAAGCAAATTCTAGTGGGGGAGATAGGCAATTAAATAATCACTAGTAACTTTTTTTGTTTATTTTGGAGATGGCGTCTTACTCTGTATCCTAGGCTGGAATTCAATGGCGCGATCTCAGCTCGCTGCAACCTCCGCCTCCCGGGTTCAAGCTATTCTCCTGCCTCAGCCTCCCAAGTAGCTGGAATTATAGGCACCTGCCAGCACACCTGGCTAATTTTTTTGTGTTTTTAGTAGAGATGGGGTTTCGCCATGTTGGCCAGGCTGGTAGTGAACTCCTGACCTCAGGTGATCTGCCCGTCTCAGCCTCCCAAAGTGCTGGGATTACAGGCGTGAGCCACGGCGCCCAGCCAATCACTACTAAACATATAATCACAAGTTGTAATAAATTCTATGGAGGAAAGTTATTCAAAGCCAGAAGGGTTTTTCACTGGGGAATCTGATCTAGTTTGGGAGGGTTGAGGGAAATTTCCCTGAAAAAGTAACTGTTGAATTGGGATCTGAAAGATGTCAGGAGTTAACTGTGTAAAATCGGGATGGGAATGCAAGGAGACACTGTTCCAGACAGAGGGAGTAGTGTGTGCAAAGGCCCTGTGGTAGGGGGTTATGCTGTATTTAAGAAGAGGCTCAATGTGGCTAGAGAGAGAGATTGGCACATTAAAGAGTTTGTTTTTTAGGACATGGTGACATGCACCTTTAGTCCCACCACTTGGGGAGGCAGAGGCAGGAGGATCACTTGAGCCTAGGAGGTCTAGGCTGTAGTGCATGATGACTGCATTTGTAAACAGTCACTGCTCTCCAGCCTGGACCATATAGTAAGACCTTGTCCCTTTAAAAAAGATATTTTTGGCTGGGTGCAGTGGCTCACGTCTGTAATCCCAGCACTTTGGGAGGCTGAAGCCAGCCTTTTTTTTTTTTTTTTTTTTGGAGATGGAGTCTTGCTCTGTCGCCCAGGCTAGAGTGCGGTGGCACGATCTCACTGCAAGAAGCTCCACCTCCGGGTTCACACCATTCTCCTGCCTCAGCCTCCCGAGTAGCTGGAACTACAGGCACCCGCCACCACGCCCGGCTAATTTTTTTTGTATTTTTAGTAGAGACGGAGTTTCACCGCATTAGCCAGGATGGTCTCGATCTCCTGACCTCGTGATCCACCTGCCTCAGCCTCCCAAAGTGCTGGGATTACAGGTGTGAGCCACCGTTCCCGGAGGCTGGTGGATTTTTTAAAGTTTTTTTTTTTTTTTTTTTTTTTTGAGACAGTCTTGCTCTGTCACCCAGGCTGGAGTGCAGTGGCGTGATCTTGGCTCACTGCACACTCCGCCTCCTGGGTTCAAGCTATTCTCCTGCTTTAGCCTCCCTTATAGCTGGGACTACAGGTGCCTGCCACCACACCCAGCTAATTTTTGTATTAGTACAGACGGAGTTTCACCATGTTGACCAGGCTGGTCTCAAACTCCTGACCTCATGGTGATCCACCTGCCTCGGCCTCCCAAAGTGCTAGGATTACAGGCATGAGCCACTGTCCCCAGCCAGATTGTTTTTTATCCCAGGAACAAAGGCATATCACTGAGTTTCAAATAGGAAAGTGACTTTTTTTTTTTTTTTCTGAGACGGAGTCTTGCTCAGTCACCCAGGCTGGAGTGCAGTGGCACGATCTCAGCTCACTGCAACCTCCGTCTCTGCCTCCCGGGTTCACGCCATTCTCCTGCCTCAGCCTCCCAAGTAGCTGGGACTACAGATGCCCGCCATGATGCCCGGCTAACTTTTTTTTTGTATTTTTAGTAGAGACGGTGTTTCACCACGTTAGCCAGGATGGTCTCGATCTCCTGACCCCGAGATCCACCCGCCTCGGCCTCCCAAAGTGCTGGGATTACAGGCGTGAGCCACCACGCCTGGCCGAAAGTGACCTTATTTCATTTTTTTCAAATGTACTATGCTGTTGCATTTTTAAGAGATTCATCTTTTTAAATGGAGATTTTTGCACCCATTTATACTAAAGATGATGTTGTATGCACTAAGGTGGTGGGGGTAGAGATGGAAGGGGCCTAAGTCTTGGTGGGTGATAGTCTGGGAAGGGAAGCTCTAAGGGAGAAATGGTCAAGGAAGAAGCAGCTGCTAGCTAAACCATATGCCAGGCATTATGCTAAGTATTTTTTTTAATCAGATATTTTATTTTTTATTTTATTTTATTTTATTATACTTTAAGTTTTAGGGTACATGTGCACAATGTGCAGGTTAGTTACATATGTATACATGTGCCATGCTGGTGTGCTGCACCCATTAACTCGTCATTTAGCTTTAGGTATATCTCCTAAAGCTATCCCTCCCCCCTCCCCCACTATGCTAAGTATTAACTCATTCAACTGAGGTAGATATTAGCATTATTCCCATTTCATAGCTGAGGAAACAGGCCCAGAGAGGTTAGCCAACTTGCCCAAAGTCAGTGTGGGCCTGGTAATTGAGCCCAGGCACTCTGGCTCCAGACTCTGGGCTGCTTCTGATGCCCGGATTCTGTTCTCAAGCTGAGTACATGATATGCTATTCCCTGGGGGAGAATGCTGGAAAAAGACCATATTTGGGTTAAGTAAAGATCGTGAATTTAAGTTTTGACATACTGATTTCAGGATATCTTGAAAGCATCCAAAAGAGATACTGAATAGACAGATATAACTTTTGGTCAGAGGAAGGATCTGGATATTTAAATTTTTGATATGTGGTCTGAAGTGCCATCAAAAGCCATACCAATTTACCTTCTCATGAGAAATAAATGAGAGAATCAAGAACTTTAAAAAAAAGCAACAAACTGCTTTCCCCAGATGCACTTCCAGAAGCTGACTCAGTAGAAGTGATAGGTGGGCGGTCGGCAGGGAATCTGGATTTTTTAAATTGTTTGCCAGATGATTCTATCAGCTATGTTTGGGAATCACTGCTCTGTGACAACATTAAGCCCTCTTTGAAGAGCTAAATGTATAGAAAGGAACAAACTGGTGAGATGTGAATGAAAGAAGCATAGCATTTTATTGATATTATTATTATTATTTTGAGACAGGGTCTCTCTCTGTTGCCCAGGCTGGAGTGCATGGTGTGATCACGACTCACTGCAGCCTTGATCTCCCAGGCTCAGGTGATCCTCCCACCTCAGCCTCTCAAGTAGCTGGGACCACAGGCATGCACTATCACTCCCAGCTAATTTTGGTAGAGATGGGGTTTCGCCATGTTGCCCAGGCTGGTCTCAAACTCCTGGACTTAAGTGACCCACCCGCCTTGGCCTCCCAAAGTGCTAGAATTACAGGCATGAGCCACTGTGCCTAGCTGCATGGCATTTGGGATTTAATTTCCTATGCTTGCCTCTATGGCAGTTGATCCTATTTTTAAACTTTCTGCTTATCTTAGGATTCTGAATGGCCTTCACCTTCCTGTCCTTCTGTGTTGCTTTTTAAATCACTGCCCCTGGTTTTTAATACTTTATTGTGCTTTTTAAAGCACAACACAGCTGGGCACAGTGGCTCATGCCTGTAATCCCAGCACTTTGGGAGGCTGAGGCGGGCAGATCATGAGGTCAGGAGATTGAGACCAGCCTGGCTAACATGGTGAAACCTCACGTCTACAAAAGATACAAAAAATTAGCCGGGTGTGGTGGCATGTGCCTGTAGTCCCAGCTACTCGGGAGGCTGAGGCAGGAGAATCACTTGAAACTGGGAGGTTCAAGTGAGCCGAGATCATGCCACTGCACTGCAGCCTGGGTGACAGCGTTAGCCTCTGTCTCAAAAAATAATAAATAAATAAATATAAAGCACAACACATCATATTTGACCCTAACAAGCACCTGGGGGTGTGTGTGTGTGTGTATTCCCATTTTAGAGACTGGAAATTAAGCAGCAATAAATGGCTTACATTTATTGAGTACTTACTGTTAAACAGTTTAGAGATTAAGTGATTGACGCAAGGCTGCAGAGCCAGTACACAGCACTTTTACCTACCAGACCCTTAATTGTTACCACAGCTGTCTCAGGTTGATCACTGGGATCTTTGTTCTGGCATGGTCCTTGAGGATGGTAGCCAGTGAGCCAGACAGCACACCTCATGCTGAGTCAGCCGCGTTCCAAACTCTCAGAGTGCCTAGTTTGGGTTTCACTCTGGGAGGGAAGACTCACCTCCTAAGGGTTATGAGGAACTTGATGAACACAGCAGAGCTTTCGTCAGCCAAAACTCCCCTGGAACTGCTTTCTCCACCCTCAACGACATGGGGTTGCCATATAATTTTTCTAGTCGGGGGAAAAACTCACATCAAATTCTGATTGAAAATCAAATACATGTTTACTGTGGAAAAACTGGAAGGCAAAATGGGGGCCTACCACCCATACGGGACCTTTGTCTTTTCAAAGGAATATTTGAAATCAATCATCCATTTCCCAATCTTTCCACCTGAGTCTTTGTTGAGGGTATCTGATCTGAGGCAGAGGGCCCGAGTCTGAATGATTTCACCACTCACTCTCCAGGCTTGCCTCCCCAGTATCCCAGCTTCCTCTTCTGCTTGGCTGGGTCAGAGAAGGGCTGCAAGCTGAGGCCCTCACACACCCCGTCAGCCCTATCTGTGAGAAGATCCAGGTCCAGGGGGCCTGTGTATAGATGGGTGCCATCCGCCAGGTGTAACTGCACTCCACCTGGGTTCTGTTGCCCTCCAAGAGCTGCTCTGCTTACAGCTCTGGGGAAAAAGGCCTGGACACCCAATAGGTGCACCCAGGGCTCTGGCAGGCCCTTGCAGAGCTGCCCCAAGCTTGCTAGGCAAGGGCAATGGGCCTCCCAGCATGCCCAGGGGTGGGTCCCAAGTGAATCCAGGAGCCCCAAGGCCTCTTGGGATCCCAGCATGTGCAGCCTCTTCCCCCCACCCCACTTTGCTGCCCTATGACCTCTCCCGTGGGTCTCCTCAAAACGGGTCTGGCTCACTGGCCACCATCTTGGTTTTCTTGTGCGTGGAAAATACTTGGTGACGGAGAGAGGCAGACCACAGCCTTGGCACCAGGGCTCAGCCCCTCTCTCTCTCTTCTTTTTGGTACAAGAATAAAACTATAAATATTTTATATAATAATTGTCAGCCTTATGCTATAAATGGCTTTATGACCTGCTTTTTTCCCCCCTCTGCAAAATACTTTTTCCTGGGTAGGTTTTCTTTTATAGTATTTAAGGCTGTAGATTAGGCATTTGGGTGACTGTGGCACAGCATAATTAACTGTTCTGTTGAGAGTTAGGTTGTTGAGACCTTTTTTTGCTTTTTTTCCCTATTAAGCAAGTCACGAACATCCTGGCAGGTATGGTTTTGTCACATCTGGGATGGTATCTTGGCACAATTCCTGGGTCAATGGGCTTGTTTAAGGCATTTTAATTTGCCAGAAAGGTTGTGCCAGTTAATATTCCCCCACCCCTAGCAATATATAGCAGCACCCGGTTCCCAACTGTGACACAGCACTTGCCCTTTTAATTTGTATTTCTTAGTTGGTGAACTTTTTTCTATATGTAGTTTTACTTAGGAAAAATGCCAGAATCTTTCTTCAAGTCACTTCCACCTACTTTTCCCCGGTGCCCTCTTATCCCAATCCCTTAACAGAAGGTAGTGATAGCTATAAGGACAAATTTGTTTGTTTTGTGAGCTAGGTATGTCCCTAAAGCAAGCTAGAATAGAAATTTCCTAGGCAATCTCTTCCCCCAACTCCCCAGGCTGCCTTTTGGCCACAATATGTTTAAGATGATGTTTTCCTTTTCCTCTAGTCAAAATACCCAGAGATCAGTAGGGAAATTGGTGGAGAGTGATCACTTGATGGACATTTTGTCTACGGAAAGATGGGTGGTTTTATTTTGCCAGAACATCCAGTAATGTTGGACATCAGGACCAGATAGCACCTCCAGGAAGAGACAAGCTCCTGACCTTCAAGGGTATTCCCTTGGGAGTATGGAGGTGTCTAGGCAAATTCCAACCTAAAAGCAGGCCTGGAACATAAGAGGAATGAGTTCTTAGCCCAGCATCCATCAATTCTTATAAGTCTATTTAAAAAGCTTTCTTTTCCCAATAGCTCTAGTACCCCAGGGACCAAACTCTTCTTGCCCAAGTTTTATTAGTGGCGCCAGTTCAGGACCCGAGGCCAGGCTTGGCAGGATGATCTTTAGAGAGGAGCTTTGAACATAGGCCAGAGACTCCTGGTTTCCATTGGATGTCTTCTATCGAGTGCAGATACATAGAGCTCTGGCTTTTTTGTTGTTAATTTCTCTTTTTATTTATTTTTACCTATAATGTGTCCTATGATATTAATTGTTAATTTCTCTAGAAGCAGCCTCAGGTTACTGATTCCCTTTTTCCCTTCCCCGACAGTATTTTAGGGAATGTACATTTAGGCTCAGTGCTAAAAGCTGTCCATTTATATTGGTAGAGCAGGCACCTCTTCATCAGGTTCATTGACCTTGTAATTCAGAATCCTTGTGGGAGAAACTGAGGCTAATGCGGTCAAATGACTGTCTGAAGCCCTGGATGGGTGTGGAAGAAAGAGCTATGTTTAGGCTTTCATTTTCCAGCCTTAAATTCTGAACTATTGCCCCATGTGCTCATCATCAAGTTGCCCCAGAAAGAGTTTGATGCAAGCCCATTCATGCCCCCGTGATTTGGCCAAGATGTGTGGCCTTGTGGAACCATGCTGCAGTTAGGAACAGGAGTCAGTTTACTTCGCTGACTATTAAAAGATGGGGTAAAGGAGGGATGAGTGATGATGAGACCTGGTTTCGTATCAGTTTCATTATGAAACTAGTGATACAAGCCAGTGGTGCCAGGAAGCATCTGGGAGGAAATTGTAATGATCTGCCCCAGGGCTTACCATTTACTATGTCTTGACTCATAGCTTGCAGAGAAGACTACTCATGTTCCTACATGTGCCTAGCAAGTTTCCCTAGAAAGGCCAGCTTTTTCATGAAATCTCCGTCTTCTGCTTCCTCTGGTAAACCACAGAGGACCCCTACAAAACAGCCCTCTCCAAATGCAGACTGAGCCAGTTCCCTATTGTGCCCTCTGGTCCCATGTGTCACCATCTTTGATCAGCTTCATCCGTTGAGTAAAGCATACAGCTGTAGCTAACTTCTTCCCACTTTGAGAGAGAATTTTTCGATGGTATACATAGAAAGAGGCCAGGATGTGGATGTCAGAAGCCTAGGTTAATTGTAAGTAGTCTAAGGTACCTTTTTATTGAGAGCTTACCTTACTTACTCTGGGCCAGGCACAGTATTCAGTGCTGTTTGAACACTATCCCATTTAATCTTCCTAATAACCTGATGAGGTAGGTATTGTTTCATTTTCCAGATGAGGAAACTGAGCTTCTATATAATCATACAATTTGCCCAATCATGTGATAGATAAGTGACATTATAGGGATTGGAATCCAAGTCTTCTGGACTCCAAATTTCGTATTCTTCATTATTTCCCTGCCTTCAGGATTTGAAACCTGATCTTGCTGCTTCCTGGGGCAGTTCAACCCCTGGCAGCCTCTTGTTTCCTGAGTTGTCAGATTGGGAGAAGTAATACCACATTGCAGGTTATTTTGTGAGGATTTGGGTAGGAAAACACTTAGCTGGGTATCCTGAGCAGAGTGGGTGTTTGAAGCTTATTCCTATCAGTCTGGACCATTGCCCCTTGGTTGTGCTCTGTACCCAACTCAAAGCAGTTTAGAGCTGATGGGGCCAGCTCCTCAGATGTATCTGGAATATGCACCCTGAGTGGGAGGCACATACACCTATAATACATGACCGTTGGCTTCCCCTTGATTATTGACACTGTCCCTTCTACAAATAGATGCACAGCCCAGATACTGTGCTACAAATATGTGGAACCATGTAACAGTGGAAATATGCCAGAAGACAGGGTAGTAGAGTGAGTTGTACACTCTAGTGGGAAGCAGATTTTGTAGACAGCGGGAAGAGGATTTCTAGCTCCTGGTGGGGTGGCGGGGGGGGTGGGCGGTAGCAGCTCTCAGAGTTTTGGGGATTAAGTCTTCTGAGTAGTAGGGGAGTCAATCCATTAGCCTCCTTCTGGGTTACCTGGTGGGAGAGGATTGGAGTCATTGAGTCTCTCCTTAAAGGAAATAATTGACAGAATTGTCTGGTTAGCCCTTTACTGGCTAAAGATCTTCCCTTAGGAAGAGGGCTGTTTTAGGATTGAGAAAAGTGGCCAGGCACAGTGGCTCATGCCTGTAATCCCAGCACCCTGGGAGGCCAAGGTGGGAGGGTCACTTGTGCCCAGGAGTTCTAGACCAGCCTGGGAAACAGCAAGACCCTGTATCTACCAAAAAAATAAAAGTGACCTTTAGTCACTCACTTTGGGAGGCCAAGGTGGGTGGATCACTTGAGTTTGAGACCAGCCTGACCAACATAGTGAAACCCTGTCTCTACTAAAAATACAAAAAATTAGCCGGGCCTGGTGGCGGGCGCCTGTAGTCCCAGCTACTCGGGAGGCTGAGGCAGGAGAATGACGTGAACCTAGAAGGCGGAGCTTGCAGTGAGCCGAGATTGCGCCACTGCACTCCAGCCTGGGCAACAGAGCAAGACTCTGTCTCAAAAAAAAAAAAAAAAAAAAAGAACATCATTAGTACTTAAGTAGTTCTTGAATGAATGCTGCATTGACGAACCTGGCTTTAGAACCTGACCACCCTGGGTTCTCATTCTAATTCCAAGCTGTTCGACCTTTGGCTAGTCATCTCACCGCCACCACCCCTCACCCCCAGCCCTAGTTTCCTCATGTGGTAAATGGTGGGTAATGGTCTGTAAGGTTCTGGGGGTCTACACATTCCCGGTTGGGGTTTATTTTTCTTGAAATGGTTTTGCTCTGTCTCCAGCTGGGGTGCAGTGGCAAGAGCATGGATCCCTGTAACCTCGACCTCCTGGGCTCAAGGTATCTTCCCACCTCAGTTACCTAAGCAGCTGGGACTACATCATGGTTTGGAGTTTCAACTTGTACGTTACTCATGATGGTTCTGTGAAGTGTAATATCCATCTTCCAAATGAGAAAGCATAAATACCTAATAAGTTAATTCAAGTTCTACATCAGCAGTGATATTTCCAATTAATGGATTCTTGAGGGACTTTCACAGGGTCTTCAGCCCAGCTTTAAATAATACTGAATCAGCCTGGCACAGTGGCTCATGCCTGTAATCCCAGCACTTTGGGAGGCCAAAGCGGGTGGATCGCTTGAGGCCAGGAGTTCGAGACCACCCTGGCCAACATGGTGAAACCCTGTCTCTACTAAGAATACAAAAATTAGCTGGGCGTGGTGGTGCACTCCTGTAGTCCCAGCTACTCAAGAGGCTGAGGCAAGAGAATCGCTTGAGCCCGGGAGGTGGAGGTTGCAGTAAGCTGAGATTACACCACTGCACTCCAGCCTGAGTAACAGAGCGAGACTGTGTCTCAAAAAAACAAAAACAAAAAAGTAGTACATAAATATTATCTATTAATAGTAATTTAGAAGGGGAGGGATTTTAGATTGATGTACTTTTTTTTTTTTTTTTTAAGAGACAGGGTCTAGCTATATTGGCCAGGCTGGACTCAAACTCCTGGGCTCAAGCAATCTGCCCACCTCAGCCTCCCAAGTAGCTGGTACTACAGGTGCCTGCCACCATGCCCAGCTGAGATTTGATGCCCACTTGCTAGGTTTGCCATAACAAAGTGCCAGGTACTGGGGTGGCTTAAATAACAGAAATTTATTTTCTTATAGTTCTGGCTTGTAGATGGACAACTTCTCCCTGTGGCTTCACATAGTCTTCCCTCTGTAACTACCTGTGTCCAAACCAAACTTCTTCCTCTTCTAAAGATACCAGTCATGCTGGATTAGGGCCTAGCCTAATGAGTTCATTTTACCTTTTTTTTTTTTTTTTTTTGAGATGGATCTTGCTCTGTTGTCCAGGCTGGAGTGAGGTGGTGCGATCTCGGCTTACTGCAACCTCTGTCTCCTGGGTTCAAGCGATTCTCCTGCCTCAGCCTCCCGGGTAGCTGGGACTACAGGCGCAGGCCACCATGCCCAGCTAATTTCTGTATTTTTAGTAGAGACGGGATTTTACTATGTTGGCCAGGCTGATCTCAAACTCCTGACCTCAGGTGATCCGCCCATCTTGCCCTCCGAAAGTCCTGGGATTACAGGCGTGAGATACCATGCCTGGCTGACTTCATTTTACCTTAATTACCTCTTTAAGGTCCCTGTCTTCACATTTAATGGCCATTTTAGGTACCAGTGGTTAGGACTTCAACATAAGAATTTTGGAGGGACACAACTCGTGTTAAGGGAAAACTTGGACCTGCAGAAAAATTGAGAAAATAAGTTGCCAACAGGTAGTCATGGCCAAATGGTTATTGCAGTGAACTTGAAAATAAGTTTCTGTAAAATTAGCCGGGCGAGGTGGCGGGCGCCTGTAGTCCCAGCTACTCGGGAGGCTGAGGCAGGAGAATGGCGTGAACCCCAGGGGGCGGAGCCTGCAGTGAGCCGAGATTGCGCCACTGCACTCCAGCCTGGGCGACAGCGAGACTCCGTCTCAAAAAAAAAAAAAATAAATAAATAAAAAATAAAAAAAAAAGAAAATAAGTTTCTGATGACCTTCATCATTGGGAAAGGTCATTTCAGTCATTTTTCTGTGCATAGTTACATGTATTATATAGTAGTTCTGCATTCTTATTTTGTTTTACTATCATAGTATAAGAACTTCCCTATATAAAGTGTTATATTGCATAGCTGGATAAATAACCTATGGAGTAAGTGCCCCCATAGATTATTTGACTTTTGCCCTATATTGAAGATGATTTAACCTTTGCCACATTATCGTTCCTGGTCCTTCTAGCACTAAGGCAAAGCACTCATCTTCTGAGGACAGAAGATGAGTCTACAAAGCTGTGTGCTGGCAATAAAGGGCAGGGCCACCTGGGGATCGTGTGGCCCCTGGGACCCTCTGGAACTGAATCAGGCCCAGATCTCCTTTCCCCTTCCTCCCACTGGCCAAGCACGTCACAGCCCAGCACTCCTCGGCGGGGATGTCGTCAAGGAGGCAGGGCTGGTTCCTAAGCGATCTTCTCTTTCTTGTGATCACATTCCAGCCTTCCCACAGAGGATCCTTCTGTGTGTGGTAAGCTTTTGGGCTCTGAGGCAGCTCTTTAGGGTCCCCAAGCCCCTCTGTCCTCTCCCATTCACTGAGTCCACTGCCTAAAAGATGGCCAGTGTCTTAACTTCCTTTGCCTGGATGAGTTTTGCCTGGTTTTGAACTTCCTGTTAGTGGAATCTTGCATATGTCCTCTCATATCTGGCTTCTACTACTCAACCTTATGTTTGTTAAATTTCCCATGTAGTTGCCTGTCCTTGTGCTTCATTCACTTCATTATGTGAATATACCCAGTGTTTCTACCCATTCTCCCTCATTGTTTGGGCCGATTCTGGCTTAGCTATTATGAATAGTGCTGTTATGAACATTATAATACATAGGTTTTGGCAAATGTATTTTTGTTGGGTCTGTACATCACAGTGGACTTTCTGGGTCTTAGGGAATTAATATATCAATATGTACTGCCAAATTGTTTTCCAAAGTGATTGTCTTCCCATATCAGACTTTTGTTTGTGTGTGTGTTAAAATAGGCATAACATAAAATGTACCATTTCAACCATTTTTAAGTAAATAATTCAGTAGCACTAAGTACATCCACAGTTTGTGCAACATCGCCATTATCTATCTCCCGAACTTTTTCATCATCCCCAACAGAAACTCTGTACTCATTAGGCATTAGGTAGTAGTTCCCCTCCCCTCTCTCTCTCTCTAGCCCCTGGTCAATTCCTTTTTTTTTTTTCTTAGAGAAAAGGGTCTTGCTGGAGTACAGTGGCGCAGTCATGGCTCACTGCAGCTTCAAACTCATGGGCTCAAATGATCCTCCCACTTCAGCCTCCCAAGTTGCTGGAACAGGTGCATACCACCATGCCCAGATGATTTTCAAAAAATTCGTATAGAGGCCGGGTGCAGTGGCTCACTCCTGTAATCCCAGCACTTTGGGAGGCCAGGCGGGTGGATTGCTTGAGGCCAGGAGTTCGAGACCAGCCTGGCCAACATGGTGAAACCCCATCTCTACTAAAAATACTAAAATTAGCTGGGCATGGTGGTGCACACCTGTAGGCCCAGCTACTCGGGAGGCTGAGGCATGAGAATCGCTTGAACCTAGGAGGTGGAGGTTGCGGTGAGCCACTGTACCATAGCCTGGGCAAGAGAGTGAGACTCCATCTCAGAAAAAAAAAAAGATTCATCTCTTGATGGACACTTGGGTTGTTTCTACCTTTTGACTATTATGAATAACACTGCTGTAAAAATGAATGCATAAGTATCTGTTTGAATCCTTTTGGTTCTTTCAGGTATATACCTAGGCATTGAATTGCTAGGTCATGTGGTAATTCTACATTTAACACGTTGAGGAACTGCCAAACTGTTTTCCACAGTGGCTGCATCATTTCACATTCCCACCAGCAGTGTACGACAATTCCAATTTCCCTCTATCCTTGCCAACACTTGTTGTTTTCTTTTTTTTCTTTTATAGCCATCCTAGTGCATGTGAAGTGGTATCTCATTGTGATTTTGATTTGCATTTCCCTATTAACTAATGATATTGAGCATCTTTTCATGTGCTTATTGGCCATTGTGTATCTTCTCTGGAGAAAGGTTTTTTCAAGTCCTTTGCCTGTTTTTTAAAATTGGGTTTTGTTGTTGTTGAGTTTTATGAATTCTTTACATATTCTGGATATTAATCGTTTAGGATTCTTCTTTTTCGGCCAGGCATGGTGGCTCGTATCTGTAATCCCAGTGCTTTGGGAAGCCAAGGCAAGAGAAGTGCTTGAGCCCAGGAGTTCGAGACCAGCTGGGGCAACAAAGTGAGGCCCCATCTCTACAAAAAATTAAGGAAAATTAGCCGGGTATGGTGGCATGCGTCTGTGGTCCCAGCCACACAGGAGGCTGAGGCAGGAGAACCCCTTGAGCCTGGGAGGTTGAGGCTGTAGTGAGTTATGATTGCACTGCTGCATTCCAGCCTAAGTGACAGAGTGATACCCTGTCTCAAAAAAAAGAATTCTACTTTTTTATATTGTGCTCTTATATACTATGTGAATACTTTGTCATGTCCATATTACTTTCATTATTTTAAAAACCTCATCTGGGCCGGATGCAGTGGCTCACGCCTGTAATCCCAGCATTCTGGGAGGCCGAGGCGGTCAGATCACAAGGTCAGGAGTTCGAGACCAGCCTGGTCAATATGGTGAAACCCCATCTCTACTAAAAATACAAAAATTAGCTAGGCATGGTGGTGCGTGCCTATAGTCTCAGCTAGTCGGGAGGCTGAGGCAGAAGAATCACTTGAACCTGGGAGGTGGAGGTTGCAGTGAGCCGAGATCATGCCACTGCACTCCAGCCTGGGTGACAGAGTGAGACTCTGTTTCCAAAAAATAAAAAAAGTAAAAATTGAAAGAAAAAAAAAACCCTCATCTGTTATCCTTTCTTATTTTAAGGAAAGGTATTTTTAAACCAAAATAATAATAATCTGAAACTAAAAGACAGGCTTTCTGAAAGGACAGTTTGTGCCCTCGCCTGACATACCTATGGACAGGCGTGGGGCCGTCCTTGTGGTCTTTGTTATGTTGCAGCCTAGCAAAAATGGGAGCACTGGGCAGAGCATGGTGCTGACAGGACCCAGGGTATAGCCCCTGGCAGATTCCCTGATTTCTTGCGTTGGCCATAAGGAAGAGTAGGTAACAACGTTGGTTGTGAATATTCTCTAGTGTGTGTCTTGGAGTCGGGTAGACCTGGCTTCTGAACCTCAGTTTTCTAATCTTTGGAAAGGCGGCTGGGCGCGGTGGCTCATGCCTGTAATCCCAGCACTTTGGGAGACCGAGGCGGGTGGATCACAAGGTCAGGAGTTCAAGACCAGCCTGGCCAACATGGGGAAACCCAATCTCTACTAAAAAACAAAAATTAGCTGGGCATGGTGGCGCACGCCTGTAACCCCAGCTACTCAGGAGGTTGAGGCGGGAGAATCACTTGAACCCAGGAGGTGGAGGTTGCTTTGAGCTGAGATTGTGCCACTACACTCCAGCCTGGTGACAGAGCAAGACTCTGCCTCGAAAAAAAAAAAAAAGAAAAGAAAAAAAAGTGGGGGATAATACCTACCTTGGTATCATAGTTATAGGGATGAAATTCACCTCCAGCTGGTGAATGGTGGTTACTAACTCGGAGTGCTTGTTTAAAGAGTAGCCAAGCATTGGGGATTCAGAAGGAGCGAAATGAACTGAAACAACCAAAGGTTGTCCAGGTGATCCTGTGGGCATATATATTGTGTGTAAATAGACTCTCACAGCCTTCAGAAAATCTTCTGCCTCTAGCTATGACCTTAGTCAACCCCATGTCACATGAGGCCACCTGGGGCTAATGTCCATGAATGTCTATGATCTTGGTCCTCTGGGACCAAGAACAAAGAAGAGTTTGACCCACAAACTGACCACCAGGCGATCTTCCCTCTCGAAACCAAACTTGGAAGCCTCCTCTGAAACTTGTATTAGTCACACTCCTGGTCAGAGAAAGTAAGCCAAGTCTCCCTTCTGCAGCCACTTAGCAGTCCTGGATCCAGTCAGAGGACTCTTGTCAGTCTTGTTTTCCTGGGGCAACTTCCAGAATACTCCTGCCTTCCTAATGCTCTCTCTTCCCCTTCCCCACAGTATTCATGGGCTGCCCTGGGCAAGAGCCAGCTCTGTTTAGCACTGATAATGATGACTTCACTGTGCGGAATGGCGAGACAGTCCAGGTAAAATACCATGTCCACCTGCAGGACAAAAGAAAGATGTTCTCTGTGCATGCCCAAATTGCTGGCCAGGAGCCCTTGGTTGCTGTGGCCATTGTGAGCCAAGTCAGCCCTTCAGAGGAGGTAGTGTTAGTCCTCAGCTGTCCACAGCTTGGGTGTGAGCACTGATCTAAGGGGGGTAGTGCTTGCAGCTACCCAACAGTGGTGCCTGAGGTCAGGCCAGTGGAGCCAAGAGCTGCCTTGTGAGTAATCACCCACTGTACTGAGTCCCTCGGATTCCCTCTCCCACCTTCCTTTACTTCCTTCCCTTATCATCCATGTTAACCCCAACTGAAAGCAGCTCTAAATGCAGGCCTGCCAATCCCATGAGCCTCCAGGAAGATACATCTGGGGTGCTTGGCCACACTTCGTTTTAATTTTTGAATAGCTAATATAGCCACATGGTTCAAAAATAAAAAATAATAATAAGCTATACAATAAATAATCTCCCCTTGTTTGCCTCCATTTGCCCAAAGCCCCCTTCACCCCTTCACGCAGTTAACCACTGTTCCCAGTTTCTTTCCTTCCAGAGTTTATATATAGTCTATACTTACATGTGTTACATATTTATTTATATTGTACATGTTTTTACATGTTACCTATTTCGTATATATACATATATAAAAACAGATTCTTTTCCTTATGCAAAAGCTAAGATGCTGTTCACATGTCTGCACCTTTCTTTTTCTACTTAACAGTGTATCAGCACAGCACAATGTCTACCCTCTTTCCACAGATAGCCACTATTAGTTTTTTTCTGTATTCTCCCTGACTTCATCCATGTACAAGAAAATATGACTATATGGTCTTATTTCCTACCCTTTTACACAAAAGGTGGAACAGTACCTGGCACATATTAAGCACAATGTGTTTGTTAAATAAAATGCTAAACTCTATTAAGCTGCCCTATACCTTAATCTTTCCATTTGACAGCATAAATCAAAAATCAGGCCGAATGCGGTGGCTCACGCGTGTAATCCCAGCACTTTGGGAGGCCGAGGCGGGTGGCTTGCTTGAGGTCAGGAGTTCGAGACCAGCCTGGCCAATATGGTGAAACTCTGTCTCTACTAAAAATACAAAAATTAGCTGGGCGTGGTGGCAGATGCCTGTAATCCCAGCTACTCAGGAGGCTGAGGCAGGAGAATCACTTGAACCTGGGAGGCAGAGGTTGCAGTGAGCTGAGATCGTGCCACTGCACTCCAGCCTGGGTGGCAGAGCGAGACTCCGTCTCAAAAAAAGGAAAAGAAAGAAAAAAAGATCTTTCCCTTTTGGCACATAGAGAGCATACTCATTCTTATTTTTAGAGCTGCATAGTATTCCACTAGATGGATGTGCTGTAGTATATTTCACTGGTCCTCCTGTATAAGTAAACACCGAGTTTCCCTTGCAATAGGCTCATCTAGGTCTCCTCACCCTTAACTTTTTTTTTTTTTTAATTTAACTTAGGGTCTCGCTATCTTGCCCAGGCTGCTCTGGAACTCCTGGGCTCAAGTGACCCTCCCAAAGTACTGGGATTATAGGCGTGAGCTACCATGCCCAGCCACCCTTTTAACTCTTATAGGTGAGAGGATGTTGAGCATGTCCCAGCTATTTGCACATCTGGGTTAAGGAGTTTCTCTCCTTGCAGGAAAGAAGGTCACTGAAGGAAAGGAATCCATTGAAGATCTTCCCATCCAAACGTATCTTACGAAGACACAAGAGAGATTGGGTGGTTGCTCCAATATCTGTCCCTGAAAATGGCAAGGGTCCCTTCCCCCAGAGACTGAATCAGGTACGACTGTGCCTTCTCCTGGGAAGCATTGGTGGCTCCAGGGACCCCCATCCAAAGGCCTGCATGAGATTTCTTGCTACTGAATGTGGGGGCTGAGACAGAAAAACCTCTCCTGTTCAGTGAGCAGATTCTCCTATGGCAGTGCCCCTCTTCACAGAGGACTCTTTGTCACAGTCATGGGATATTTGTTACTTTGTCAGCTGCCATTTTCTTTTCCCTCCAGCTCAAGTCTAATAAAGATAGAGACACCAAGATTTTCTACAGCATCACGGGGCCGGGGGCAGACAGCCCCCCTGAGGGTGTCTTCGCTGTAGAGAAGGAGACAGGCTGGTTGTTGTTGAATAAGCCACTGGACCGGGAGGAGATTGCCAAGTATGAGGCAAGTAGCCTTTAGTGTCTACTGTAAATGTCCCCTCAGAAGTGGGATCCTAGGCCTGGTGAGGTGGGTGGCACCGGGCTGACCCCAGAGCTGTGTACCCCACAGCTCTTTGGCCACGCTGTGTCAGAGAATGGTGCCTCAGTGGAGGACCCCATGAACATCTCCATCATCGTGACCGACCAGAATGACCACAAGCCCAAGTTTACCCAGGACACCTTCCGAGGGAGTGTCTTAGAGGGAGTCCTACCAGGTAAGAGGACTGGGAAGGGGACTGCTACGGGGCTGGGCCCACACCCTTAAATGCTAAAAGATCCCACCATACCTGATTTCCTTGGCTGTGTATCAGATTACTTGGGATCTTCTTAAAAATCCAGATTTCCCCCCTTCCATCCCAAGGTTCCTGAATAAGAATGATCCTAGAGCAGAGCTCTGGAATCTGTATATTTGAAATTTTCCCTAAAGCTTCAGATGATCAGCCAAGCTTGGGAACCACTAGCTTTGGAGCTTCAAAGACCTAGATTTGAATCTTGGCTTTGCCCTCTTTACCGGCTGTGATCCTGGGCATATTCTTGACCTCTGAGCCTCACTTCTCACATCTAAAAATGGGAATAATATCAACTTTGAAGAGTGGTGAAGATTAGAAATACCATGTGCAGACTGTTAGGTAATACAGAGCGCCTAATGCGAAGCTCTTGAGAGCATGGCAGCCACAGGGAATGCAGCAAAGACTGGAGTGTTAGAACATGGCTGATGGAGGCTGGGCGCGGTGGCCCACGCCTGGAACCCTAGAACTTCAGGAGCCTAGGCAGGCACATCACTTGAGATCAGGAGTTTAAGACCAGCTGGGCCAACATGGTGAAATCCTATCTCTACTAAAAATATTAAAAAATTAGCCGGGCGTGGTGGCGGGCACTTGTAATCCCAGCCACTCAGGAGGCTGAGGCAGGAGAATCACTTGAACCCAGGAGGCAGAGGTTGCAGTGAGTCGAGATCACACCATTGCACTCCAGCCTGGGTGATAGAGTGAGACTTCATCTCAAAAAAAAAAAAAAAAAAAAAAAAGAAAAGAAAAAAAGAGTTCCAGAAGTAGACAGGGCTGGAGTTGGAACTGGGAGGAAAAGATACTCATCCCTTCTCTCCAGGTACTTCTGTGATGCAGGTGACAGCCACGGATGAGGATGATGCCATCTACACCTACAATGGGGTGGTTGCTTACTCCATCCATAGCCAAGAACCAAAGGACCCACACGACCTCATGTTCACCATTCACCGGAGCACAGGCACCATCAGCGTCATCTCCAGTGGCCTGGACCGGGAAGTGAGTGGCCCTTAGGGAAAGTACTGCCTACCCAGACTTGCCCAGGCTGGGAACTGACTCTGAGAGCAGAAGCTCCTATCCCTGCCCACAAAGCCCAAGGCAGAACAGTGAGGACCCACGTCAGCTGGGATGGCCACTGCTGGGTTCACATGCCATGCCCCTGGTTCCTTGGGCCTGTGGCCCGCTGCCAGCCAATCTCGTTAAATCTCCTCCAGGGCTGGGAGGCAGCTGTAAAATGCCTACTTTTGGTATTTTCTGTAGGTTTTCTCATTTCCTCTCAGAGTGGCTCACTTAGTGTGCACATTACCCAAATTGGTCCCTTATGTGCCACAAAGTAGAATTAGCTCCATGGATACTGGATTTGCTGCCTGTTTCCTAATTGATACCTTTATCCAAATCCTCACTCAAAACTCTTTTTCTGAGGCCAGGCACAGTGGCTCACGCATGTAATCTCAGCACTTTGGGAGGCCAAGGCGGGAGGATCACTTGAGGTCAAGAGTTCAAGACCAGCCTGGCCAACATGGTGAAACCCTGTCTCTACTAAAAATACAAAAATTAGCTGGGCGTGGTGGCAGGCACCTGTAATCCCAGCTACTTGGGAGGCTGAGGCAGGAGAATCACTTGAACCTGGGAGGTGGAGTTTGCAGTGAGCCAAGATCACGCCACTACACTGCAACCTGGGCGACAGGGCAAGATCCTGTCTCAAAAACAAAAGCAAGACTCATTCTGGAGCAGTTAAGGGTCAGGGGGCGATGCCAAGGCTTCCCTAGGACAGGCCCAGGAGAACTATTTGGATCACTCGTTCCCTCTCCAACAGCATCCTCTGCTTCTGTTCTCCTGGCAGTGGGTGAGGGGTGGTCAAGGAGTCAGCGTTATGATAGGGAGAGATCCTCCTCTCCATCCACACACCCATGAGCCAGTGCTTCCTGGAGGTCAGGGGAGGGACCCTTCAGATTAAACTCACAATGGGCTTCCCCTCTCCTTTCTCCCCAGAAAGTCCCTGAGTACACACTGACCATCCAGGCCACAGACATGGATGGGGACGGCTCCACCACCACGGCAGTGGCAGTAGTGGAGATCCTTGATGCCAATGACAATGCTCCCATGTTTGACCCCCAGAAGGTAATGCCCCTTCCTCACTCAGTCCCTCATCAGATAATGAAGGACCAAAGTTTGCCTTTCTCAGGAAACTGGAACCAGTCTATATTGCTTCAAATGCCAGTCTCAGCACTATGGCTGTGTGACCTTAGGAAAACTACCTAACCTCTCTGTGCCCCATTTCCTAATCTGTGAAAAGGAGATAATGATAATACCTGCTGCATTGTTCTGAGTTTCAAATGAAATAATCTATGTACGTTTCCTAACACGATGCCCTAAAAGAAGTGCTTGATATGAAAATCTTTGTTGATTTGAAAACATATTTTCCTTGTACCTACACCTGCCCATCTTTTCCCAGTGAATGCTTGTGTACCTCCAAGGCAGAGGACTCAGTGCCAATCAAGGTGCCAATTACATCCTCCCCCTTCCATCTTTAGACAACTCTGAACGTTAATTAGGTCTGAATAAAAATTTGTAATGACGCCAGGGGCGGTGGCTCACACCTGTAATCCCAGCACTTTGGGAGGCCAAGGCGGGCAGAACACTTTTGAGGCCAGGAGTTCAAGACGAACCTGGCCAATATGGCGAAACCCCGTCTCTACTAAAAATACAAAAATTAACCAGGTGCAGTGGCATACACCTGTAGTCCCAGCTACTTGGGAAGCTGAGACATGAGGATCGCTTGAGCTTGGGAGGTGGAGGTTGCAGTGAGCCGAGATCACACCACTGCACTCCAGCCTGAGCGGCAGACTGAGACTGTCTAAAAAAATAAAATAAAAATAAATAAATAAATTTTTTGTTCCGAGCAACTGATTTTCCAGTCTTTGTCACATGTCCCAGAACCTCCAAAAAATTTCTGTTCAGTGCCCCAGCCCATTCAGGCACCTAGCCCTTCTTGCCACCTTCCTTATTCCTTTCTGATCTCAGCTGGATAGATAGCTACACGTGGCAGGGGCTTGGGCATGCAAACCCGTGAGATTTCTGGAACATCAGGCCCCTGCGTGTAGGGAAAGCAGGCACAGGATTGGTGTGGTCTGTGCCAGCAGCTGTGAGGCTGCTGCTGGGGACATCCTGCCGCTGTGTATACCCTGAAACCCCGCAAAGTGGGTGGGTGGTCCAGGAAAGGGTAAAGGCATGGGGATCCCCTGAGGTTGGATGGAGGCTTCTCAGCCTCTGGAGTAGGACAGTCATTCTCTGCTCTGATAGTGCTGTGCTTCTCACACTGACAGTACGAGGCCCATGTGCCTGAGAATGCAGTGGGCCATGAGGTGCAGAGGCTGACGGTCACTGATCTGGACGCCCCCAACTCACCAGCGTGGCGTGCCACCTACCTTATCATGGGCGGTGACGACGGGGACCATTTTACCATCACCACCCACCCTGAGAGCAACCAGGGCATCCTGACAACCAGGAAGGTGAGTCAGTTCGGGCCTCAGACAATGGCTATACCTGGGGCAGTCAGGTCTGCAGCCTTCAGGATGAGGAGCCACTGTCTACCGTGGGCTAGTCCAGGAATCGTACCAGCCCAGTGGCTCCCAACACTGTTCTACCACTCTTGTGTTGGGAAGTCCCTTTGTTCAAACTAAATCTTACCCAGGAGCCCACTTCATAAATAGGTAAGAGTCACTGATTAATTGAAGCACATCAGTGGAGCCTCCTCCCAGACCACAGTGTCCAATGGCTGCCCCGAATCAGTCTCACATAGAGAGTCCATCTTATTGAAATCCATGTTGACTTTGCATTTACTCTAAAACTCATGTCTAGGTGTTTAGATAATAAAATGTTTTGAATCACTGAGGCACACTCTTGCCTCTCAAAAAGTCTCTTTTTTGTGTGTATGTATTTTTGTTTTTATTGGGGTATAGGACGTGGGTTGGGTCAAAAAGTCTGAATAAGGCTGGGCGCAGTGGCTCACACTTATTCCCAGCACTTTAGGAGGCTGAGGTGGGAGGATCACTTGAGGCCAGGAGTTTCAGATGAGCCTGGTGAACATAGCAAGATCCCATCAGCACTAAAAAAGAAAAAAATGAAGATGGGCCTAATCTTGCATCAGTTTCTTTTACTTCCTGGTTTACTATGAAGAATGGTGTGGTTTGAGAAGCAGGGTATAAAATATTGTATGAAATAATATATTTTAAAGACTGGGGTTTGCTGTCCTGTTTTCTGCAACAAATACTTTGTAATGCCACTTCGACATTGTTAAATGATGTGAAATGAAGTTCATTTATAATATAACTAACCTAACTCATTATTTCTAAAAATAGAGAATGTCCTAACTAAAATAAAGAAAAAATCCAGACCGGGTGCTGTGGCTCACGCCTGTAATCCCAGCACTTTGGGAGGCCGAGGTGGGTGGATCACGAGGTCAGGAGACCGAGACCATCCTGGCTAACATGGTGAAACCCCGTCTCTACTAAAAATACAAAAAAATTAGCTGGGCGTGGTGGCAGGCGCCTGTAGTCCCAGCTACTTGGGAGGCTGAGGCAGGAGAATGGCGTGAACCCGGGAGGTGGAGCTTGCAGTGAGCCGAGATCGCACCACTGGACTCCAGCCTGGGTGACAGAGCAAGACTCTGTCTCAAAAAAAAAAAAAAAAAAAAAAAAAAAAAGAAAATCCAGCCTGGACAACATGGAGAAAAAAAAAAAAAAAGAAAATCCAGCCTGGACAACATGGAGAAATCCCGTCTACGCTAAAAGTATAAAAAATTCGCTGGGGCCGGGCACGATTGCTCATGCCTGTAATCCTAGCACTTTGGGAGGCCGAGGCAGACAGATCACCTGAGGTTGGGAGTTCGAGACCAGCCTGGCCATCGTGGTGAAACCCGTCTCTACTAAAAATACAAAAATTAGCTGGGCGTGGTGGCACATGCCTGTAGTCCCAGCTACTCGAGAGGCTGAGGCAGGAGAATCGCTTGATCTCGGGAGGCGGAGGTTGCAGTGAGCTGAGTTCGCATCACTGCACTCCAGCCTGGATGACAGAGCGAGACTCCGTCTCCAAAAAAAAAAAAAAAAAGCTGGGTGCGGTGGCACACACCTGTAGTCCCAGCTACCCAGGAGGCTGAAGTGGGAAGATAGCTTGAGCCCAAGAAGGTCGAGGCTGCAGTGAGCCATAATGAAGCCACTGCACTTGAGCCTGGGTGACAGAGCAAGATCCTGTCTCAAATAATGGTCTCAAGCAATCCAGCAGCCTTGGCCTTCCAAAGTGCTGGGATTACAGGCATGAGCCACAATGCCAGGCCCCCCAGTTTTCTCAAACATCACCACCACTCCACTGGGAACCATTGATCTAGGGCTTATTAATACAGTTACTTTTAGGATGGTCTGAGAGGCCCCATTAGATGTGCACTCAGGAAACACGGGAGTGTTTATGTTACAGAGAAAGGGCAGCACTGTTGCTAGTGAGGGCCTCAAGCCCCTCAGTATTGGTGTTTTCCTTCTCACATCTCAACTGTCCTGCACAGGACCTCCTCTCAAAATGGTGGTCCAGGTCCTTCTTCCTCTTCTCTCCTAGGGTTTGGATTTTGAGGCCAAAAACCAGCACACCCTGTACGTTGAAGTGACCAACGAGGCCCCTTTTGTGCTGAAGCTCCCAACCTCCACAGCCACCATAGTGGTCCACGTGGAGGATGTGAATGAGGCACCTGTGTTTGTCCCACCCTCCAAAGTCGTTGAGGTCCAGGAGGGCATCCCCACTGGGGAGCCTGTGTGTGTCTACACTGCAGAAGACCCTGACAAGGAGAATCAAAAGATCAGGTACTCAGGAGCTGGGCTCAGTAAGCAGCACGTACTGGTACAGTTGGTGGGTGGGTGATCATGGCCAACGTTTGTTCTGATTACCATAGAGATTGTTAAATAGGAATATCCCTCCTGCATAGGTTCTCTTCTTCCTACCCTCTTTGAGGCTGAAGACTGAATAGGGGTTTGGGGGCAGGTATTTCTCACTCTGTCATGTATCCCTCCTGGGACTCCTGCACCTGCTGCTTTAGGTCCCCGTTTATGGGCGAGGTGCATTTTCCATATGATCCTGCTTAGGAGCCCAGAGGCCATCTGCCAGTTGGTATGAGGAGGCCCTGAATGATGACATCAGAATTCTAAATATTCTGGATGTACTCGTCTCAACTTTTCCTCTCCAGCTACCGCATCCTGAGAGACCCAGCAGGGTGGCTAGCCATGGACCCAGACAGTGGGCAGGTCACAGCTGTGGGCACCCTCGACCGTGAGGATGAGCAGTTTGTGAGGAACAACATCTATGAAGTCATGGTCTTGGCCATGGACAATGGTGAGAGCATCCTCCCAGCCCTCCCACAAGGGCCACTTTTGGTTCTCAGGTCACATGACACAGCACAGCATGTTTCCTCCACAGGTGGGAACATGTGTCGAGGAGGGCTATTTGCAAACCAATCCAGACGGTCAAAGGGGTCTTTCAGAGGAGTCTTTTAAAGACTGGTCCTAGGCCGGATGCAGTGGCTCATGCCTGTAATCCCAGCACTTTGGGAGGCCAAGGCAGGTAGATCACCTGAGGTCGGGGGTTCGAGACCAGCCTGGCCAACATGGTGAAACCCCGTCTCTACTAAATATACAAAAAATTAGCCGGGTGTGGTGGTGTGCACCTGTAGTCCCAGCTACTCCGGACGCAGAGGCAGAAGAATCACTTGAACCTGGGAGGTGGAGGCTACAGTGAGCCAAGATCGTGCCACTGCACTCCACCCTGGGTGACAGAGCGAGACTATCTCAAAAAGCAACAACAACAAAAGACTGATCCTAGGGACTGGCCATGATTCCAATTTCCCTAAAACCCAAGAGTTGGGAGGGAGCCAGGTGTGGTGACTCAGGCCTGTAATGCTAGCACTTTGAGAGGCCTAGGCAGGAGGATCACTTGAGCCCAGGAGTTCAAGGCTGGCCTGAGAAACATACAGAGACCCTGTCTCTACAAAAAATGAAAAATTAAAAAATAAGAGTTAGGGCCGGGCATGGTGACTCAAGCCTATAATCCCAGCACTGTGGGAGGCTGAGGCAGGTGGATCACCTGAGGTCAGGAGTTCTAGACCAGCCTGGCCAACATGGCAAAACACTGTCTCTACTAAAAACATAAAAAATTAGCTGAGTGTGCCGCCTCCCAGTTCCCGCATCAGTGGCCTGCACAGGGCCCTTGGGGCGAATTGCAGCACGCCTCGGGGCGAGCGGCAAGGGCTGGGGTGAGTGCACCTGCACCCAGGCGGTCTTTTCACGTGTCGCCAGGGTCAGACCGCATGTCTCTCCTTGCGGCGCTACACAAGAGCAGAGTACGAGTCTGAGGTGGAGGGAGTCATGGCAGGACAAGCATTTAGAAAGTTTCTTCCACTCTTTGACCGAGTATTGGTTGAAAGGAGCGCCGCTGAAACTGTAACCAAAGGAGGCATTATGGGTCCAGAAAAATCTCAAGGAAAAGTATTGCAGCAACAGTAGTTGCTGTTGGATCGGATTCTAAAGGAAAGGGTGGAGGGATTCAACCAGTTAGCGTGAAAGTTGGAGATAAAGTTCTTCTTCCAGAATATGGAGGCACCAAAGTAGTTCTAGATGACAAGGATTATCTCCTATTTAGGGATGGTGACATTCTTGGAAAGTACGTAGACTGAAATAAGTCACTATTGGAATGGCATCAACGTGAAGCTGCCCATTCCACTGAAGTTCTGAAACCTTTCATCATGTAAATAATTTCCATATTTCTCTCTTATAATAAACTAATGATAACTAATGACCAAAAAAAATAAGCTGGGTGTGGTGGCACACGCCTGTAGTCCCAGCTACTCAGGAGGCTGAGGCACGAGAATCACCTTAACCCAGGAGGTGGTGGTTGCAGTGAGCCGAAATTGTGCCACTGCACTCCAGCCTGGGCAACAGAGTAAGACTCTCAAATAAGTAAATAAAACATCAGCATTAGGAAAGTCCCTTCAGCCTTAGTTTTTGGTTCACTGGGTCCTGAATTGGCCTGTCAGTTTTCCCTTGTGATTGATTGATAGGGGCTGACTGGAAAGTGCCATGACAGATTAGTGATGCCACACCATAACAGATGGGAGGTTATGACGTAGTTGTCACCTCTGGTTGACATGTAATGAACCAGGACCTGCAGGCAGGTGAGAGGTTGCAGCAGGGCTGTGAAGGGAAGCTTCCCTGAAGCTGATCGACAAACACTGGAGTAACCCTGAAGTAGCCGGTAGGTTTCGCCTTGTGGTTATAGTGGCTGTCTGGATGAAGTGGCTGCAACTGTGTCATGATAGTTAGTAATGTCTGCTGTGGACAGAAATGAGAATGATGGCTCAACTGGCATGTATGTGCCATGTATTGGAAGCAAGGGCATGGAAGGTCTTGAGAGGTGAGAGCTGGGCGGTAAACAGGAGGAGCCCCCCTGAGGCTGACTGGGTGGGTCACAGGGAGCTCATCATATGTGTCATTACAAACAGGAAGCCCTCCCACCACTGGCACGGGAACCCTTCTGCTAACACTGATTGATGTCAATGACCATGGCCCAGTCCCTGAGCCCCGTCAGATCACCATCTGCAACCAAAGCCCTGTGCGCCAGGTGCTGAACATCACGGACAAGGACCTGTCTCCCCACACCTCCCCTTTCCAGGCCCAGCTCACAGATGACTCAGACATCTACTGGACGGCAGAGGTCAACGAGGAAGGTACCTGAGTGAGTGGTGGTAGCGGGTGGGGTGCCAGCCCCACTGGTGGGCATCTGCCCCACACCAGGATTCTGCACACGTTCCTATCCTAGCATCTTGTGGGCCATGGGGACAATGATCTCCTCTAGAACCTCAATCAGATGCTATTTATTAACCTGGTGGAGGTCTTTGAAATTCCACAGGACCCCTAAAAGACCATTCTAGCCCAACCGCCTTCCTGTGTAGATGGAAAAACTGAGGCCTCGAGGAATCGAACCTATGTAGAGCATGTGAAGTGGACCTGGCACAGAGCATGCTCAGTGAGTGTTGGCTACGATCACTGTGCTGGGTCCTGACTCTCGCTATGTGACATGGGCCAAGTCACTCCCTCCCTCTCGAGGCCTCAGTTTTTCCATCTACACAGGAAGGCGGTTGGGCTAGAATGGTCTTTTAGGGGTCCTGTGGAATTCCAAAGACCTCCACCAGGTTAATAAATAGCATCTGATTGAGGTTCTAGAGGAGACCGTTGCCCCCGTGGCCCACAAGATGCCCACCACACCCGGCTGCGTTATGGCTTTAAAAATAATGTCATGGCCACACGCAGTGGCTTACACCTGTAATCCCAGCACTTTGGGAGCCTGAGGCGGGCGGGTCACCAGGTCAGGAGTTCGAGACCAGCCTGGCCAATATGGTGAAACCCCGTCTCTACTAAAAATACAAAAATTAGCCAGGCATGGTGGCATGTGCCCGTAGTCCCAGTTACTCAGGAGGCTGAGACAGAAGAATCGCTTGAAGCCGGGAGGCGGAAGTTGCAGTGAGCCGTGATTGTGCCACTGTACTCCAGCCTGGACAACAGAGTGAGACTGTCTCAAATAAAATAAAATTAAAATGTCACTAGGGTTTTTTGTTTTTGTTTTTGTTTTTGTTTTGAGACGGAGTCTCACTCTGTCTCCCAGACTGGAGTGCAGTGGCACAATCTCAGCTCACTGCAACCTCCGCTTCCCGGGTTCAAGCAATTATCCCTGCCTGAGTAGCTGAGATTACAGATACCTGTCACCATGCCCATCTAATTTTTGTATTTTTTAGTAAAGGCATGGTTTTGCCATGTTGGCCAGGCTGGTCTTGAACTCCTGACTTCAGGTGATCCTCTCGCCTTGGCCTTCCAAAGTGCTGAGATTACAAGCATGAGCCACCACACCTGGCCTATCAGGATTTTAATCTAGGCAGTCTCACTCACCATGGTGTGGAAAATAAAAAGCATAAGCATTATGGCCAAAACCCAGTGTTATTAATACCTGTAACAGTATTGATCAGTATTGATAACCTGGTTCTTGGCTTTAATTTCATTTTTCTGTTTGCCCTTGTTCTGTTGTCAGGGAAATTAATCTAGACTCTACTCCATGTGACCTCAGGCTAGTTACCTAACTCCCTAAGCCTCAATTTCTGCATTTGTAAAATGAGGATAACAGCAGTTCCCACCTCTTAAAGCAATGGTGAGGATCAGGGTAGGGCCTGGCACTTAGTAAGTGCCCATTTAGCCGGGCAAGGTGGCTCATGCCTGTAATCCCAGCACTTTAGGAGGCTGAGGTGGGCGGATCACGAGGTCAAGAGGTCAAGACTGTCCTGGCCAACATGGTGAAACCCTGTCTCTACTAAAAATATAAAAAATAATTAGCCAGGCGTGGTAGCACATGCCTGTAATCCCAGCTACTCAGGAGGCTGAGGCAGGAGAATCACTTGAACCTGGGAGGTGGAAGTTGCAGTGAGCCAAGATCGCGCCACTGCACTCCAGCCTGGGTGACAGAGCGAGACTCTGTCTCAGAAAAATTAAAAAAAAAAAAGAAAGAAAGAAAAAGTGCCCATTTAGTCACCACTGCCATCGTCATCAACAACTGAGAAATCAGCCTTATAGGATGGCAGAGATGTTTTAGTGACATATACCCCATGTTGGCCACTCCACATGGTCGACTAGTTGTTCAGACTGGAGAGCTGTCTCTGCCTCCTGGCACTAAATGGGGACAGAGTGGATTCTGCCTTCTGGCCCTTTGACTAAGAGGAGCCCAGCGAGAGTGCAGAGCATTTTAACTTGAAATCTGTGCTGAGATAGGCTGACAACCCGGGGAGGGGGTGGGGGTAGAAACGTGGGGGTTGTTTTTGATTGCCCCAGTGATTGGGGGCACTACGGGCATTTAGTGGTAGAAACCCGCAATGCTGTGGCAAATCCTGCATGATGAAAAAACTTCCACACAGGCTAACAGCTCCCTTCTTGAGAAAGTTGAGTCTAAACCAAAGGCCTTTCTTTAAAGAGGCCACTGATATTATGTTCGTCACCCACACACATAGCCCCTTCTCCACTCTGGGATTGCCACGCAGTCTCCCCCGAGTGGTGCCCAGTGTGCAGGCTGGGCTGGGCCTGGCTTCTGCTCTGTGGTTAGCCTGCCACCCCCTGGGCCTTGGAAGGCCAGTTAGCCCAATACCTGCTGCAGCCTCATTTCTGACATTCCTGCATTTGTGTGATCACTAATGCTGTGATAACACAGGTTAGCATCTGATCGGATCTGCTCAACATTAGCACTTACATAACCAAGTCATGTGCGTTTAGTTTTATTAATAATTGAATGCGGCCTGGCATTGTGGCTCAGGCCTGTAATCCCAGCACTTTGGGAGGCCGAGGTGGGGCAGATCACCTGAGGTCAGGAGCTTGAGACCAGCCTGACACAAAATCCACCTCTGCTAAAAATACAAAAACTAGCTGGGTGTAGTGGCGCAAACCTGTAGTCCCAGCTACTCCAGAGGCCAAGGCAGGAGAATCGCTTGAGCCCATGAGGCAGAGGTTGCAGTGAGCTGAGATCGCGCCACTGTACTCCAGCCTGAGTGATAGAGCAAGACTCTGTCTAAAAAAAAAATTGAAGGCCGGGCACCGTGGCTCACGCCTGTAATCCCAGCACTCTGGGAGGCCGAGGAAGGTGGATCACGAGGTCAGGAGTTTGAGACCAGCCTGGTCAAGATGGTGAAAGCCTGTCTCTACTAAAAATACAAAAATTAGCCAGGCATGGTGGCGGGTGCCTGTAATCTCAGCTACTCAGGAGGCTGAGGCAGGAGAATAGCTTGAACGTGGGAGGCGGAGGTTGCAGTGAGCTGAGATCACGCCACTGCTCTCTAGTCTGGGTGACAGAGCAAGACTTAGTCTCAAAAAAATTGAATGCTCAGTTGGAAATATGGGTGTTTCATATAAGATTGGGCTAGCTATCAGCTGCTCTGTCTATGGAGTAGCCATTCTTTATTCCTTTACTTTCTTTTTTTTTTTTTTTGAGACAGTCCTGCTCTGTCGCCAGGCTGGAGTGCAGTGGCATGATCTCAGTTCACTGCAACCTCCACCTCCCAGGTTCAAGTGATTCTCCTGCCTCAGCCTCCCAAGTAGCTGGGACTACAGGCACGTGCCATCACGCCTGGCTAATTTTTGTATTTTTAGTAGAGACGGGTTTTCACCATGTTGGCCAGGATGGTCTCGATCTCTTGACCTCGTGATCTGCCCACTTCGGCCTCTCAAAGTGCCGGGATTGCAGGCATAAGCCACTGCGCCCAGCCCTCCTTTACTTTCTTAATAAAGTTGCTTTTACTTTAAAAAAAAAATGGGTTAGCTATCTTTTAGGAAGAATATTCTTTTTGAAGCAAAAAAACAGTGTAGCAGCCAATGATGCAAAGAAGTTATTGGTCCTGCATGACATGGCTTTTAAAACTTCATGTTATAAAAATACTGTGATTATTGATTTTTTTAAAAGTAAAATGACAAATTAATTTTTCTATCCCAATAATCCTTTTCATTATGGTGAATTTTGCTTTAGCCAAAGATCAGCTTTTACTGCTATTTTCCAAAGTGTGCTTGTGGAGTATTTCTCTGCATTGCCCACATGTGGAAGCCGTATTCTCAAACTTTCTTCATGGTGTACTCAGATCCCCGCACTGATGGTTCCCACAGCTAATCAATGATCTGTTCACTCCAGGTGACACAGTGGTCTTGTCCCTGAAGAAGTTCCTGAAGCAGGATACATATGACGTGCACCTTTCTCTGTCTGACCATGGCAACAAAGAGCAGCTGACGGTGATCAGGGCCACTGTGTGCGACTGCCATGGCCATGTCGAAACCTGCCCTGGACCCTGGAAGGGAGGTTTCATCCTCCCTGTGCTGGGGGCTGTCCTGGCTCTGCTGTGTGAGTACCAGGCCCCCACCCCCTCCCTGAGGATGGGGGAGTTGAAAGACTGGATTCTACCTTGAGCTTTAACTCCTGGAACTAAGAGGCCACCAACATTGCCCGTCCACTCCTTAAACATTTTTTTTAAGACAGGGTCTCACTCTGTCACCCAGGCTGGAATGCAGTGGCATGATCTCGGCTCATTGCAACTTCTGCCTCCCAGGCTCAAATGATCTTCCCAGCTCAGCCTCCCAAGTTCCTGGGACTACAGGTGTGGGCCACCACGCCCAGCTCATTTTTGTATTTTTTGTAAAAATGGGGCCTCACTATGTTGCCCAGGCTGGTCTTGAATTCCTGGGCTCAAGCAGTCCACCTGCCTTGGCCTCCCAAAATGCTGGGATTACAGGTGTGAGCCACTGCGCCCGGTCCACTCCTTAAACTCCTAATTCTAGGAGCATCAGTCAATCAGTAGGTCTTTCTGGGGCTTGTGGAATGTACCAGGCTTTGGGGATACAGTGGTGAGCAAACAGACTCGGCCCTGCCATCAGGTCATCTGGAGGGGCCCGCACAGTGGTTCTGAAAGGGTGGTTTCCAACAGCATTAGCATCACCAGGAATTTGCTATTATTAGAAAGGCAATTTCTCAGGCCCTGCTCCAGACTTACTGATTCAGAAATTTAGGAATAGAACCCAGTAATCTGCATGTTAACAAGCTCCCAAGGCATTCTGATACATGCTAGAGTCTGCAAATTACTGGTCTAGTGGGAGGAAATGTTTAGTTAAAAACAAATTTCTTGGCTCTAAAGATAGAACCTATCACAGTTGTTTTTTCCACATTTTGACTTGGTCTTAATATAGACAACACACATCGTCAGTCAGAGATCAATCATATGAATACAACAAGAACATGCTCTTTGCTGGGCGCAGTGGCTCACACTTGTAATCCCAACACTTTGGGAGGCCAAGGTGGGTGGATCACTTGAGGTCAGGAGTTTGAGACCACCCTGGCCAATGTGGTGAAATCCTGTCTCTACTGAAAATACAAAATTAGCCAGGCATGATGGCACATGCCTGTAATCCCAGTTACTTGGGAGGCTGAGGCAGGAGAATCACTTGAACCCAGGAGATGGAGGTTGCAGTCAGCCGAGATCACACCATTGCACTCCAGCCTGGGCAACAGGGCGAGACTCTGTCTTTAGAAAAACAAAACAAAAAAGAAAGTAGGAAATTAGGTCAGAGCAGTGACAGGCACAGGGTACCATCATGTCAGGCCTCATAGGTTATTGTGAAGACTCTGGGTAGAACTGAAAGTTATCAGAAGGTTTTGAGCAGAGGGGTGATGTGATTTGACTTAAGTTTTGCAAGATTCCTGCTGAGCAGACTATATGGGGGCGAAGGTGGAGGCAGGGAGACCATCTAGGAGGCTGTAGCCATAATCCAGGGGTAAAAAGGTGATGGGAGGCTCAGGCTAGGATGGCAGCATTGAGGTGGTCAGAGGTGGTCATGTTTCAAGGTAGAGTCCCTTCAGATTGATGTGTGGAATTAGGGTAAGACCCATGGATGATCGCAAGGCTTTCGGCTTAAGGAGAAACATGGCATTTCCATTTGCCGTTTTGGGAAGGACCATGGGAAGAGACTTGCCAGGCCAGTCCAAGTGGAGGTGTCAGTAGGCAGCTAGACCTGGGTTCAGAGAAGTCCATTTGGCGTCTTGCCTTCCCCCAGACTCGGGAGAGGAGAGGTTACTGTCTAGCCCACATGTGCATGCATCTTCAGAACCCGTGGACTCCCAAGGAAGGTTGGGTCTGTTTTGTCTGGCCAAGGACAGACAGCAGTTCCATCAGCAGGCAAAAAAGTAATGATCCTGAGCAGTGGTGTATGCTCTTAAATCGAACTGCCATAGAGAGATGGCTAGAGGGTCCCCTCTTAATACAGGGTTAACTGTGTGTAGGCATGAGAGAGAAGGCAGCCAGGATCCCCAGTTGGCCAGTTCCCCCCATGTCCAAATAGCCTGCCAGCCTTTCAGACCACATCACTGAAGCCAGGCCCTTTTAAAATTCCAACACTGGGGCTGGGCACAGTGGCTTATGCCTGTAATCCCAGCACTTTGGGAGCTGAGGCAGGCAGATCACCTGAGGTCAGGAGTTAGAGACCAGCTTGGCCAACATGGTGAAACCCCGTCTCTACTAAAAATACAAAAATTTGAGATCACGCCACTGCATTCCAGCCTGGGTGACAGAGCGAGACTCTGTTTCAAAAATAAATAAATAAATAAATGGGCCCCTGTAATCTCAGCTACTCAGGAGGCTGAGGTGGGAGAATCACTTGAACCTGGGAGGCAGAGGTTGCAGTGAGCCAAGATCCTGACACTGCACTCCAGTCTGGGCAACAGAGCGAGACTCCCTCTCAAAAAAAAAAAAAAAAAAAAAAATTCCGGCCAGGCGCAATGGCTCACACCTGTAATCCCAGCACTTCGGGAGGCCAAGGCAGTTGGATCACTTGAGGGTGGGGGTTCAAGACCAGCCTGGCCAACATGGTGAAACCCTGTCTCTACTGAAAATACAAAAATTAGCCAGGCTTGGTGGCAGGCACCTGTAATCCCAGCTACTGGGGAGGCTGAGGCAGGAGAATGGCTTGAACCTGGGAGGCGGAGGTTGCAGTGAGCCGAGATTGCACCAGTGCACTCTAGCCTGGGCGACAAGAGTGAGACTCTGTCTCAAAAAAAAAAAAAAAAAATTCCAACACTGCATTCCACGTAAGTTTAGATTACTGTACCCTATGAAAGTTGCATTATCTTGTTCTTGAAGTCTGTGGCTAATTAGGGGACATCTGGTGACTAAAAGAGAGTCTCATTGAAAGACAACATCTGCTGGGAGGTTCCCATCCCGACATCCCGACGAAAGGTTTTCTTAAGGATCAGTACCACCAATCTGGTTAGACTGACAGCATTATGGGTGAGGAGAAGGAAGTCAGAATCTTCTAGGAGGAGGTGTTATAAGCTGAGAGCTGACATGTGGGAGCCATGTGTATGCATAGAGTCTGCCAGGTGAGGAAGGAGCCTGTATGAAGGTTCTTAAGGGGAAGTTGCTGGGGGTATTCAAGGAACACAGAGGAGGCCAATGTGCCTAGACCTTAGTGGGTAGGGGGACTTGGAGGCATAGGCTGGGACCAAATCTTGCCAGCCTTGATAAAGAGTTGAAGTTTTCCTAGGTGCAAGTAAAGCCATTGTAGCATGTTAAGCTCTGGCTACTGAGTGAGGACATCTGCAGTTAGAGGGGCTCTGAGGGCCTGGGGGTCTTGGCCCACTGTGTGGTTACAGAGGGAGCACTCACACTCCCCAACCCTTGCAGTCCTCCTGCTGGTGCTGCTTTTGTTGGTGAGAAAGAAGCGGAAGATCAAGGAGCCCCTCCTACTCCCAGAAGATGACACCCGTGACAACGTCTTCTACTATGGCGAAGAGGGGGGTGGCGAAGAGGACCAGGTGGGGCACTGGGGGCTCTGGGATTGGGAGGTGGATGCCCCTAAGGCCACTGGCAGGGCTGTTGGGTCAACCAACTGACCAAGTTAGCTGTGTTGACCAGGCCCTGGCATGAAGCATGCGTCTTCCTTTTCTAACATCCTCCAGCACTTCTCTGGTCCATTGCTGTAGTCTCTTTGGCCCTAGCCAAGTTAACCTCAAGCCTATGTTTAATTTGCTAGGACAAGGGAGGATGGAAACGAGGGTTTTCCAAAATCTGTGACATCATCTGTCTTGTAAGACCTCCCCATGAGCCAGAGTATCCAAAGGGTAGGGGGTGTGGGGTGAGATGTAAGTGGCAGGGGAGTGGGGGACAGGAGTCCTCAGTCACCTGCTCTCCTGCATTTCCCCACAGGACTATGACATCACCCAGCTCCACCGAGGTCTGGAGGCCAGGCCGGAGGTGGTTCTCCGCAATGACGTGGCACCAACCATCATCCCGACACCCATGTACCGTCCTCGGCCAGCCAACCCAGATGAAATCGGCAACTTTATAATTGAGGTGAGGCGTGGCAGGCCAGTCGAGGGCCACCCTTTATTCAAGCCCAGCACCAGCCACACAGGAGAACAAGCATGGGCCTGGAGTCTTGGGTCTGGGTTCAAATTCTGACTCCACCACCAACCAGCTTTTGACCTCTGGCTTATTTGAGTAACTTCTGGGGTTTGTTTCTTCCTCCATAGAACTCACTTGCAGAGTGGTTAAAAATGATTAGGAGGGGCTGGGCACGGTGCCTCACGCCTGTAATCTGAGCACTTTGGGAGGCTGAGACGGGTGAATCATGAGGTCAGGAGTTCAAGACCAGCCTGGCCAACATGGCGAAACCCCATCTCTACTAAAAATACAAAAATTAGCCAGGCATGGTGGCGGGCACCTGTAGTCCCAGCTACTCGGGAGGCTGAGCACAAGAATCGCTTGAACCAAGGAGGCAGAGGTTGCAGTGAGCCGACATCACGCCACTGCACTCCAGCCTGGGTGACAGAGCAAGACTCCATCTCAACAACAACAACAAAAATGATTAGGAGGCTGGGCACAGTGCCTCACGCCTGTAATCTCAGAACTTTCAGAGGCCAAGGTGGGCAGATCACTTGACGTCAGGAGTTTGAGATCAGCCTGGCCAACATGGTGGGAGGTGGAGGTTGCAGTGAGCCAAGATCGCACCTGGGTGCAACTTATGGCTGTAGTGAATGCCGAGAATGAAGTACTCAGACAATTCTAGCTGAGCGGGGCGGGGAGCAGTTCCTTTGAGAGAGCGTCACTCTAAGATCTGTCTGCCAGGTATTTATTGAGAGAGCTTGTTTAAACTACAATTTAGACAAACAAGAGACATCCACCAGGTGGCTCTTGGCGGTCGGGTATGAGGCACATATGGCCTTGTAAAAAACACTCAAACCACATTTTTAGGAGGCTGTGTTCAGCGCTCCTTATCACACATACTACTCCCTGTCCTGTTTTCAAGGTCCAGGAGATCTAGTCTTGTGTACAAACAACATGCACACAGCGCCTCAATATTTTTCCATGCCTCGACCTCACATGCCTCTTACATAGGCTTGAATGTCTTGTCGTGCGCCCCCCACACCTGGGCAACAAAGGGAGACTCCATCTCAAAAAAAAAAAAAAGGCCGGGCACAGTGGCTCATGCCTGTAATCCCACCAGCACTTTGGGAGGCTGAGGCGGGCAGATCACAAGGTCAAGAGATTGAGACTATCCTGGCCAACATGGTAAAACCCTGTCTCTACTAAAAATACAAAAAATTAGCTGGGCGTCCTGGTGGGCGCCTGTAGTCCCAGCTACTCAGGAGGCTGAGGCAGGAGAATCGCTTGAACCCAGGAGGTGGAGGTTGCAGTGAGCCGAGATCACATCATTGCACTCCAGCCTGGGCAACAAAGGGAGATTCCATCTTTAAAAAAAAAAAAATTAGGAATGATTTATTCATTTATTCAACACATATAGCAGTTGAATACTCTGGAGCCAGACTACCTGGGTTTGGATTATAGATCCCAGGTGATTGCACCTGGGGGGCAAAGTTTGGAGCCTCTGCTGTAGAAGACTTCAAGGATTGAACGAGCAGGCAGCTAGGACAGTGCCAGCACAGTGGTTCCCGACCCTGCCTGCGTGTTGGAATCACCTGGGCACCTTCAGAAACCACTGATGCCTCAGCTCACCTCCAAAGATTGTGATATAATTGAACTGGGTGTGGCCTGGGCTTCAGAATTTATAAAAGATTCTCCAGATAATTTAAGTTTCGGAACTACTGACCTAGCATGTAGCGCTTATTAGATAATGATAGCTATTGTTGCGAGGTGCTATTCTAATAACTGCTTTACAGGTATTTACTCATTTACTCATTCATCTGTTCCTTTAAAACTATACGGAGGCACATGTCCTCAGTACCTCCCGAGGCTGTGTCACAGGCATGCATCCTTTAAAAAAGGAAGAAAAAAACTATTGTCATTTTACAGACAAGGAAACAGGCATAGAGTGGTTAAGGGACTCGCCCAAGGCCACAAAGCTAGTGTGTGGTGTGAGTTCTGGCCCGGGCTGTCTGATTTCAGTCCTTGCCCTTACCCCCTGGCCTGTGTTGCACTGAGCACTTGCTGTCTGCTGGTCCCTGAGTGAATGAATTCTGCATGAATAACGCATTCTTTCATTTCTACCTCCAAAACCTTTAGGGGAGGGGAGAGAGGGGCTCACAGAGAGGAAATGGAGGCTTGCAGCTGGCAAGAGGCAGGACCCGCCGCTCCTAACTACCTGTTCTCTGTTGCCGCAGAACCTGAAGGCGGCTAACACAGACCCCACAGCCCCGCCCTACGACACCCTCTTGGTGTTCGACTATGAGGGCAGCGGCTCCGACGCCGCGTCCCTGAGCTCCCTCACCTCCTCCGCCTCCGACCAAGACCAAGATTACGATTATCTGAACGAGTGGGGCAGCCGCTTCAAGAAGCTGGCAGACATGTACGGTGGCGGGGAGGACGACTAGGCGGCCTGCCTGCAGGGCTGGGGACCAAACGTCAGGCCACAGAGCATCTCCAAGGGGTCTCAGTTCCCCCTTCAGCTGAGGACTTCGGAGCTTGTCAGGAAGTGGCCGTAGCAACTTGGCGGAGACAGGCTATGAGTCTGACGTTAGAGTGGTGGCTTCCTTAGCCTTTCAGGATGGAGGAATGTGGGCAGTTTGACTTCAGCACTGAAAACCTCTCCACCTGGGCCAGGGTTGCCTCAGAGGCCAAGTTTCCAGAAGCCTCTTACCTGCCGTAAAATGCTCAACCCTGTGTCCTGGGCCTGGGCCTGCTGTGACTGACCTACAGTGGACTTTCTCTCTGGAATGGAACCTTCTTAGGCCTCCTGGTGCAACTTAATTTTTTTTTTTAATGCTATCTTCAAAACGTTAGAGAAAGTTCTTCAAAAGTGCAGCCCAGAGCTGCTGGGCCCACTGGCCGTCCTGCATTTCTGGTTTCCAGACCCCAATGCCTCCCATTCGGATGGATCTCTGCGTTTTTATACTGAGTGTGCCTAGGTTGCCCCTTATTTTTTATTTTCCCTGTTGCGTTGCTATAGATGAAGGGTGAGGACAATCGTGTATATGTACTAGAACTTTTTTATTAAAGAAACTTTTCCCAGAGGTGCCTGGGGAGTGAACTGTTTTCTAAATAGAAGGTTTATTGGCATCTAACTCACATACCATACCATTCACTTGTTTAACGTTTACAATTCAATGGTTTTTAGAATTTTCAGAGTTCTGCAAAAAGAGTGGGCTCTGTTTACCCTGCTGGCTTCACCCAAGCTTCCTCTCAATGGCAGGGGATACTCAGGGTCAGCTTCCATGCCTAAGTGGGCTCAGGGAGGGGAGACTTGCCCTCCTTTGCAAAGTCAGTTGCTCCATGAGAGAGAACCATTAACCTCTTACCCCAAGGCTGAGCCCCTCCACAGCCCCAGCAAGGTCTCTTCTGGAACAGCGGCTGCCCTCCCTGCAGGACAGTGTGTGACGACTTCCTCTTCTATGCTGGAGGGGTCCCTGTTGAAAGGCAGGGGTTGGGGAACAGCCAGCTCTGCTACTTGCTAGCACATTTTTTTTTTTTTTTTTGAGACGGAGTCTCGTTCTGTCGCCCAGGCTGGAGTGCAGTGGTGTGATCTTGGCTCACTGCAAGCTCTGCCTCCTGGGTTCACGCCATTCTCCTGCCTCAGCCTCCCGAGTAGCTGGGACTACAGGTGCCTGCCACTATGCCCAGCTAATTTTTTTTGAGTGTGTGTGTTTTTTTAGTAGAGACGGGGTTTCACTGTGTTAGCCAGGATGTCTCGATCTCCTGACCTCGTGATCCGCCCACGTCGGCCTCCCAAAGTGCTAGGATTACAGGCTTGAGCCACCGCGCCCAGCGCTGGCACATCATTTAACCTCCAGTTGCCTCAGATTTTACATTTACAAAATGGGGAGTTTTTGTGGAGATTAAGTGAATTAATATCTGGCACATGGTCCATGCAATCTGTTAGTTGGTAACAGCTACCATTTATTCAGTACTTTTAAAGGCCAGACAGGACTTCGATTATTTCCTCTAAATCCTCACAATCACCCTCTGAGGGGACTTTCTCCTTTAAAGAATGGCCACATTGTATTTGTTTTTTTAAATGACATCTGGTCATCATCGAAATCAAGCAAAACAAAATTAAGAGAACCTACCCAAGATGTCAGTGAAATTGGAACATTCCTGACAATACCAGGGCATAAATGCAGGAATCAGGAATAGGCAGCAGTGATAGAACAATTCTGTTTGTGCCCTTGTTAACGTGAAGTTCAAAGTCATCTTTGCAATTAGCCAAAAGAATCTGAAGTGAAGCTGAGGAAATTGCTGATGTTGAAATAAACATTTCCTTCCATGAGGATGACTAATTCTGTAAAGCGTCTCTGCTCAAAGCACAGACCCTGAACCGGAGTTATCGGTGCCACCTGCTGAATCGGAACCTCTAGGCAGGGCCCTGCTGTGGGTTGACAAGCCCTCCGTGGGATGCTCCTGCACACTCAGGTTTGCTGCCAAGACTCTGAAGGATGAGGCCAAGGAGCCTGAAGCCTCAGACTTTGGATGGAGAAACCAAAAGGAAATGAAGTTGGGGCTGGGCACCATGGCTCACGCCTGTAATTCCAACACTTTAAGAGGCTGAGGTGGGTGGATCACTTGAGGTCAGGGGTTCGAGACCAGCCTGGCCTGATCCGCCCGCCTCGGCCTCCCAAAGTGCAGAGTTATAGGCGTGAGCCACCGTGCCCGGCCTACACACACATTTTTGTACTAAAAATACAAAAATTAGCTGGGTGTGGCGCCTATAATCCCAGCTACTTGGGAAACTGAGGCACAAGAATCTCATGAATCCGGGAGGTGGAGGTTGCAGTGAGCCGAGATCACGCCACTGCACTCCAGCCCAGGCGACAGAGTGAGACCCTATCTCAACAACAAAAGGGTATGAAGTCGGATGAGAAAGCTCACCTGTCCTTGGTCCATGGCACCCTCAGGACAAAGCCGCCTCCTGCCTCTCCCACTGAGCTGGGGCCTCAGATTCCCCTCTGCCAGGGCTGTCTTTGCTGACAGGGAGTGTGGGAGGATTGGGTGTCTCTGCTAGCAAACACCTGCTGCCCGTTATCTTCAACTCCCTTCAGAGAAGCCTGGATAAATCAGAAACTCTATCTTCAGCAGAGGCTAATCATGAAACCAAGCAGCCCCTGTTTAGGCTGGCCTTCCTCCCCTGAGATATTTGGAGGAAAAACAGCCTTTCCCAGCCTCAACTGGCCTCGGTGGATGGATGTAGAGTCCCCTGGCAATGGAACCAGTCACCAGCCCCCGAGAGGTTTAGAAAGAATCAGAGCCTGGGCTCTGTGATGGGGACAATATTAAGTCACTCTCTCACTCTGGGCCTGCTTCTCATCTGCAAAACAGAAGCTTAGGACTCTGATCCTTAGTGCCTGTAATAAGTAAAAACATTTGCATTGGTAAGACACCAGCGCTAACCACGCAGAGTGGACACTAACCAGAAACAACTGATGTGCTGGCCATGATGAGGACCATCGGTCCTTTGAATTTTGTGTTTCAACACTTTGGTGTGCCTCCTTCCAGGATCTGTTTCTCCTGTGCATTACACACAATTTTTTTTTTTTTTTTTTTGAGACAGAGTCTCACTCTCCCCCCGGGGCTAGAGTGCAGTGGCACGATCTCAGCTCACTGCAACCTCCACCTCCCAAGTTCAAGTGATTCTCCTGCCTCAGCCTCCCAAGTAGCTGGGATTACAGGCGCCTGCCACTATGCCCAGCTATTCTTTTGTATTTTAGTTAAAAAATATTTTTGGGCCGGGCGCGGTGACTCACGCCTGCAATCCCAGCACTTTGGGAGGCTGAGGCGGGCGGATTATGAGGTCAGGAGTTCGAGACCAGCCTGGCCAAGATGGTGAAATCTCGTCTCTACTAAAAATACAAAAATTAGCTGGGTGTGGTGGCCTACGCCTGTAGTCCCCGCTACTTGGGAGGCTGAGGCAGGAGAGTCACTTGAACCCGGGAGGCGGAGGTTGCAGTGAACCAAGATTGTGCCATTGCACTCCAGCCTGGGCAACAAGAGTGAAACTCCATCTAAAAAATATATATATCTATAGATATATCTATAGATAGGTATATTTGGTAGACACGGGGTTTCACCATGTTGGCCAGGCTGGTCTCGAACTTCTGACCTCGACGAGTGATCTGCCCACCTCGGCCTCCCAAAGTGCTGGGATTATAGGCGTGAGCCACTGTGCCCAGCCTACACACATGCTTTGCATTATACCTTTTCATAACATGGCATATTGACTTACTGTCCCCAACACATCCAGTTTGGATGTGTTATTTAATGTCACCACAATCCATAGATATTGGTCATTCTAATTTTTTGCCCTTAACAATGTCAAACAACTTGCAGCATCCACTTGTGCAGATGCTTCAAAGCCAGTCCTGCATTCTACGGTGGGGTCGGGGGCAGGAGATGGGGATCGTGGTCCCGGTTGAGATCAGGGCTTCCTTGAATGTGGGGTTCACTCTTGGATGACTGGCCCTTGAAAGCACCCCTGGCACTCATTCTATTAAGTGATCTTTTCTCCCAGACTTTTAAAAGGCAAAGTCCCAGAATCCAAGTCCAACAGAAAAGAAAAGTGGAGCTTTGGCCAGGTGTGGCTCACACCTGTAATCCCAGCTCTTTGGGAAGCCAAGGCAGGAGGATCACCTGAGGTCAGGAGTTTGAGACCAGCCTGGCCAACATGGTGAAACCCCGTCTCTACTAAAAATATAAAAATTAGCCGGGTGTGGTGGGGCATGCCTGTTATCCCAGCTACTCGGGAGGCTGAGGGAGGAGAATCGCTTGAGCCCAGGAAGCAGAGGTTTCAGTGAGCCGAGATCACGCCATTGCACTCTAGCCTGGGCAACAGAGCATGACTCCATCTCAAAAAAAAAAAGTGGAGGCTTACTGGAAGAAGGGGTCAGGGGTACCCAGAGAGCCTTCTCTCTAGCCTCATCCTCCCAGCTTGTATTCTTATGAACCCCCAAATCCAGAGCATTTTGAAAAGTGCCCCAATCCCTCCCTGACATTTTACAGATGGAAAAAGAGGCTCAAAAGATGGCACTCCCTATGGCCCCTCCAGTGGGGACAGAGATGGGCCAGCGGCCAGGCCTCACTTCATACCATGCCTTTTCCCTCGTCACTGACCCAACGATCTTTTTTTCTTCCCAAAGGGACTAAAGGGGCTACAGATAGGCCCTGTCCCCACAGTGCGCTTTCCCAGTCCCTAGAGAGGCCTGAGGAGGGTGGCATGCTCTCATTCCTAGACAGTTGGTGAGGAGCTGGGGCCCCGAATTCCCGGCCCCCCATTTCTAGGCATGGACCTCACTCACTCACTTCCGGGCCCACAAAGGGACTCAGGGAGAAGACCCAGCCCGGGGACTGCTGGGGGGTGGCCACTCAGGAAAGGGCCCTGAGGCGATGGGCCTGCCATTGAAAGTGTGGGAGCAGTCACCCTGGGAAGCCCCTTTTACAGCCCACACCCTGTGTGTCCAGTTCGAAGCTTGCTGGAGAGCTCCAGGGAACGACTCCCTCCAGGCTAAAGGCAGAACCCACCTTCTGGCCTCCCGTTAAAACAATCCCCCCAGCAGAGTACAAGTTCAAATCCCGGCACTTCTAGGCATGAGGCCCTGGACAAACCACATAACCTCTCTGTCTCCGTTTTCTCATCTAAAATGGGGGAGTAGGCTGGGCATGGTGGCTCACACCTGTAATCCCAGCACTTTGGGAGGCCGAGGCGGGTGGAACACCTGAGGTCAGGAGTTTGAGACCACCCTGCCCAACATGGCGAAACCCCATCTCTACTAAAAATTTAAAAATTAGCTGGGCATGGTGGTGCGTGCCTGTAATCCCAGCTACTTGGGAGGCTGAGGCAGGAGAATCTCTTGAACCTGGGAGGCAGAGGTTGCAGTGAGCCGAGATCGTGCCACTGCACTCCAGCCTAGGCAACAGAGCGAGACTCCGTCTCAAATAATAATAATCATAATTAATAAATAATAAAATGGGCGAGTAAAAGAGTTAATATTGGCCGGGCGCGGTGGCTCACGCTTGTAATCCCAGCAATTTGGGAGGCCGAGGCGGGCGGATCACGAGGTCAGGAGATCGAGACCATCCTGGCTAACACGGTGAAACCCCGTCTCTACTAAAAATACAAAAAAATTAGCCGGGCGTGGTGGCGGGCGCCTGTAGTCCCAGCTACTCAGGAGGCTGAGGCAGGAGAATGGCGTGAACCCGGGAGGCAGAGCTTGCAGTGAGCCGAGATTGCGCCACTGCACTCCCGCCTGGGCCACAGAGCGAGACTTCGTCTCAAAAAAAAAAAAAAAGGGTTAATATCTGTAAGGGCTTGGAAGGGTGCCTGGCGCACAGGATACTGTGTGTTGTCACTACTGTTGTGGTAGTGTAGGGACTCACAAGGCCTGCTAGCGCTCCCTTGGTGGAAACTGCACTTCCCAGCAGGAGGAATTCCCTGAGATTCCCCAACCTGCAGGGAGTGCCTGTGTCAGGTATGATTTCCCTGAAGGCTCTTTCCCCACGCCCAGCAGAGGGCACCATTCACTCAAACCACCACCACAGCGCATAGAACTCCCAGCCCAAGCGCCAGGTCTGCAGGGAGGGAGGGAGAGAGGAAGGGAACAGTGGCACTGGCTGCCACATGCCACACAGGGAGTCAGCTGGGTGGCCGGAACGGCCTTGGACACTGATGAAGACAGTCAATATGGAGTCAGTTACATGTTCTCCCGCCTCACAACCCTGGGGAGAGTTTCGATGGTTCCCTTTTATTTAAAGGAAATTGCAGCCAGGCGTGATGGCTCACACCTGTAATCCCAGCACTTTGGAAGGCCAAGGTGGGAAAAATCATTTGAGCCCAGGAGTTCCAGACCAGCCTGGGCAACATAGTGAGACCCCATCTCTATTAAAAAACAATTTTTTTTGATTCATCTGAGTGTGGTGACACACACCTGTGGTCCCAGCTACTCGGGAGGCTGAGGAGGAGGATCCCTTGAGCCTAGGAGGTCAAGGCTGCAGTGAGCCGTGATTACACCACTGCACTCCAGCCTGGGTGACAGAACAAGACCCTGCCTCAAAAAAAACGAAAAAATGAGAGAGAGGTTAATGGCCACATACGATCAGGAAGCAGCAGAGACAGTTTTGGGGTCTAGATCTCCTTGATTGCCAGGTGGGCTCTTTTTACAATTAAGGATATAAACTCCAGTTGCAGATGGGGCCGTGGGGCAGGCAGGCCGTAGAAGGTGCCCTTCAGGTAATGCTTATGGCTTCCTGCAAGGTGGAGTTGGCCTCACTGACTCTGAGACTCTGTAGCCCTGAAGCACAAAAGCCACAGCATTCCCAGCCACTTCTGGGGTCCCCTTGAGTATGTGGCATCATCTAAGGCTTTTTTATTCATTCGTTTAACAACTTCATTGAGCACCTGTTCTGTGCAAGACACTGGTTTTTTTTTGGAGATACAGTCTCGCTCTATCCCCCAGGCTGGAGTGCAGTGACGCGATCTTGGCTCACTGCAAACCTCCACCTCCCGAGTTCAAGTGATCCTCCTGCCTCAGCCTCCCGAGTAGCTGGGATTACAGGCGCATGCCACCATGCCTGGCTAACTTTTGTATTTTTAGTAGAGACGGAGTTTCACTATGTTGGCCAGGTTGGTCTTGAATTCCTGACCTCAGGTGATCCACCTGCCTCGGCCTCCCAAACTGCTGGGATTACAGGCGTGAGCCGCCGTGCCCAGCCCCAAGACACTGTTCTTGGTGCTAGGGTTATAGCAATGCAGAAAACAGTAAAAAAGCCCAGTGAGCCGGGCGCGGTGGCTCACGCCTGTAATCCCAGCACTTTGGGAGGCCAAGGCAGGTGGATCACGAGGTCAAGAGATCGAGACCATTCTGGCCAACACGGTGAAACCCCATCTCTACTAAAAATACAAAACATTAGCGCGGCGTGGTGGCACGTGCCTGTAGTCCCAGCTACTCGGGAGGCTGAGGCAGGAGAATGGCATGAACCTGGGAGGCAGAGCTTGCAGTGAGCCGAGATCATGCCACTGCACTCCAGCCTGGGGAACAGAGCAAGACTCCGTCTCAAAAAAAAAAAAAAAAAAAGAGCCCAGCACTAACATGGGGGCTGCAGGTAGATATATGTGTAGGGCCCACATACCAAATGTGTCAAGATCGACATCACAAACTCCTAAGTAAAAGATACTCTATCTTTCTACTTGGACAGGTGTATCCTCACAGTGATTGGGAGAGCCAGATTTAAATCTGAATTCACAGACACCTAGAATACTGGGCTAGAGTGTGCCTCCGTGGGGAGGGTGAGTCCCAGCCCAGGAGCAGCGGCCAGTGCCCTGCTCTACCCAGCCCAAGCACCATCCAGCACCACCAGGCTCCTTGTGTGGCACCCCAACCCATGTGTCCCAGCTCCCTCCACTGTCCCCCAGCACAGCATTCCATTGACCACCCCATGGGCCTTGGAGTACACACCTGGGCTGTGCTGGCTGCCTGGGGACAGAACTGGGGAAGGCCTGAGGGACAAAGATGCTGGTTCTAGTAGTCACATTTCCTTTTTTTTTTTTTTTTTTTTTTTTTTGAGACAGAGTCTCACTCTGTTGCCTAGGCTGGAGTGCAGTGGTGTAATCTTGGCTCACAGCAATCTCCGCCTCCCAGGTTCAAGCGATTCTCGTGCCTCAGCCTCCTGAGTAGCTGGGACTACAGGTGCACAACACCACACCCAGCTAATCTTTGTATTTTTTGGTAGAGATAGGATTTCGCCATGTTGGTCAGGCTGGTCTCGAACTCTTGACCTCAAATGATCCGCCTGCCTCAGCCTCACAAAGTTCTGGGATTACAGGCGTGAGCCACTGTGCCCGGCCAGTAGTCACATTTCCTTAGCTCTATGAGGAGGGGCAGAAGGGCAGGGTAGAGGCCCTTGCTGCCCAGTCTAAGGGAGTTTTCAATGAGAAACAGTCCATAAACAAGACAAATCAGTAAAATACGTGGTCTAGTAAAAGTGAAGCATGGAGGAAAATGGAGCTGGGATGGGGCCTAGGGAGGAAGGGCCTGGGGGTAGGGCTCAGTTCTAGGAGCCAGGGAAGGCACTGCTGGGAAGGTGGCATTTGGACAAAGACTGGAGGCTATCAGGGAGCAAGTATGCAGTGTCCTGTCTACATAAAAGGAATGGCAAGGGCTAAGGGTTTAGCAGGTTTCAGCAGGGTTTAGCAGGGAGGCCAGTGTGGCTGGAGCAGAGGGACGGGTTGAGATGGGTCGAGAGTGTGTGCAGAGATGAGGTTGGACAGGTAAGGAGCGGGGGGCCAAGGCGCCCAGTCCTGGGTGTCCTCCTTCACGCCTGGGCTGGAGGCTGAGTTCAGGGCAAGGCCCAGTCCCAGGAGCCCTGAAAAAGGCCTGACTCAGCTCCATCCCGGGGCTGGCAGAACCTGGTTCCTCCTCTGCTGTATCCTCAGTCCCTGAGGATGCGGCAGGGCCTGTCGGGGCCTGTGGGCAGCTGCAGAGCTGGCAGGCGGGAGCTAGGAGATTCCTCTCTCGGGGAACCGGGGAGCCTGTCTGAGAGCGCCCTGTAGTCTGGTAGGGCGGTGGCTAAGACAGCAGCCCCTAAAGGCTGCAGATGTGGGAGTGACTCACCACCCTGGCCTCTCAGTGGGCTGAAAGGAGACCCCTAGGAGGCGATGGTGGAAAAGCACTCAGTGTTTAGCGCTGAGCCTGCAGTGCAGTTGGGGATCGCCAGGTGGTCACTGCCAGCCTTGTCCTCGCTTGGTATTAGGCCCTCTCCAAGTTAGAGGTGGGGTGGGAAGCCACCCCTGCATTCCCTGTACCCACTGCCCAGCAAGCGGCAGGGGTGTGGCGGGCCGGGGAGGAATCTGAGAGGGGCGGGGCGGGTCAGGAATGCCTGGGCTCCGTTCCAACTTCTGTCCCCACTGTTGTCCATCCGGTAAACCACGGCCAGCCCACAGCTGACAGGGCAGGGCGCTGAGACCTCTGTGTGTCCTCCAGGAACCTGACGACCCAGGCACTCCAGGAAGACGATGCCCACTAATTACAAGAATGATAGACTGGGCGCAGTGACTCAAGACTGTAATCTCAGCAGTTTGGGAGGCCGAGGCGGGCCGGTCACTTGAGGCCAGGAGTTCAAAACCAGCCTGGCCAACAAGGTGAAAACCCATGTCTACTAAAAATACAAAAGATAGTGGGGCATGGTAGAGGGCGCCTGTAACCCTAGCTACTCCGGAGGCTGAAGCAGGAGAATCCTTGAACCTGGGAGGTGGAGGTTGCAGCAAGTCGAGATCCCACCACTGCAGTCCAGCCTGGGTGACGAGCAAAATTCCATCTCAAAAAAAAAAAAAAGATAATTAGTAGGACTTGAACAAATTAAGCAGTTACCATGTGCCAGGTAAAACGCTGAAGTTTCACTCCAAATCAAACCACGTTTCCTCAGAGCCTCTGCACTTGCTGTGCCCTCTGCCTGGCATGCCATTCCCCTAGATTTCTCTCGGCTCCCTCACGTCCTTCAGGCATCACCCACATGTCAGCCTGTCAGAGATGCCAGCCCTGAAGGGGACTGCATCCTCCTTAGAATTGCAGCCCTGCACCCCCCAATGCTTTATCTTTTCTGTCTTTCTTTCTTTTCTTTTCTTTCTTTCTTTTTCTTTTTTTTTTTCTTTTTTTTGAGACCGAGTCTCGCTCTGTCGCCCAGGCTGGAGTACAGCGGCATGATCTCAGCTCACTGAAACCTCCACCTCCCGGGTTCAGGCGATTCTCCTGCCTCAGCCTCCTGAGTAGCTGGGATTACAGGCACCTGCCACCACACCTGGCTAATTTTTGTATTTTAGTAGAGACGGGGTTTTACCATGTTGGTTAGGCTGATCTCAATCTCCTGACCTCAGGTGATCCACCCACCTCGGCCTCCCAAAGTGCTGGGATTACAGGTGTGAGCTACCATGCTGGCAGATTTTTGTATTTTTTAATTAGGTACTGGGTTTCACTATGTTGACCAGACTGGTCTCAAACTCCTGAACTCAGGTGATCTGCCCACCTCAGCCTCCCAAAGTGCTGGGAGTACAGGTGTGAGCCACTGCACCCAGCCTATTTGTTGTTTTTCTGGGACAAGGTCTCACTCCATCTACTAGGCTGAGTGCAGTGGTATAATCACAGTTCACTGCAGCCTTGACCTCCTGGATTCAAGCAATCCTCCCACCTCAGCCTGCTGAATAGCTGGGACTACAGGTGTGTACCACCACCCCCAGCTGATTTTTTGTTTTTGGTAAGGAAGGGGTCTCACTGTGTTGCCCAGGCTGGTCTCGATCTGGCTTCAAGCCATCCTCCCTCCTGGGCCTCCCAAAGTGTTGGGATTACAGGCACGAGCCCCTGCACCCGGCGCAGAAGCACTCTTGTCAATTAGAGTGCTGGCAAGCAAGAGAGGCAAGCTCAAAAGGTGACCGGAGAAGGGTTCATGGAGGTGCAGTCTACAGTGGGGTGAGCAGGGTTGCAGGGTCTCCCTCCGTCACCCAGGCTGGAGTACAGTGGCACAATCTCGGCTTACTGCAACCTCTGCCTCCCAGGTTCAAGCGATTCTACTACCTAAGCCTCCCAAGGTGCTGGGATTGTAGGCGCCCTCCACCACGCCCGGCTAATTTTTGTATTTTTAGTGGAGACAAGGTTTCGCCATATTGGCTAGGCTGGTTTCAAGCGACCCACTCACCTCGGCCTTCCAAAGTGCTGGGATTACAGGCGTGAGCCACCGCGCCTGGCCTCCTTTTTCTGTCTCCTTCATTTCTAAAGACGGCACCATCATCAGCCCAGCTGCCCAAACCAGAAACCTAAACACCTTGTCCTCAACTCCTTCCTTTTATTGACTGCCCATGCTGATCATCCATGGAGTCCTCCCAGATATCCTGGAATTCAACCACTTCTGTCCATTCTCCACCACCACCTTTGTCCCAGCCACCAGCACCCCAACTGGGATGGCCACAATGGCCTCTGCGCTGGTTAATTCCCCGTTTCCCCCAGATCCACTCTCTTCCCTTCTTCCCGCTGCTCTGCAACCAGGAGGCAGCCCTAGCTGCCCTGTGTTCTGGATTAGGTTGGTTACATTGGGGGAAGGAACCCACAGGAGATGGGGCGGGAAGGAGGGGAAGTGGCAGTATCCCTCCGCCTGCTCCCTCCCTGCCGGGCTGGGTTTGGCACTGGCTGCGCTCTGCACCCTCTATGGCCACAGCTCCTGTCATGTGGACCCTCTTCCATGGCTCCAACACTCCCTGGGGTCTGAAAGGCAGTTTCTGCACTTGCCCTGTTAGGACTAAGGGCTGCCCTGGCTTCCCATTTGCTAGTCTGAGGATGCCTCGCCATCCCAGCTGGTCACCCTAACCGAGTGGTTCTCAACCAGGGGTAGTTATGCCATCTCAGGGGATATTTGGCAATGTCTGGAGTCATTTGTGGTTGTTACCACTGGAGTGGGGGTGCTACTGGCATCTAATGAGTAGAGGCCAGAGATGTTGCTAAACCCCCTACAATGCACAGGACAGCCCCCACAGCACATGATCCTCCCTCTGAAAAGTCAATAGAGCTTAGATTGAAAAACTATGGCTGGGCGCGGTGGCTCACGCCTGTAATCCCAGCACTTTGGAAGGCCGAGGCAGGCGGATCGCTTGAGACCAGCCTGGCCAACATGGCAAAACCCCGTCTCTACTAAAAATACAAAAATTAGCCGAGTGTGGTGGCGGGCGCCTGTAATTCCAGCTACTCAGGAGGCCGGGGCAGGAGTAATCGTTTGAACCCAGGAGGCAGAGGTTGCAGTGAGCCGAGATTGAGTGACTGCACTCCAGCCTGGGCGACAGAGCGAGATTCTGTCTCAGAAGAAAAAAGGAGAGAAAGAGAAAAAGGGAGAGAGAGAGAGAAAGAAGAAAAGAAGAAAGGAAGAAAGGAGAGAGGGAAGGAGAGAAGGGAGGGGAGGGGAGGAGAGGGGAGGGGAGGGGAAGGAGGGGGGAGGGGGGAGGGGACGGGAGGAAAGGGGAGGGGAGGGGAGGGGAGGGGAGGAGAGAAGGCGAGGTGGCTCATGCCTGTAATCCCAGCACTTTGGGAGGCCAAGGTGGACGGATCCACTGAGGTCGGGAGTTTGAGACCAGCCTGACCAACATGGAGAAACCCTGTCCCTACTAAAAATACAAAACTAGCCGGGCATGGTGACGCATGCCTGTAATCCCAGCTACTCGGGAGGCTGAGGCAGGAGAATCGCTTGAACCCAGAAGGCGGAGGTTGCCGTGAGCTGGGTTGCGGCATTGCACTCCAGCCTGGGCAACAAAAGTGAAACTCCAGCAGAGAGAGAGAGAGGGAGAAAGAGAAAAAAAGAAAGAAAAAGAAAGAAAAGGAAAGAAGAAAGAAAGAGAAAGAGCAGGTGTGAGGAGGGCAGTGCAGAGTTCTGGGCATTTTGAACACTTGGAGGCGGCTGGGGGACCTGTGAGTGAGGAAGTTCAGGTGCAGCAGGGCTACCCAAGGTTACACAGGTGAGGAACTGCACACAGGGCTGGCTGCACGCAGGGCTGGCTGCGCCCATGCCAGGGACGGTATGGTGCCGGTTTCCCACAGCCTCTGTTCTGCTTCCCACTGGAGAGGGGACGGGGAAGTGGCCAGCAGCTGGAGAGGAAGGGAAAGGGGAAGTGGTGGTCCCGTGGGAACTTACATCCTTTATTTCATCTTCTTTGCCTCCCCACTGGGGTGGTTTCCCAGGAAGAGAAGTAAAAGCTGAGGGGTGAGGCCTGAGTAGGGGGCACGAGGGCGAGGGCATGGGCACTGACTCACAGAGAGGAGCAGAGGAACCCTGCTTGTGTCACCTTTCAGTATCGGACAGTGGAGTGGGAGGATAAGAGGAACAAGGCAGCCCTGTCTACTCTGGGTGCAGCCCAGGGATGGAGGAGCAGCCAGTGCTCCCAGGACAGCCCTAAGATGGAAGTTTTGAGAGTGCACCCTCCACCCTGCATGATCCTAGGAAGCTAGGAGTCCAGAGATGTTCCTTGTGTTTTGTTTGTTTCTTGGGTTTTTTTGTTTTCTTTTTTTTTTTTTTTTTTGAGACAGACTCTCGCGATGTCACCCAGGCTGACGTGCAGTGGCACAATCCCAGCTCACTGCAGCCTCAACCCCCCAGGCTCGAGCAATCCTCCCATTCGGCCTCCCGAGTAGCTGGCACTACAGGTGCATGTGACTATGCCTGGCTAATTTTTGTACTTTTTATAGAGATGGGGTTTCTCCATGTTATCCAGGCTGGTTTCCAACTCCTGGGCTCAAGCAATCCTCCCACCTTGACCTCCTAAATCCTGGGATTACAGGCGTGAGCCATCACACCCGGCCCAGAGAGGTTTCAACAAGAGCAGCTGGAGCTGGGAGTAAACAGTGGCCAAGCAGAATTTCAAAAGAAAATAATAATAAAGCTACGATAATAGCAACAATAATAATAATGGTCATAATAATTATAATAACCTTGTCTTAAAAGCATTCTAAGAGCGGGTAGTCTATGGGTACATTTTCTCTTATCTGGCTCCAATCAGGTGGCCAGAGTGATCTGATCTTTCTAAGATGAAAATCCAATACCATAACATTGTGCAGATGGTGAAGATGTTATAATCCCCATTTGACAGATATGGGAGAACGGTGGGAGAACTTGGCTGAAATTTGAACTCAGGACCTCTCAATTCCCAGGTTCCTTTTTTTTTTTGAGATGGCGACTCCCTCTGTCACCCAGGCTGGAGTGCAGTGGCTCGATCTTGGCTCACTGCAACCTCCGCCTCCCGGGTTCAAGCAATTCTCCTGCCTCAGCCTCCCAAGTAGCTGGGATTACAGGCCTGTGCCACCATGCCCAGCTAATTTTTGTATTTTTAGTAGAGTTGGGGTTTCACCATGTTGGCCAGGCTGGTCTCGAACTCCTGACCTCAGGTGATCCACCCGCCTCAGCCTCCCAAAGTGCTGGGATTAAAGGCATGAGCTACCGTGCCTGGTCAATTCCAAGGTTCTTAAGCAGCCCCCTCGCAGCCAGTGCAGCATCCTCCCTTTCTGATCTGTCTCCCCTCCTCCTGTGATCTCCCCGCCCTTCTGTCCCTCCTCTCCCCACTCTCTGTGTCTCTATGGAAATGAAGTCAAGATTGTTTTTGGTTGACTACTCTTTATGACCCTTGAAAAACATTTTAAATGTTGATCTATCTCATACATTGTTTCCGTCAAGGAAAAACAATAAAATTAAGTCGCTTCACTTTTATATGTCTCCCCCTGTCTCTTTTGCCCCACTAATAATTCAGTTGACCCTCAATAAAGGGGGAAAAAGTTCCCTAATCCTAATCAACAAGCATATCGGGTTGCTCTTCTTCCTGCTGGCTGAGGCGGGAGCAAGTTTATTTTTCCAGGGATTTTAGACATCCCGACCCTGGAGCTGCCAGGGAATAGTGTCAAGGTGTTGATTTCAAGTGTTTCAGAGTCTGCTTACAAACCCTCCACCCCTCCTCTCGGTGCCCACCTCCCCTGACCTAGGCCAAACCCCCAGATTTCTTGTTGAGATGATTGCAGGAGCCTCCCAGCTGTGCTCCCTGCTTCCCAAGGACTCCTCCTCCAGCTATGCCAGAGTGACCTTTCCGGAACGCAGATCCCATCACATCCCTTCTCTGCTTAAACACTTCCGTTCTGTTCCCATGACCTACTGGACAAGGGCCAAGCAGCATGTCATTGGACGCCCTTCAAATCCCAGCCTAGGTTGACCTTATAGCCCTGGCTCCTGCCCACTGTCCCGCTCCCCAGGTACAGACCACACAGCCACACTGGGCAATGCACCCTTCCTGGAATATAGGCCTTCCTGCTGCTTTACCTTTGCTTGTGCTGTTTCCCCTACCTGGTGTGCCTTTTCTTCTCACCCCATCCCTGCCCAAATCTGATCAATTTTTATTCTATTTATTATTATTATTATTATTATTATTATTTTGGAGACAGAGTTTCGCTCTGTCACCCAGGCTGGAGTGCGGTGGCTCGATCTCAGCTCACTGCAACCTCCGCCCCCTGGGTTCAAGCAATCCTCCTGCCTCAGCCTCCCAAGTAGCTGGGATTACAGGTACACGCTACCATGCCCAGCTAATTTTTATATTTTTAGTAGAGACGGGGTTTCATTATGTTGGCCAGGCTGGTCTCGAACTCCTGACGTCAGGTGATCTGCCCACCCTGGCCTCCCAAAGTGGTGGGATTATAGGCGTGAGCCACCGCACCCAGCCCCCCAGTTAGATCTTGAGCTCACTGAGCACCTTTGCCTAATTATGTTCAGCCTCTACCCTCACCCCAGCACCAAGCACAGGACCTGAGACCCAGGCAGGTGCTGAGAAATCGGAATTGAAATCCAGGACTGAAAACCTTCTGTGAATTCCATCACCACATTCCCAGCAAAGGGAGTTAATGGCTGGTCTCTAGTCTCTCAACGACTTTGCCTCTGCCTTAGCCTACAAGCAGCTTAGTTCCTGCCAAAATGTCATTTTTTTCCCCAGGAAGCCTTCTGGATTTAGTATTCCTCCCCTAGAGTTTTCTTAGCATCTGTATGAATACACCCAGCACACAGAATTGTAATTGTCTCTTTACCTGTCCATTTCCCCAACCAGTCTGAGGGACTGTGATCTCGCCCACCGAAGGTCCCTGGTGATAGGTAATAGCTGTAGAGCACTTTCAGCTACCAAATGTATTCCGAGCACTTTATGTGTACTACCTCATTTAAGTATCAAGACAAGGCCGGGTTCAGTGGTTTGTCTGTAATCCCAGCGCTTTGGGAAGCGGAGGCAGGAGGATTGCTTGAAGCCAGGACTAGCCTGGGTCAACATAGCAAGACTTCATCATTACAAAAATTTAAAAATTAGCCAGGCATGGTGGCCCGTGTCTGTAGTCCCAGCCACTTGGGAGGCTGAGGCAGGATCACTTGATCCCAGGAGTTTGAGGCTGGCAGTGAGCTATGATTGGGCCACTGCACTCTAGCCTGGGCGATAGAACAAGACCCTGTCTCAAAAAATAAAAAGTATCAGGACAACCTCATAAGAGAGGTACTATTAGCTCCATTTTACGGAGGGGCAAACCAAAGTCAGAGAAGTTCTAAACTTGCCCAATGCCACACACCCAGGAAGTAGCAGAAAGGGAATTTGAGGCCGGGCGCCATGACTCACGCCTGTAATCCCAACTCTTTGGAAGGCTGAGGTGAGCAGATCACTCGAAGCCAGGAGTTCGAGACCAGCCGTGCCAACATAGCAAAACCCCATCTCTACTAAAAATACAAAAAATTAGCCAGGCATAGTGGTGCAGCCCTGTAGTCCCAGCTACTCGGGAGGCTGAGGCAGGAGAATTACTTGAACCTGGGAGACGGAGGTTGCAGTGAGCCAAGATGGTGTCACTGCACTCCAGCCTGGGCGACAGAGCACGACTCTCAAAAAAAAAAGAAAGGATTTGAATCCAGCTCTTGCCCACTCCACAGTAGTATTAATTGCATAACTGAGTGAGAGGAACTGGGGCGATGTTCAAGTAGCCCGGGCACACCCTGGAGTCCTGCTCATCTTCTCCCAGAGACATAGCCCCACTCCAGCCTGCAGGGAGTTGCCCAATAGCAAGGCCAAGGTCTGTACTCATAAAGCGTTCTTGGTGCACAGCATTTTAATAAAGACATGTTGTTCTTTGCCCTGAGAAGCCGCCCCACTTCCTGCCACCCCACAGGGAGGTCCTGGGAATGGTTAACATTGCTTTGCTGATGAATAGCCTCTGGAGTAGCGTAAGAAACAAAAGACCTCACAGTACCAGGCCTGCTGCCAGATCCCTGGACCACCCCTCTCCTTGCTGGTGGGCACAACATATGGTTCAAAAACCTGAAACAAGCACATGACCTTTGACCCAGTAACTCCACTTGGAGAAGTTCATCTTAAAGACCTGCCCATACAATTTCTCACAGGTGTACAGATTAAGGATTTCCTCGCAACATTGCTTGTAAGACTAAGCATTGGCCAGGCACTGTGGCTCATGCCTGTAATCCCAACACTTTGGGAGGCTGAGGCGGGTGGATCACCTGAAATCAGGAATTCGAGACCTGCTTGACCAACATGGTGAAACCCCATCTCTACTAAAAATACAAAATTGGCTGGGTGTGGTGGTGCATGTCTGTAATCCCAGCTACTTGGGAGGCTGAGGCAGGAGAATCACTTGAACCCGGGAGGCGGAGGTTGCAGTGAGAGAAAAAAAAAAAAAAGACTAAGCACTGGAAAAAACCCAGGTTCTTCAAAAAGGGAATTGATTCAATAAATTGTAGGCATTCAAATCGTGGAAAATCATACTGACATTAAAGTGCTATTGAGGCAGCCAGGCACAGTGGCTCACTCCTGTAATCCCAGTACTTTGGGAAGCCAAAGTGGGAAGATTGCTTGAGCCCAGGAGCTCGAGACCAGGCTGGGCAACATATCGAGACCCTCATCTCTACAAAAGATTAAAAATCAGCCATGTGTGGTGGTTCTTGCCTGTAGTCCCAGATACTCCAGAGGCTGAGGTGGGAAATTTACTTGAGCCCAGGAGTTTGAGGTTACAATGAGCTATGACCATGCCACTGCACTCCAGCCTGGGTGACAGAATGAGACTCCGGCTCAAAAAAAAAAAAAAAAAAAGAAAAGAAAAAAACTGATAACAGTAGTTGCCTCTGGGGAGGGAAGGAGGGTAGCACGGGATGGTACAGTAAGACTTACTGTTTTGGTTTCTTTGTTTTGTTGGAGACAGGATCTCACTCTGTCTGTCAGGCTGGAGTGCCTTGGCGTGACCATAGCTCACTGCAGCCTCAACCTCCCGGGCTCAAGTGATCCTCCTGCCTCAGCCTCCCAAGTAACTGGGACTACAGGCACAAGCCACCATGCCCAGATTTTTTTCTTTTTTTTTTTTTTTTAAGTAGAGACAGGGTCTCACTATGTTGTCCAGGCTACTCTCAAATTCCTGAGCTCAAGTGATCCTCCCACTTTGGCCTCCCAAAGTGCTGGGATTATAGGCATAAGCCAACAGGCCTGGCCAATAAAATACAATTATATGTTTTTGTCTGAAGAGACAAAGGTTGGATATAGCTCAAAATGTCAATTGTGATTATCTCTAGAGTGACAGATGATTTGTATTTTTCTTATTTTTGCTTATCTGCATTTAAAATTTTTTTCTATTGCAGATCTTTATTACTTGTATAATTTTTCAAAGGAAAATATACAGTGCTCAATATTCATGATTAGATAAATTAAAACGACAATAAGATACCACTACCTACCTATTAGAATGGCTAAAATTGAAAAGACTGGCAACATACCAAAGGCTAACAAGGATGTGGAGCAACTAGAAGTCTCATGCATTGCTGACGGCATTATAAAATGGTATGGCCACAGCTGTGGCCTAGATGTGTTTGTCCCCAACCAAACTCATGTTGAAATTTAGTTGTCAGTGTAACAGTGTTAGGAAGCAGTGCCTTAAAGTTGTGATTAGGTCAGGCCGAGCGCGGTGGCTCACGCTTGTAATTCCAGCGCTTTGGGAGGCCGAGGCGGGCAGATCACTTGAGGTCAGGAGTTCGAGACCAGCCTGGCCAACATGGTGAAACCCCGTCTCTACTAAAAGTACAAAAATTAGCCGGGCGTGGTGGCAGGCACCTGTAATCCCAGCTACTCGGGAGGCTGAGGCAGGAGAATCGCTTGAACCTGGGAGTTAGACGTTGCAGTGAGTTGAGATGGCGCCATTGCACTCCAGCCTGGGGGATAAGAGCGAGACATCCTCTAAAGAAAAAAAAAAAAAAGAAAGATGTGATTAGGTCATTAAGATAGATTTATATCTTTCTCAGAGACTGGGTTATTGTGCCTGCTTCCACCTCCACTTTTCCCCATGAGTTAAAGCAGCACCAGGCCTTCACTATATGAGCTGCCCAGTCTTGGACTTCCCAGACTCCAGAATCATGAGCTAAATAAACTTTTTCTTTTTCCTTTTCTTTTCTTTTTTTCTTTTTGAGACAGAGTCTCATTCTGTTGCCCAGGCTGGAGTTGCCCAGGCTGGAGTTGCCCAGACTGGAGTGCAGTGGCACAATCATGGCTCACTGCAATCTCTGCCCCCAGGTTCAAGTGATCCTCCTACCTCAGCCTCCTGGGTAGCTAGGACTACAGGCACGTGCCACTCTGGCTAGTTTTTGTATTTTTTCTAGAGATAGATTTTGCCATGTTGCCCAGGCTGATCTCAAACTTCTGAGCTCAAGTGATCCTCCCACCTCAGCCTCCCAAAGTGCTGGGATTACAGGTGTGAGCCACCGAACTGGCTAAACTTTTTTTGTGTGTTAAATTACCCAGTGTCAGGAATTCTGTTATAGCAACGTAAAACAGACTAAGACAGCCACTTTGAAAAACAGTTTGGCTGGCTGGGTGTGGTGGCTCATGCCTATAATCCCAGCACTTTGGGAGGCCGAGGCGGGTGGATCATCTGAGGTCAGGAGTTCAAAACCAGCCTGGCCAAGATGTCAAAAACCCATCTCTACTAAAAATACAAAAAAATTAGCCAGGTGTGGTGGCGCATGCCTGTAACCCCAGCTACTCGGGAGGCTGAGACAACAAAATCGCTTGAACCCGGGAGGTGGAGGTTGCAGTGAGCCGAGATTGCTCCACTGCACTCCATCCTGGGCAACAGAATGAGACTCTGTCTCAAAAAAATAAAAATAAAAAAGGAAAACAGTTTGGCAATCTCTTAGAAAGCATAAACATATGCTAACCATATGATTTAGTAACTCTGCTCCTAGGTATTTACCCAAGAAGAATGAAAACATATGTCCACACAAAGACGCATACATGTTCCTAGAAGCTTTATTTATAATAGCCCCAAAGAGGAAATAGCCCAAGTGCTCATTAACTGGTAAATGGATACAACAATTAATTGTGGTGTAGCTATACAATAATGGAAGACTATTAAGAAAAAAAACGGGGCCGGGCGCGGTGGCTCCCTCACGCCTGTAATCCCAGCACTTTGGGAGGCCAAGGCAGGTGGATCACCTGAGGTCAGCAGTTCAAGACCAGCCTAGCCAACATGGTGAAACCCCGTCTCTACTAAAAATACAAAATTAGCTGGGCGTGGTGGTGCACGCCTGTAATCCCAGCTACTTGGGAGGCTGAGACAGGGAGAATTGCTTGAACCCAGGAGGTGGAGGTTGCAGTGAGTGGAGATTGTGCCATTGCACTCCAGCCTGGGCAAAAAAGAGTGAGACTCCGTCTCAAAAAAAAAGAAAAAAAAAAAAGATAAAAAACGAACTATGAACTACAGACATACACAACAATATGCTCAAAAGCATTTTGCTAAGTGAAAGAAACATATACAACAGGCCACATACTGTATGATTCCATTTATATGACAATCTAGAAAAAGCAAAACTCTGGGGACAGAAAAGGGCCCAGTGGTTGTCGGGGACCAGGAATGAGGGGTGTGGTCATCTACAAGGGCACAGGGGGATTTTTTGGCATGATGGAACTGTTCTTTTTTTTTTTTTTTTTTTTTTTGAGAGGGAGTCTCGCTCTGTCACCCAGGCTGGAGTGCAGTGGCGCCATCTTGGCTCACTGCAACCTCTGCCTCCCGGGTTCAAGCAAAATTCTCCTGCCTCAGCCTCCCAAGTAGCTGGGACCTCAGGCACACACCAGCTAATTTTTGTATTTTTATTAGAGACGGGGTTTCACCATATTGGCCAGGCTGATCTCAAACTCCTGACCTCGTGATCCGCCCATCTTGGCCTCCCAAAGTGCTGGGATTGCAGGCGTGAGCCACCACACCCAGAGATGGAACTGTACTACATCTTGATTATAGTGGTGGATATACAACTGCTTGTGTCTGTCAAAACTCACAGAACTTGGCCAGATGCAGTGGCTCATGCATGTAATCCCAACACTTTGGGAGGCTGAGGAGGGAGGATCCCTTGAGCCTAGGAGTTCAAGACCAGCCTGGGCAACATAGTGAAACCTCTTCTCTACAAAAAATGAACAAAATTAGCCAGGCATGGTGGCATGCCCACCTGTGGTCCCAGCTACTTGGGAGGCTGAGGTGGGAGGATCTCTTGAGCCCAGGAGGTCGAGGCTGCAGTAAGCCATGATCACACCACTGCATACCAGCTTGGGTGCCAGAGTGAAACCCTGTCTCAAGAAAAAACTCCAAACCAAACCAAAACAAAAAACCTCACAGAACTGAATCCCAAAAAGTGTGAATTTTACCATATGCAAACTAATTTTTTTTAACATGAGGGGAGGCTAAAAAAAAAAAAGAGAAAGAAAGAGAGCGTGAGATCTGTGAAATTCTGGGTAGCAAGGGAATTCCCCATGCATACCCTGAATCAGATCTTTGCAGAACCTCTTAAAATCTAAAGTTTGTCAAGCCCAGCCTGACAGCTGTGTCTGGGACTTGCTGGTGACCTTGGGCAAGTACCTTTGCCTCCCAGAAACATAGTTTCTTAGCCCAGAAAGGGAAGAGAGAGCTCTAAACATCTCTAACAAGGCACAGACATCTATTGAGCACTGAGTCACTGCCAGGCTACCCATACATGTGTTTTTTCACATCAGAAGGGTAGGGCAAGACAATAGTGTTTTAAATGTTCTTTATTAAGTCTTTTTTTTTTTTTTTGAGATGGAGTCTCGCTCTGTTGCCCAGGCCGGAATGCAGTGGCACGATCTCAGTTCACTGCAACATCTGCCTCCCAGGCTCAAGCGATTCTCCTGCCTCAGCCTCCCAAGCCCGAGTAGCTGGGATTACAGGAGCCTGCCACCACGCCGACTAATTTTTGTATTATTAGTAGAGATGGGTTTTACCATGTTAGCCAGGCTGGTCTCGAACTCTTGACCTCAAGTGATCCACCCTCCTCGGCCTCCCAAAGTGCTGGGATTACAGGCATGAGCCACCATGTCAGGCCTTTATTGAGCATTTAGATGTATTAAGCACTTTGCAGGTATTAGTTCATTTCATCCTTATACCACTCCTAGATGGTAGGAACTAGCACTACCTCTATTTTACTAATTGACAAGAACCTAGGTGCGCAGAGGTTTCATAAATTGTCAAGGTCAACATAGCCCAGTATCCCCAGTATTTGATCCAGCCCTCTCATTTCAGGGCCCATGCTCCTAATCATCATACTAAATCATGTGACATTCCTGGAGACAAGCTGTGTGACATCCTCTCAGCATCTCAGTGTTCCTGGACCTTACCCTTTATGCAGTTTAGTCTTTTTTTTTTTTTTTTTTTTGAGATGGAGTCTCGCTGTTGTCGGCCTGGGCTGGAGTGCAGTAGCACGATCTCGGCTCACTGCAACCTCTGCCTCCCAGTTTCCAGCAATTCTCCTGCCTCAGCCTCCCGAGTTGCTGAGATTACAGGTGTCTGCCACCAGGTCTGGCTAATTTTTGTATTTTTAGTAGAGACGGGGTTTCACCATATTGGCCAGGCTGGTCTCGAACTCCTAACCTCAGATGATCAACCCGCCTTGGCCTCCCAAAGTGCTGGGATTAAAGGCATGAGCCACCGCACCCGGCCACAGTTCAGTCTTTTAACTGCGGGTACTCAGCAGTTAGGGATTACAGGTGTGAGCCACTATGCCCAGCCCCTTCCCTGCTCTTGGGTCTAACCTCCTGCCTCTCCCTTCTTGGCTAGACTAAGCTCTTCTCCCTTCTGGGCCTTTGCCCAGGTGGTGACTTCTGCCAGAAACACTGGTTAACTCAGCTTAAATGTCACTTTGCTCCCCATCATATTTCTGAAACTCCGTCTCAAAACAAAATAATAATACATAATTGTTAAGATCATCCTTGTTGGCCAGGCGTGGTGGCTCACGCCTGTAATTCTAGCACTTTGGGAGGCTGAGGCGGGCAGATCACTTGACGTCAGGAGTTCGAGACCAGCCTGGCCAACATGGTGAAACCCTATCTCTACTAAAAATACAAAAGTTAGCTGGGTGTGTGGCGGGTGCCTGTAACTCCAGCTACTCAGGAGACTGAGGCAGGAGAATTGCTTGAACCTGGGAGGCAGAAGTTGCAGTGAGCCGAGATGGCACTACTGCACTCCAACCTGGGTGATAAGCAAGACTACCAACAACAACAACATCAACAACAACAAAAGGATTATCCTTGCTTATTGCTCTGGGTTGTAAATCCTTGGGTTGTAAATCCCTGGCTCCCTTGTCTGTTTATTCCATCAGATCAAAAGCTTCTTCAGGATAGGGAGGGGCCCCTGTCACCAGCCAAGCATTTGTGCATGCTAGGTGCCAGTGAGTGTTTATTGAATGAATGAATGAATGAATGAACGAGTGAGTGAGTGAGTTAATGTGGCCTGAAAAGTTGGACAGTTACTCTGGAGAATTATAGATGCCTCGTCCTGTATCTGGACTCTGGAATTTTCTAGGCCTCATTGGAACCCTTGTCCTTTGCCCAGGTTTTATTGCTCTGCAGGTCTCCACCCTGGCAGGAAGCTCTTGCCACCGGCTACAGTCTGGATCCAGCCTGGCCAGTTCCACCTTTCCCACCTACAACACCTGGCAAGACCAAGACACAGCCCTTCCACAAATACATGAGTACATGAGCACGTGGGGTGGACAAGCCATCCAATCAGTCCTCACTGACTCTGGTAAGGGAACAAACTTCTCCCAGTTTACCTGGGATTTTCATGGTTTTAGCACTGAAAGTCTTACACCCCCAGAGACCCAGGATCCCAGACAAATAGGGGCAGTTGGTAGCACCGGGTTTGTTGGGTCATCTTTGTGGACAGTGGAGGGAGTGGGACCTTCAACACAGATTTATTTATTTATTTATTTTTTGAGACGGGTTTCGCTCTTGTTGCTCAGGCTGGAGTGGAATGGAATGGCGTGATCTCGGCTCACTGCAATCTCTGCCTCCCAGGTTCCAGGGATTCTCCTGCCTCAGCTCCCTGAGTAGCTGGGATTACAGGCACCCACCACCAGGCCCGGCTAATTTTTGTATTTTTAGTAGAGACACGGTTTCACCACGTTGGCCCAGCTGGCTTTGAAATCCTGACCTCAGGTGATCCGCTGCCTCTATTACTTTTTTTTTTTTTTATCTTTTAGAGATAATATTTGACATATAAAGAGAATAAATGTATCACATATATAAATTATAAAGTATAATAATATAGCGAATAATTATGAACTCACCACTCAGCCCAATTCTCCTTCTCCAGAGAAGTACTTGTTAGAAGATGAGGAATTTAATGTCCTTCTCAAGCTTCCTGGCTTCCCTCTCAAGCAATTCCCAATTTTTAATAGTTATATATTATTCATAACATTTACATTTTGTTCTATAGCTATAATTAAATCTTCTGTACTTTGTCTGGAGGTTGAGTCTAAATACTGAAAAGCAATAAACAGCATCATGATTCCGTAAACACCCCTTGCTTGAGAACTCCTGGTCCCCAAAAGGAAAAAATGGGATCCTGTGCAGTGCCAGTTTTCAATCTCAAGAAGCTCAATATCATGGTTCTTAGAGGCAGAAGAGATCTCAAGCCTCCTTCTAGCTAACTGAGTCATTTTACAGAAGATAAATTGAGAGTTAGAGAAGGAAATAAATTTTGCTTCAAGTCATAAGACTCGTCAATTCCTTACACTATGTTCTGGCCTCCTCCTGGGATTTCGTAAATAAATGAGGCCAGACACGGTGGCTCACGCCTGTAATCTCAGCACTTTGGGAGGCCAAGGTGGGTGGATCACTTGAGTTTGAGACCAGCCTGGCCAACATAGCAAAACCCTGTCTCTACTGAAAATACAAAAATTAGCCGGGTGTGAGGCCGGGCGCGGTGGCTCACGCCTGTAATCCCAGCACTTTGGGAGGCCGAGGTGGGTGGATCACAAGGTCAGGAGATCGAGACCATCCCGGCTAAAACGGTGAAACCCCGTCTCTACTAAAAATACAAAAAATTAGCCGGGCATAGTGGCGGGTGCCTGTAGTCCCAGCTACTTGGGAGGCTGAGGCAGGAGAATGGCGTGAACCCGGGAGGCGGAGCTTGCAGTGAGCCGAGATCGGGCCACTGCACTCCAGCCTGGGCGACAGAGCGAGACTCCGTCTCAAAAAAAAAAAAAAAAAATTAGCCGGGTGTGGTGGCGCACACCGTAATCCCAGCTACTTGGGAGGCTGAGGCAGGAGAATCGCTTGAACCTAGGAGGTGGAGGTTGCAGTGAGCCAAGACTGCGCCACTGCACTCCAGCCTGGGCGACAGAGCAAGACTCTGTCTCAAAAAAGTAAATAAAAATAAATAAATGATGTTAGCTGCAAAGTCCCTTTTTTGAAGGGAATTTAGACTATATAGACTTTACATCAAGGATTCAAGGACCTACAGCTGGGCACATTGGCTCACACCTGTAATCCCACCAGTTTGGGAGGCCAAGGAAGGAGGATCACTTGAGACCAGGAGTTCAAGACCAGCCTGGGCAACATAGTGAGCACCTGACTGTACAGAAAATAAAAAATTAAAAACTTAGCCAGGCATGGTGGCACATACCTGTTAGTCTCAGCTACTCGGGAGGCTGACGCAGGAGAATCACTTGGGCCCAGGAGTTCAAGGTTGCAGTGAGCTATGATCCCACCACTGCATTCCAGCCTGAGCAACAGAGGCGAGACCCTATTATTTAAAAAAAAAAAAAATGGTCTCGAGACCTGTCAATTCCCCACACTACGTTGTCTGGCCACCTCCTGGGATGTGATACATGAATAAATAAATGGTGTTAGCCACAAAGTCCCTTTTTTTGAAAGGGAATTAATCTATATGGATGTCACATCAAGGATTCAACGGGCATACACTAAGAAAATGAAGTATTTTAATGACAGCAGGTAAAATCAGAGAGCCCTTTGTCTCCAAACATCTTTGGTGTGGGGCTAGGCTGAACTTGGCAGGGAGTGGTTTCATTGGCTGCCGAGCCAGCAGAGGGTTGGTTGGGGAAGGGTTTATCTCTCCGTCCCAAGTAGACAGAGTTCTGGCACCTGATTCCCTTGCTCTGAGAAGAGGGTGGGGCCTTCTTTGCTTGGAAGCGGGGGACAGGAAGCAACAGGTCCCTGGGCCTCCACAGTTATGAACTGCAGCACCTTATCTATTGTTCTTGAGATGCCAGGTCCAAAGGTATCTGAGCAGTGGGAGGACACCCAGTCAGCCACAGGGCTCCATGACAGCAGCCCCACTTTCCAGGGGGCTTAACTCACTCCACTTAAGTTGGAGGGGCCTGCTGCCCATGGACTTGGTTCAGGAAAAATCTTGTCCCCTGAGTAATGTGGAATATGGAAATAATAGTTCACGTTGATTTGCACTCCCGTCTGCCATGTTTAGTTAGGTTATTTCACCCAATTCTTTTTTTTTTTGAGACAGAGTCTCACTCTGTCGCCCAGGCTGGAGTGCAGTGGCCCGATCTCGGCTCACTGCAAGCTCTGCCTCCAGGGTTCACGCCATTCTCCTGCCTCAGTCTCCGGAGTAGCTGGGACTACAGGCGCCCGCCACCACGCCTGGCTAATTTTTTGTATTTTTAGTAGAGACGGGGTTTCACCATGTTAGCCAGGATGGTCTCGATCTCCTGACCTCCTGATCCACCCGCCTTGGCCTCCCAAAGTGCAGGGATTACAGGCGTGAGCCACCGCGCCCGGCCCTTCACCTAATTCTTGAAATCACTCAACAAAGTAGGTTCCATTATTATTCTCAGTTGTACAGATAAGGAAATTAGAAGTCCAAAGAGTCTGTGGCTCTGACTCAAAGGCTTATTACTAGCAGGTAGAAAAGTAGGATTCAGGCCAGCATGGTGGCTCACACCTGTAATCCCAGCACTTTGGGAGGCTGAGGTGGGTGGATTGCTTGAGCCCAGGAGCTGGAGACCAGCCAGGGAAACATGGTGAAATACTGTCTCTACAAAAAAATACCTAAATTAGCTGGGCATGGTGGGACATGCCTGTAGTCCCAGCTACTCAAGAGGCTGAGGTGGAAGGATCGCTTGAGCCCAGGAGGCAGACGGAGGTTGCAGTGAGCTGAGATTGCACTACTGCACTCCAGCCTGACCTTGTCTCAAAAAAAAGAAAAGAAAAAGAAAAAAGAAGGGCAGAATTCAGAAGCAGGCAGTCAGGAACTGAAGTCTATGCTGGGAACCACTGTGCCAGGATGGTCTTAAGCCAGAACACCAGCCTCCCTGCCTCTGCCATGAAACTGGTCGTTCATTTCTCTAAGCCTCAGTCACCTCTTCTGGGAAATGGGGATGATTGTGTCTGCTCTATAGGCTGGCCAGAGGACCAAATGCCCCTCTGGTTCCAGCCCTGGTCACCTGCTCCCCTGACCTGTGGCTGTCATGGGAGCTCTTGCTGGGCTGGACAACAGGGAGCTCAGGCCATCCTCTTGCCTTCCTTCTCTTGGCTGCCCCGGAGTCTGGAATTTCAGGTCCCCGCAAAAGACTATTTCTTGCTAAATTAAGCAAGGTTTGCCACTCAGTTCAAATGGCACCCAGAAACAAAACCCCACCCTGATCTTAGTGGAATAGCACAGAGATTAAGAGACTGCAGAGGGCAGTGGCCCAGGGTTCAAATTCCAGCTCTTTCATTTTTTTGGTTGTTTTTTTTTTTTTTTTTGAGACAGAGTCTCGCTCTGTCACCCAGGCTGGAGTGCAGTGGTGTGATCTTGGCTCACTGCAACCTCCGCCTCCCGGGTTCACGCCATTCTCCTGCCTCAGCCTCCTGAGTAGCTGGGACTACAGGCGCCCACCACCACGCCTGGCTAATTTTTTGGTATTTTTAGTAGAGACGGGGTATCACCAGGTTAGCCAGGATGGTCTCGATCTCCTGACCTTGTGATCTGCCTGCCTTGGCCTCCCAAAGTGCTGGGATTACAGGCATGAGCCACCGCGCCCGCCCCAGCTGTGTCATTTTTATTGTGTGTGATGGTGACTTTTAGGTGTCAACTTGACTGGATTAAGGGATACCCAGATAGCTCATAAAGCATTATTTCTGTGTATGTCTGGGAGGACGTTTCCTGAAGAGACTGCTATTTGAATCAGTGGACTGAGTGAGGAAAAGTCACCCACACCCACGTGGATGGGCACCATTCAGTCTACTGAGGGCCAGGATAGAACAAAAAGGCAGGCAGGAAAGGTGAATTCACTCACTTTCTCTCTCTCTCTTCTTCTAGAGCTGGGACACCTGCCTTCTGCCCTTAAACATCAGAACTCCAGGGTCTCTCGCCTTTTGACTCTGGGATTTGTACCAGCAGCCCCCCAGTGTTCTCAGGCCTTCAGCCTGGGACTGAAAGTCTTGGATTGGGCAATGCTACCAGCTTCCTGGTTCTCCAGCTTGTAGATGGCTTATCCTAGGACTTCTCAGCCTCCATAATCCCATGAGTCAATTTCCCTAATAAGTCCCCTCTCATCTCTCTCTGTATATATCCTATTTGTTCTGTTCTTGGGAGAACCCTGACTAATACACTGTGTAACATCAGGCCAATCCCTTTACTTCTCTGTGAGTCTCTGCTTCCAAATCTGTAAAATGGTCACGCCTGTAGACCTAGCACTTTGGGAGGCCGAGACGAGTGGATCACTTGAGGCCAGGGGTTCACAACTAGCCTAGGCAACATAATGAGTCCTCATCTCTAATAAAAAACAAACAGGGCTCGGTGCGGTGGCTCATGCCTGTAATCCCAGCACTTTCAGAAGCCAAGGTGGGTAGATCACCTGAGGTCAGGAGTTCTAGACCAGCCTGGCCAACATGGTGAAACCCCATCTGTACTAAAAATAAAAAAATTAGCCAGGCGTGGTAGTGCATGCCTGTAATCCCAGCTACTCAGGAGACTGAGACAGGAGAATCGCTTGAAATCGGAAGGCAGAGGTTGCAATGAGCCGAGATCACGCCACTGCACTCCAGCCTGGGAGAAAGAGCAAAACTCCATCTCCAAAAACAACAACAACAAAACCCCAAAATCTGTACAATGTATGTATGTATTATAGCAAACGGCTGTATGAAGACTGGTGAGACAAGGCGTACTATAGTGCACTCCAATAAATAGTAGCTATCACTTTTATCATACATTATAATGCAATTATTGGCATCCAGCACAAAGCCTGATACATAATTGGCTTTCAATAAATAATAAATAAAACGATAAGTGTTTACTTGTCTCCATCCCACAGTACCTTATGAGGTTTTTTGTTTGTTTGTTTGTTTTTTGAGACGGAGTCTTGCTCTGTCACCCAGGCTGGAGCGCAGTGGCACGATCTCGGCTCACTGCAAGCTCCGCCTCCCGGGTTCCTGCCATTCTCCTGCCTCAGCCTCCGGAGCAGCTGGGACTGCAGGCGCCCGCCACCACGCCCAGCTAATTTTTTGTATTTTTAGTAGAGAAGGGGTTTCACCGTGTTAGCCAGGATGGTCTCGATCTCCTGACCTCGTCATCTGCCCGCCTCGGCCTCCCAAAGTGCTGGGATTGACAGGCGTGAGCCACCGCGCCTGGCCTTGTATTTTCAATAGAGATGGGGTTTCACCAAGTTGGCCAGGCTGATCTCGAACTCCTGACCTCAAGTGATCTGCCTGCCTCAGCCTCCCAAAGTGATGGGATGACAGGCTTGAGCCACCACGCCCAGCCCCTTATGAGCTTCTTAAAGGCAGGGACCGTATTTTGTTTATCTCTTTGTTCCTAGTGTTAAACAGAATGCTTGGCACATGGGAGTGGTTAATGAATGTTTGTTGTTTGAGCTAATGGATGGGAACAGCCATCATCCACAGTGCTAAAACCACAAGGTGAAGGGGCTGATGGAGAATTTGATAATGGAGAGATCTGCTGACACCTACAGAAGCTTAGCATCCTGAAAGTGAATCAGCAAGAGAGCTTCTTGCTTCCTGATACAATGCTATGGGAGCGCCCGGCAACACTTATAAAATATTTTTGCCTAAAATACTGATCTGAATCAAGGCAAGCCTGTATATCTCAGTAGTAGTTCATGTTACATGTGGGATTGAGGAACGCGTTTAAGGACACCTCAAAGATGCATTCAACCAAAAACAAAATGCAGGGCTGGGCACAGTGGCTCACACCTGTAATCCCAGCACTTTGGGAGGCTGAGGCAGGCAGATCAGTTGAGGTCAGGAGTTCGAGACCAGCCTGGCCAACATGATGAAACCCCGTCTCTACTAAAAATACAAAAATTAGCTGCTCATGGTGGTGCTGGCCTGTAGTCCCAGCTACTGGGGAGGCTGACGCAGGAGAATTGCTTGAACCCGGGAGGCGGAGGTTGCAGTGAGCTGAGACTGCGCCATTGCATTCCAGCCTGGGCGAAAAAGTGAGACTCCGTCTCAGAAAAATATATATATGCCGGACATCCTACAGAACAAATGACCCTGTGTGTTTTTTGTTTTGTTTCGTTTTGTTTTTTAAAGAAGTCTGTAAGTCTGGAATTACATCAAAATAGAAACAAACAAAGGATACATTCACTATCATAGTTGTGGTTTCACAGTGTATACAAATACCAAAACTCATCAAATTGTATACTTTAAACATATGTAGTCAATTATACCTCAAAAAAGATGAACAAAAAGGGATGGAGAAGCTTATAGGTAAAAAGAGTCTTAAGGGGCATAACAGACAAAAGTAAAATGTGGCTCTTGCTTGGATCTTGATTCAAACACATTTTTTTATTTGTCTGAGACAGAGTCTCCTCTCTTGCCCGGCTGGAGTGCAGTGGCGTGATCTCGGCTCACTGCAACCTCGACCTCCTGGGCTCAAGTGACTCTCTTACCTCAGCCTCCCTAGTAGCTGGGACCACAGGTGTGCGCCACCACACCAGGCTATTTTTTTTTTAATTTTTTGTACAGATGGGGTCTCCCTATGCTGCTCAGGCTGGTCTGAACTCCTGAGCTCAAGCAGTCCTCCTGCCTCGACCTCCTAAAGTGCTGGGACTACAGGTGTGAGCCATCACGCCCAACCCAAACTATTAATAATTGTTTGCCAGGTGCAGTAGCTCATGCCTGTAATCCCATCACTTTGGGAGGCCGAGGCGGGTGGATCATGAGGTCAGGAGTTCGAGACCAGCCTGACCAAGATGGTGAAACCCTGTCTCTACTAAAAATACAAAAATTAGCTGGGCTTGGTGGTATGCGCCTGTAATCCCAGCTACTCAGGAGGCTGAGGCAGGAGGAACGCTTGCACCTGGGAGGCGGAGGTTGCAGTGAGCTGAGATTGCACCACTGCACTCCAGCCTGGGCAACAGAGAGAGACTCCACCTAAAAAAAAAAAAAAGCCGGGCACGGTGGCTCATGCCTGTAATCCCAGCACTTTGGGAGGCTGAGGCGGGCGGATCACTTGAGGTCGGGAGTTGGAGACCTGCCTGACCAACATGCAGAAACCCCGTCTCTACTAAAACCACAAAATTAGCTGGGTTTGGTGGTACATGCCTGTAATCCTAGCTACTCAGGAGGCTGAGGCAGGAGAATTGCTTGAACCCAGGAGACGGAAGTTGCGTTGAGCCGAGATCACGTCATTGCACCCAGCCTGGGCAACAAGAGTGAAACTCTGTCTCAAAAACAAAAACAAACAAACAAAAAAAATTGTTTAAAAGACATTTTTTAAAATGTGGCTTAGCCATTCAATGATATTGAGGAACTACTGTGAATTTTATTAGGTGCTTTACTAATGGCATGGGATCATGTTTAAAAGATGTCTTTCTCAGATATGCAGACTGAGATATTTACAGGAGAAATGTTATCTGGGATTTGCTTTAAAATATTATTTGGGCCGGGTGTGGTGGCTCACACCTGTAATCCCAGCACTTTGGGAGGCCAAGGTGGGCGGATCACCTGAGGTCGGGAGTTCGAGACCAACCTGACCAACATGGAGAAACCCCGTCTCTACTAAAAATACAAAATTAGCCAGGTGTGGTGGTGCATGCCTGTAGTCCCAGCTACTGAGGAGGCTGAGGCAGGAGAATGGCTTGAATCCAAGAGGCCGAGGTTGTGGTGAGCCAAGATTTTACCATTGCACTCCAGCCTGGACAACAAGAGGGAAACTCCGTCTCAAAAAAAAAAAAAAAAAAAAAAAAAAAATATATATATATATATATATATATATATATAATTATAAAAATATATATAATTATAAAATACATATATAATTATAAAAAATAATTATATATATATATTAGGGCTGGAGTTCAAGACCAGGATGACCAACATGGTGAAACCCTGTCTCTACTAAAAATAGAATAATTAGCCAGGTGTGGTGGCGCATGCCTGTAATCCCAGCTACTTGGGAGGCTGAGGCAGGAGAATGGTTTGAACTCAGGAGGCAGAGGTTGCAGTGAGCCGAGATCACGCCATTGCACTCCAGCACTCCAGCCTGGGCAACAAGAGTGAAACTCCGTCTCAAAAAAAAAAAAAAAAAAAAAAAAAAAATATATATATATATATATACATATACACATATATACACATATATATACACACACACGTATATACACATATATATATACACACACACGTATATACACATATATATATACACACACACATATACACACACACACACACACACACACATATATATATATACAATTTGGGCGTGATGGCTCATGTTTGTAATCCCAGCACTTTGGGAGGCCAAGGCAGGTGGATTGTTTGAGCTCAGGAGTTTGAGACCAGCCTGGGCAACAAGATGAAACCCCGTCTCTACAAAAAATACAAAAATTAACCTGGTGTGGTGGCTCATGCCTGCCTTCTCAGCTACTTGGGAGGCTGAGGTGGGAGGATTGGCTTGAGCCCAGGAGGTAATGGCTGCAGTGAGCCGAGATTGGGCCACTGTACTCCAGCCGGGGTGACAGAGTTAGATCCTGTCTCAAAAACAAACAAACAAAAAATTCTGCAAAGACAAAAATAAAAATGCAAAGGTAGAAAGATGAAAGAAGATTTGGTACAATTACAAAGTTTACAAAAACTTTAAAAATTGCAAAAAACTACTGTTGGGGCTGGGTGATGAATACCTGTGGTTTCATTATACTATATGTAGTGTGTGTTACACTATTTTCTTTACTTTGTGTTTGAAATAAAACTGTTTTTTTTTTTTTGCAGACTGGAAGGGCGGCACCCCTATCAGTTAGCACCGTTTCAACTGGAGGCGGTATAGCCAGTTCCCGCCCCTCCATGCTGGCAGGCAGCCCAGCCCAGCAGAGGTTTCAGGAGCCTCTAGGAGCAGCAGGAAGGGAGCCTCCTCTACCCTACCTAGCCAGGAGCCTGATCAGGCTGTAATCCCTAGCAATTCCAGTTTCTCTGGGGATTCCTCCCCAGTGGGCTGGCGGTTGGACTCTTCTCAGCAGAGGTCTGGAGAGGGGCACCTCCCACCCCAATCTGAACCCTATGACTGCACCCCTTGCCAGGAGATGAAAGGGACAAGACTGCCTGAAGGATTAATCTTTAGCCTCCAGGCAGGCCAGTGGCCAAAACACCCAGGAAGTGAAAGTCTGTCCTCTGCCATAAGGAAACCTGGAGTCTGTGATCCCATCATGCGGGGTCTGTTATCTGCCAGGTGACAGGGTCTCTTATCTATCTGCGGTGATCTGAAGGGCAAGGCCTCTGGCCAAACATTTCTTTTCCCCAGTGATGCCTGAAATTCCACTGTTAGCGCTGGATCTCAGCAAGATCTCAGAGAAAGCTCAACTCCTGGAGTTTGGGTTTTCCCCAGTTGAGATGTTAGGAAAGCAATGGGCCTTATCACCTGCACGGACAGGTTTGTGTACAGTCTCAGGGGATTCAGGGACCCCACCAGAGCCCATCCACAGACACCAGGTTAAAAGCCCTGGACAGCATTTACAACTCCTTTGAAAGAAGAAAAGTCTTTCTCTAGAGCCCTCTTTAAAGTGCAAATGGCCCTGGGAGGTTCGAAATGATGAGCTGGCCGGCATGAAAGAATTTTCTCCAGTAGATGCAAGAGATAACCTGAGGAGCTTTAGTGGCGGGGGTGGGGGAAGGAGAGCCTGGGGGAGGGGAGGCTCCAGGCAGCTCACAATTTTTCCTAGAACTGGAAAGGGAATGTATTGGGCCAAGAGGGCTAATCACTCACCTTTGCAGAGTGTTTACAAGAACCTTATGAATTAAGTGCTATCAACATTCCCATTTTACAGATGAGGAAACCAAGATGGTGGAGATAAAATGACTTATGCTTCTCAACTAATGGCAGAGCCAGAAGTGAATCCAGGCTGGAGTGAAGTGGCTCCAGTGCTCAAATGATCCTCCTACCTCAGCCTCCAGAGTAGCTGGGACTACAGGCATGCACTGCCATGTCCAGCTAATTCAAAATAATATTTGTTGGGGAGATGGGGTTTCACCATGTTGCCCAGACTGGTCTCAAACTCCTGGGCTCAAGTAATCTTCTCACCTCCCAACTAGCCTCCCAAAGTGCTGCGATTACAGTTGTGAGCCACCAGGCCTGCTTAGGTATCCCTGTTTGATACAAGAGAAAACAGAGGGCAGGCACAGTGGCTCACACCTGTAATCCCAGCACTTTGGGAGGCTGAGGTAGGTGGATCACTTGAGGTCAGGAGTTTGAGACCAGCCTGGCCAACATGGCGAAATCCCGTCTCTACTAAAATACAAAAATTAGCCAGACATGGTGACGTGTGTCTGTAATCACAGCTACTCAGGAGGCTGAGGCACAAGAATCTCTTGAACCTGGGAGGCAGAGAGTGCAGTGAGCCGAGATCGCGCCATTGCACTCCAGCCGGGGCAACAGAGCAAGACCTTGTCACTAAATAAATAAATAGGAAACAGAGAAGCAATTCAGTGTGTTGCGAAAGTCACACAGCACCTGTCTTCCACAAGGAGCCCCTCTGTGTTCCCGCCTCACCCTGGACACCTGATCTACTGTCTTTGGAGCTTGGAGAAGGACTTGCCGAGAAGTCTGAAGAATGCATCAGGCCTGACCTGACTTTGCTGCCCCTAATTGTTTTCTAAAATCCTTTTTATTGAATTATCAGAGTGTAATGGAAGAGTCGATGAGAGTCGCTGCAGAGTTACGAGGCCAAGGCTTGCTGGGTAGAAGAAAGTAAAGCCCTAAAGGCTCCCAGGGCCCAGCGATGGTATAAAATATGTATTTTTACATAACTGAGAGGAAAAAAATAAGCAGACAGTACAGCCCCATGGGGGAAACGCCTCTTTCTGTATTTCCATTATCTTGTTCAAGGCACGATCCTAGTGGGAAAGGAAATACCGGAGCCTTCTCCCTCTGAGCCTCCTGGTGGGTTAAGAGCAGAGGGAGCCAAAATACGACATCCAAAAGACCTGATTGGAAACTCATTAAAATTGAGGGGACAGGTTGTTGGGGGGGGCGGTGCTGGGCTGCCCAGAAATCGTCTGCATTTGAGAAATTACTTGATGGACTCAGAGGCACCTTTAGCTCTGGGTGAAATATTCCAAACATGGCTTTCCCCAGGAGGAAGCGAAATAGGGGCTGGGCCTTTTGAAAGAGTAACCCCTACTCCAAATATTTATTGAGCAGTTGCTATGATGAGCCAAGAACTCTGCTTAGCGATTGTTTTTGTATTAGCTCATGCCAATTCACTTATACAAAGGAGAACACTGACTTCCCCAAGGTCACAGGGCTAGTGAGTGGCTGACTCCACTTAATGCTGTGTAGTTCTAACCATGCTTGAAGGATAAAGGGAAAGGAGGTGCCCTTGTCGGGGTAGACAAGCCACCCAGACGTGGCTGGCCACAGGGAGTCAGACAGGGAAGTTGTCTAACCTAACATTTGCCTGTCTATTCTGTTTTTGTCTTTTGATGGAGGACGGCGGGTGCTGGAGGGCCACTGGCCCAGGACCTGAGACCTTTGGCCCCTATCTATTCTATTTTTGATCCTAAAATTATTTCACTGGGGACAGAATTCTCTGGAGAAGGTGATGGTGGCCATGGTGTGGCTGTGGCATTAAAAGCCCCACTCTGGGGGTCAGAAGATCCTGGGTTTTGGTCTTTGGCTTTGACATTGACCTGCCTATGTGACATTGAACAAGTTATTTGCAAATCATAGGTTTGGGTGAACTCTAAAGGTCTCTTCCAGGTCAACATCAAAAAACAGACTGAAAACTGCAGCTCCAGCTGGAAGACTGGGACCACATGAGATGAAGCTGATTGTTAGAAGAAAGGCCCTGGAATCAGAGAGGTTGGTTCCAGTCCTGCGCCACCTCTCATTGGCCTCAATCTCTCTAAGCTTCAGTTGCCCATCTATCATATGGGAATAATAATACAGCTCTTGGGTTGTTTTGAAATGAGCTTAAATGAGCTGGTCAGTGGCTGGGCACGGTGGCTCATGCCTGTAATCCCAGCACTTTGGGAGGCTGAGGCAGGTGGATCATCTGAGGACAGGAGTTCAAGACCAGCCTGGCCAACATGATGAAACCCTGTCTCTACTAAAAATACAAAAATTAGCCAGTCGTGGTGGCGCATGCCTGTAATCCCAGCTACTCAGGAGGCTGATAGAGGAGAACCGCTTGAACCCAAGAGGCGAAGGTTGCAGTGAGCCAAGAACACACCATTGCACTCCAGCCTGGGCGACAGAGCAGGACTCCGTCTCAAAAAAAAAAGAGCTGGTCAGTGTCAAATGCTTAGCACAGAGACTGGCACAGTAATCTTCAATGTCCAGCACCTATTGTTACTATTTTTTTTTTTTTTTTTTTTTTGAGACAGAGTCTTGCTCTGTCGCCCAGGCTGGAGTACAGTGGCGCGATCTCGGCTCACTGCAAGCTCCACCTCCCAGGTTCATGCCATTCTCCTGCCTCAGCCTCCCGAGTAGCTGGGACTACAGGCGCCCACCACCACGCCTGGCTAATTTTTTGTATTTTTAGTAGAGACGGGGTTTCACTGCGTTAGCCAGGATGGTCTCAATCTCCTGACCTCGTGATCTGCCCGCCTCGGCCTCCCAAAGTGCTGGGATTACAGGCGTGAGCCACCATGCCTGGCCCTATTGTTACTATTTTTACCCCTCACTTCTGTACAGAGCATTTATGGCTCAAGAAACATTTGTCATTTTAATTGTATGGGAGTCCCACAACAGCATAGGGAGACATTTCTGATCATTATTCCCATTAGGAGGGTGGAGAAACTGAGGCTTTGGGAGGTGGTCCTGACCTAGGGAATCAATTTGCTGACTCACTAACCCATGAAGCTCTACAGTTAAAAAAGACTAGATTAAAAAATGAGAACTCAGTAAAGGGGCTGAGGCAGGAGGATCGCCTGAGTTCAGAAATTTGAGATCAGCCTCGGCAACATAGTGAGATCCCCTCTCTAGAAAAATTTTTTAAAAAATTAGGCCGCTCGAGGCAGAGTGCAGTGGCTCACGCCTGTAATCCAACACTTCAGGAGGCTGAAGAGGGTGGATCACCTGAGGTCAGGAGTTCCAGACCAGCCTGGCCAACATGGTGAAACCCCGTCTGTACTAAAAATACAAAATTAGCCGGTGTGGTGGCACACGCCTGTAGTCCCAGCTACTCAATAGGCTGAGACAGGAGAGTCTCTTGAACCCGGCAGGCGGAGGTTGCAGTGAGCCGAGATCGTGCCACTGCACTCCAGCCTGGGCAAGACAGAGCGAGACTCCGTCTCAAAAAATACAAACAAAACAAACAAACAAAAAATTAGGCTGCTAGCTCAGTGGCTCATGGCTCACACCTGAAATCCTAGCACTTTGGGAGGCCAAGGCAGGAGGATCGCTTCAGCCCAGGAGTTCGAGACCAGGCTGGGCAATACAGGGAGACACAGCGCCCCCACTGCCCCTGTCCGCCCCGACTTGTCTCTCTACAAAAAGGCAAAAGAAAAAAAAATTAGCCTGGCGTGGTGGTGTGCACCTGTACTCCCAGCTACTAGAGAGGCTGGGGCCAGAGGACCGCTTGAGCCCAGGAGTTCGAGGCTGCAGTGAGCTGTGATCGCACCACTGCACTCCAGCTTGGGTGAAAGAGTGAGACCCCATCTCCAAAACGAACAAACAAAAAATCCCAAAAAACAAAAGAACTCAGCCAAGTGTAAAAGCCCTTTCTGATCCCAGGTCTTAGTGAGCCACCGGCGGGGCTGGGATTCGAACCCAGTGGAATCAGAACCGTGCAGGTCCCATAACCCACCTAGACCCTAGCAACTCCAGGCTAGAGGGTCACCGCGTCTATGCGAGGCCGGGTGGGCGGGCCGTCAGCTCCGCCCTGGGGAGGGGTCCGCGCTGCTGATTGGCTGTGGCCGGCAGGTGAACCCTCAGCCAATCAGCGGTACGGGGGGCGGTGCCTCCGGGGCTCACCTGGCTGCAGCCACGCACCCCCTCTCAGTGGCGTCGGAACTGCAAAGCACCTGTGAGCTTGCGGAAGTCAGTTCAGACTCCAGCCCGCTCCAGCCCGGCCCGACCCGACCGCACCCGGCGCCTGCCCTCGCTCGGCGTCCCCGGCCAGCCATGGGCCCTTGGAGCCGCAGCCTCTCGGCGCTGCTGCTGCTGCTGCAGGTACCCCGGATCCCCTGACTTGCGAGGGACGCATTCGGGCCGCAAGCTCCGCGCCCCAGCCCTGCGCCCCTTCCTCTCCCGTCGTCACCGCTTCCCTTCTTCCAAGAAAGTTCGGGTCCTGAGGAGCGGAGCGGCCTGGAAGCCTCGCGCGCTCCGGACCCCCCAGTGATGGGAGTGGGGGGTGGGTGGTGAGGGGCGAGCGCGGCTTTCCTGCCCCCTCCAGCGCAGACCGAGGCGGGGGCGTCTGGCCGCGGAGTCCGCGGGGTGGGCTCGCGCGGGCGGTGGGGGCGTGAAGCGGGGTGTAGGGGGTGGGGTGTGGAGAAGGGGTGCCCTGGTGCAAGTCGAGGGGGAGCCAGGAGTCGTGGGGACGATCTTCGAGGGAAGGAGAGGGGCATCCGTAGAAATAAAGGCACCTGCCATGCCAAGAAAGGTCGTAAATAGGAGTGAGGGTCCCGGGGATAAGAAAGTGAGGTCGGAGGAGGTGGGAGCGCCCCTCGCTCTGAGGAGTGGTGCATTCCCGGTCTAAGGAAAGTGGGGTACTGGAGAATAAAGACATCTCCAATAAAATGAGAAAGGAGACTGAAAGGGAACGGTGGGCTAGGTCTTGAGGGGGTGACTCGGCGGCCCCCTCCCGGGAGTTCCTGGGGGCTCGGCGGCCGTAGGTTTCGGGGTGGGGGAGGGTGACGTCGCTGCCCGCCCGTCCCGGGGCTGCGGGCTGGGGTCCTCCCCCAATCCCGACGCCGGGAGCGAGGGAGGGGCGGCGCTGTTGGTTTCGGTGAGCAGGAGGGAACCCTCCGAGTCACCCGGTTCCATCTACCTTTCCCCCACCCCAGGTCTCCTCTTGGCTCTGCCAGGAGCCGGAGCCCTGCCACCCTGGCTTTGACGCCGAGAGCTACACGTTCACGGTGCCCCGGCGCCACCTGGAGAGAGGCCGCGTCCTGGGCAGAGGTGAGGGCGCGCTGCCGGTGTCCCTGGGCGGAGTAGGGAGGGGTTGGAAAGGGGCCGAGAAATTGCACTCCCACACCCCTGGGTTGCAATGGGCAAGCTCCCTCCTTGGCTCAAACGACACCCCTTGGAATTTACGCAGATTTGGGGATCCAAACGTTTACGACTGAACACTGTGGTGGAGGGGGTAACCCTGCCTGGTTGTTGACTATGTTATAAAGAAGAGGAGGTTGAGGGCACTTACTAGAAGCCTTCGTATTTCTCTTATTGCCCTCAGCACTGTAGAGACAGTCTCTCATTTCAGACTGCAAAAACCTGGTGGGTGGGAAGGCCTGGCAGGAGTATTCCCGTTTTACAGTTGAGCAAACCGAGGCTAAGAGAGTGACGTCCACTTGCTCAGGGTCAGCAGAGCAGATATCTGAACTGGGATCTGACTCCCAGGCCCCATTAAGCACCATCTCTGGGATGACTGAAGAGCAGCCCTCTCTTGGTTACTGGGCTGTGGCTTTTGTTTACAGATATAAAAGCTTTTTTTTTTTTTTTTTTTTTTTTTTTTAAAGACAGGGTCTTGCTCTGTTGCCCAAGCTGGAGTGCAGTGGCACAATCATAGCTTACTGCAGCCTCCATCCTCTGGGCTCAAGTGATCCTTCCCATCTCAGCCTCCCTAGTAGCTGGTTATCATGGGCATGTGCCACCACACCTGGATAATTTTAACTTTTTTTTAGGCTGGGCGCAGTGGCTAACGCCTGTAATCCCAGCACTTTGGGAGGCCGAGGTGGGCGGATCACAAGGTCAGGAGTTCGAGACCAGCCTGGCCAACATGGTGAAACCCCATCTCTACTAAATAAAAATATAAAAATTAGCCGGGCATGGTGGCGTGTGCCTGTAATCCTAGCTACTCAGGAGGCTGAGGCAGGAGAATTGCTTAAACCCAGGAGGCAGAGGTTGCAGTGAGCTGAGATAGTGCCACCGCACTCCAACCTGGGTGACAGAGCAAGACTCCGTCTCAAAAAATAAATAAAAAATAAATTTTTTTTTAGAGACAGGAGTCTCTCCATGTTGCCCATGCTGGTGTTGAACTCTTGGGCTCAAAGGATCCTTCTGTCTCAGCCTCTCAAAGTGCTGGGATTGCAGGCCTGAGAGACTGTGCCTGGACCAAAACATCTTGATACAGGTACTGTTTCCCCCAAGGAATAATGATTTTTTTTTTTTTTTTTTTTTTTGAGATGGAGTTTTACTCTTGTTGCCCAGGCTGGAGTGTAATGGCGTGATCTCGGCTCACTGCCACCTCTGGCTCCCAGGTTCAAGTGATTCTCCTGCCTCAGCCTCCTGAGTAGCTGGGATTACAGGTGCCACCACCATGCCCAGCTAATTTTTTGTAGTTTTAGCAGAGAAGGGGTTTCACCATGTTGGCCAGGCTGGTCTGGATCTCCTGACCTCAGGTGACCCACCTGCCTCAATCTCCCAAAGTGCTGGGATTACAGGCATGAGCCAGCACGCCTGGCCAGGAATAATGATCTTTTTTTAAAAAAAGCATGGTAGTTCTGACTCAGGATGAAAATGCATACACCCAATGTACTTCTAGGCCTTATCGTTGTGACAATCTAGAGTTTGCTTTGTTCCACTTGACTGTTGTCCAGGGAGCAAGGGAAGGGGCTAGTTTCTCTTCTGGTTTCACTGAATCCCAAGTGCTTCCTTTATATCAAACCACTTTCTCCTCTCTCATGATTTTACTTGATTGGGTATCACAATAAGAGGCATTTTTTTTTTAAGAGAAATCACCCACAATTCCCCTGAGGGAACACCTCCACTGTGTCATTCTTCCAGTCTTTGACCACATGAATCTTTAGCAATCACGCTGTTGTCTTTACATTTTTTTTTTGAACTTTGGAAGTCATTCGAAGTTTTTTACAGAGAAACTACAGCTCGACTGATGAAGTATATTTGCTCTGTGTGCTCTAGAGCTTTCTATTGGATCAGAAGTTATCTCTAACTCCTGGGCTCAAGTGATTCACCCGCCTTGGCCTCCCAGAGTGCTGGGGATTGGATATTTTGATGTCAGTGGGCATTGAGGAGTGGCTTCTCGGGGAAGGCAAACTTGATCCAGTCTTGGAGAGCAAGGCAGGGGCTAGAAACAAGCTTGTATCTGAGCATGCGTCTGGGGTGTCCCAGTGCTAAGGCTGGTGACTTTGTTTTCCTGCACCAAGATATTTGGTAGCACCAAGGGTGGGTTGGTCTGGTTTTTATTTCTCCCTTCTAAGCTCCTGTGTTTGACCAATAATATTATTACATATTAACACTAATATGTTAATAATTAATAGTGACACGTATTCACTTTTGCCTCAGACTCTGGGGCAAGTGCTTCACATATTTTACCTCATTTAGTCTTCACTAGAACGTTAGGAGGGTGGGCACTGTTATTCTTCCTACTTTGCAAGTGAGGAAACTGAGGCATAAAGCAATTCTGTAATCTGAAGCATCCGCAGTTGGTCTTTTCTCTTCCTTTTTCTCCTTGTTTTTCACCTCAATAACCTGAAAAAACAAAAACAAAGAAAAAAGGTGTTTGGGGAATTAGTGTCCAATGTGAAGTAAGCTGAGAATGGAGGTGTTGACAGGGTGGGACCTCCGAGAGGGGGTGGTGATGATGGAGATGGGTCAGACCCGGGGGAGGTGGCGGGGGACCCTGGGACTGGTGATTTAGTGGGAAGAGGCAGCCTTCACACAGAATCCGCAGGCCTCTGGTGTGGTTGGTTTCAGTTCCCTTTATGTTCACAGACCCCCACCCCCACACAACAGATTTCCTGACATTTAATATTTGTTTTGGCTTTTTTGGACTGTGGGGTCTCCTTGTATCAGTCCAATGTGGAGTCGCCCCAGGATGGAAGTGCCCTTCTGGTAAAATCACACGTTCAATCTGAGGAACTGGCTTGTGATTTTAAAAGGCCGCTAGGACTTGGGATGTGGCCTGACTCTCTTTGGACAGTGCACGGAAGTGAAGGGATGGATGTAACATTGGCACCAGGTTTAGACATTGGCTTCATGGAGAATTTACTCCATGGGAATTTTGAAACTTGAAACCTGTCACTTTTTGTGCACAGGCAGCTGTAGGGTCTTAACTCAGGGGACTTTGGAGTGTTTGCTAGGGTCATTCCTCTGCCCCATGCTGTGGCTGACCCCATGATCTCAACCTTGTATTTATTCCATTGGTTTATCTCCAGCTTCTAGAATGAAGACCTTTACAAAAAAAAAAAAAACCAAACTCAACTGTAATAAACCAGTTTTTGTTTTGAGACGGAGTTTTGCTCTTGCCGCCCAGCCTGGAGTGCAGAGGTGCGATCTCGGCTCACTGCAACCTCTGCTTCCTCAGTTCAAGCAATTCTCCTGTCTCAGCCTCCTGAGCAGCTGGGATTGCAGGCACATGCCACCATGCCTTTGTATTTTTAGTAGAGACAGGATTTCATCATATTGGTCAGGCTGGTCTCAAACTCCTGACCTCAGGTGATCCGCCTGCCTTGGCCTCCCAAAGTGTTGGGATTACATGTGTGAGTCACCATGCCTGGCTAATAACCCAGTCCTTTAGAGTTGCTGCTTATTTTCCTTCTTCATAGCACACACCGGTCTGAGAAACCCAGGCTATTAGACAGTTTGGGATCTCTGAAGTATTAGCCTAGTAACCACAGCTGTAAGTTGACTCAGGCGCGGAAAAAAGAAAAGCTGGCAGGCTTTCCCAGTGATTGTTTTCTTCCTTTGCTTGCTCTGCAATCTGGCCTTGGAAACACAGGGCCTATATTTCAGTGTTGAGGTTTGGCTGCTTGAGGGGTTGACCTAGTTCACAGGCACCCAAACTTTGTGGATTAAATACACCCATTTCCCCTCCTTTTTTTTTTTTGAGACGGAGTCTCGCTCTGTTGCCCAGACTGGAGTGCAGTGACGTGATCTCGGCTCACTGCAACCTCTGCCTCCCAGGTTCCAGTGATTCTCCTGCCTCAGCCTCCCTAGTAGCTGGGACTACAGGTGTGTGCCTCCATGCCTGGCTAATTTTTGTATTTTTAGTAGAGACAGGGTTTCGACTACGGCCATACCACCCTGAACGCGCCCGATCTCGTCTGATCTCGGAAGCTAAGCAGGGTCGGGCCTGGTTAGTACTAGTACTTGGATGGGAGACAGGGTTTCACCATGTTGGTTAGGCTGGTCTACAATCTGGAGTTTTGCTCTTGTTGCCCAGGCTGGGCAAACTCCTGGCCTCAGGTGATCCGCCCACCTTGGCCTCCCAAAGTGCTGGGATTACAGGCGTGAGCCACTGTGCCCGGCCATTTCCCCTCCTTTCTGAAGGATGTGCTGAACGTTTCAGAAAACAGTATGCAGCCTCCCTAATACAATTAGACTTTTAAAAAGCAAACCCAGAAACCAGCTTTGGGATCACCTTACATCATCAGATCCCCACCCCCTACCCCTCAAACTCATAAAAGTCACTTCCCCAATTACTCATGTCTGTGACAAAGGTTGATCTGAGCTTACTGGGAAAGAAGACCAGTGGGCCGCCCTCCTGGCCTTGCCTTTGTGTCTCTGGAGGTGCGGAGGTGGAAAGTCTTGGGCCCGGCAAGGCCATGTAAAGAAGGCAGGCTGCTGCTTCCTCCCAGTGGGGCCCTGCCTGCCCCTCTCTGCCAGGTGGTTATGGAAATCCCTGTTTGCTCTCCAGGGCTTTTTATTGGGTGAGGCTTTTCTTCCAAAATGCTCACCTTGTGTCTGTTACACATTCCCTTCCAAGGTAGCCCCAGATACGCCAGAGGCTGAAGCTCTCGTATCTCCCAGAAGCTGCCCAAACCCTAAAATCCCCGAGAGGCACCTGTCCCAATCCAATCCTTGCTGGGTCTCTTTCTTTCTTTCTTTCTTTCTTTCTTTCTTTCTTTCTTTCTTTCTTTCTTTCTTTCTTTCTTTCTTTCTTTCTTTCTTTCTTTTCTTTTCTTTCTTTTGAGACGGAGTGTCACTCTGTCGCTCAGGCTGGAGTGTAGAGAGGTAGGATCTCAGCTCACTGCAACCCCCGCCTGCCATGTTCAAGTGATTCTCCAGCCTCAGCCTCCTGAGTAGCTGGGATTATAGGCACGCAGAAGCATGCCCAGCTAATTTTTGTATTTTTAGTAGATTCGGGGTTTCACCATGATGTCAGGCTGGTCTTGAACTCCTGAGCTCAAAGTGGTCTACCTGCCTCAGCCTCCCTAAGTGCTGGGATTACAGGCGTGAGCCACCGAGCCGGGCCCCTTCCTGGGTTTCTATCCTGCCTCAGCTCTATCTCCTTTGAGGGCACAAGGCTTTCAAAAAGGAGAATGAAATCATTCAGCAGTGGCTGTTTAGGATCCTTCAGCGAGGAAGTACAGGAAACTAGGTTTGAATTTTAGCCACTAGCTATTTGACTTTGAATAAGTCACTTTACTTCTATGAGTCTCAGTTTCCCCACCTGTAAAATGGGGCGGTAATACTTATTGATCTATTATGAGAATTAAGTATGTACATTCATTTAGTTCACAAAAGTGAGTGCCTGTTGTGTGTTAGCACCAGGCTAGACCCTGAGGTTACGGCAGATTGGACGGAACATACATGCCAATGGGCAGGAATGTAAAGAGAGAAAGTAGAGAGAATATTTTCAACAGTAGTTGATATTTCTTAGGGACACAGTAAACTCTCAATGTTATTTTGAGCAAATGAATGAACACATGAATAAATCGCTATCTTGGCCAATATTTTTCCCTCTCAAACTCTATGGACTTGGTCCAGCCCTTAAGGTTGATTGTAAATGGGCGGGGAAGAATTTGGTGGGTTAGAACCTTCCATTATGCTCTGTGTGTGCTGGGGATACTGTGTTCATAGCTTCCCTCTGAACAGCTGTGCAGGGCAGGCAGGGAGATCTCAAACCTGAGTCTGGAAATGGGAGGGCATATAGCCATTTTTAAGTGTTTTCCACCTTTGGTCAAATAAAAAGAAATCTGTGGTGCATGCTCACTCTTTCTCTCTCTATCCCCATCTCTAGCCATCTCCCTTTCTTTCTCTCTTCCTCTTTGTTAATGTAAGTTTCCCTAGGCCAGGGATCTCAGTGTCCCAGCTTGTTCTTGTTACTCTTGGGGGACTGGGGTTTAGGCCTCCTCCCTTTCTGCACTTTTCATCTTCCTCCTTCCTTCCTCTTACCTGCCTCCAATCCTCCACTTCTGCCCAAGATTTGGGTGGCATCTTCCCCAAATTCAGAAGGTTCTTGAATCAGACTGCCTAGATTTCAATCCAGACAATGTCACTTCCCAGCCTAGGGATGTCAGCCAAGGACTTAGTTTCCCTCTCTGTAAAATGAGCATAATAGCATGGAGACATCATAGGATGGTATGTCAAGCGTTCAGTGAATATGAAATATTAGAGCCCCAGGAGGACTTGGTGCTGTCTGTTTGAAAGTCTCCCATGTTTTACGTTTGGTTCAAAAGATCCCCTGCGCTCCCTCTCACCCAGCAAACCAGCCAAACCAGTTTCTTCACCCTGCCTGCTTCTGTGTTAAGCAAACAGTGCACTGCAAACAGTGACTAAGCCTAGTGCCTTGTTAGGAAGAAACTGGCGTTTTTTTGCTTGCCACTGTGCAGGGTGCTCAGGGTGGACCGGAACGGGTTTGTTGTGGCTTAGGAAAGGGGACCTGCTCGTGGAGGTTGTGTAGAACTGGAGTGGGAGGAGTGGGGCAAGGCGCAGCTAGGGCCGGGGGAGTCGGGATGATCTTGAACTTGTCAGCTTCTGCTTGGCTTTTAAAAGTTATCCAGGCCAGATAGATGCTGTGGCTCACACCTGTAATCCCAGTGCTTTGGGAGGCCAAGGCCGCAGGATTACTTGAGCCCAGGAGTTTGAGACCAGCCTGGGCAACGTGGCGAGACCCCCATCTCTACAAAGATTAAAAAAAAAATTTAGCCAGGTATGGTGGCGTGCACCTGTGGTACTAGCATCAAAAAAATGCAAAAATTTGCTGGGCGTGGTGGCATGTGCATGTAGTCCCAACTACTCAGGAGGCTGAGGTGGGGGGATTGCGTGAAGCCCGGGAGGTCGAGGCTGCAGTAAGCCATGATTGCACCACGGCACTCCAGCTGATAGAGATCCTGTCTCAAAAAAAAAAAAAAAAATATATATATATATGTATATATATATGTATGTGTAATATATGTGTATATATATGTATGTGTATATATATATATATATGTATATATATTTCATGATGCACATGCCTAAGAATACCTGTCTGTTCTCCTGCTGCCAAAAACGCTCTGTCCCAGCCCCTGAGATCCTTGTGGCTAAAAATCAAATCACCTAGGGCACTTCATGCAGACTTGCCCTCTTGCAGATTCACTGAGAGCCAATCTCCAAGGGTGGAGATCTGAACTTGACATTTACTTACTTATTTATTTTTTGGGATGAAGTCTTGCTCTGTCACCCAGGCTGGAGTGCAATGACACGATCTCAGTTCACTGCAACCTCCGCCTCCTGGCTTCAAGCAATTCTCATGCCTCAGCCTCCCAAGTAGCTGGGATTACAGGCATGCACCACTACGCCTGGCAATTTTTTTTGTATTTTTGTAGAGACGGTTTCACCATGTTGGCCAGTCTGGTCTCAAGCTCCTGACCTCAGGTGATCTGCCTGCCTCAACCTCCCAAAGTGCTGGGATCGCACGCGTGAGCCACCACACCCAGCCTTGAATTTGATGTTTTTAAAAGCTCCTCAGGCCAGGTGCGGTGGCTTACGCCTGTAATCTGCACTTTGGGAGGCCAAGGCGGGCAGATCATGAGGTCAGGAGTTTGAGACTAGCTTGACCAACGTGGTGAAACCCCATCTCTACTAAAAATTCAAAAATTCAGCTGGGCGTGGTGGCATGCTCCTGTAATCCCTGCTACTTGGGAGGCTGAGGCAGAAGAACTGCTTGAACACGGGAGGTGGAGGATGCAGTGAGCCGAGATTGTGCCACTGCACCCTAGCCTGGGCAACAGAGCGAGACTCCATCTCTAAATAAATAAAATAAATAAGCAAGCTCCTCAGATATCTGCTGCCACTCAATGCATTTCCCTGGACAATCCCAGGGGCTAGATGTTTGATGAGTAAATACCCCAGCCAGGATGTGGGCACCTGGTTGTCCAGCCCAAGGCCAGGGATCCCAGGTCACACCCTTGATCAGGGAGGGATAGGCTGGTGCTTCTGCCATGCCCAGGATTGAGAACTCTATGGATGCAAGGAGGGGTGGATGGGAGGCTGGGTGCAGTGGCTCATGCCTGTAATCCCAGCACTTTGGGAGGCCAAGGTGGGAGGATCACTTGAGGTCAGGAGTTTAAAACCATCCTGGCCAATATGGTGAAACCCCGTTTCTGCTAAATATAAAAAAAGCTAGCCGGGCGTGGTGGTGCATGCCTGTAATCCCAGCTACTTGGGAGGCCGAGGCAGGAGAATCACTTGAATCTGGGTGGCGGAGGTTGCAATGAGCGGAGATTGTGCCATTGCACTCTAGCCTGGGCAACAGAGCGATACTCCATCTCAACAAACAAACAAACAAACACACCAAAGTGGGGTGGATGGGTGTGGGAGTGGGGGACCCAGAGAAGTATCCAGTGCACCCAGGCCTAAGACTCACCCCCTACACTCAGGGAGATTCCAGAAAATCTCCAAGAGAGACCTCTCAGCAGGTAATTCCAGTAGGCTCCAAGAATGCCACTGGAATGAGAATGTGTTCAGGGGATGCCAGGAGTGGTCAGCTTCACCTGCTGGGCCTTGATGAGTAAGAGGGTGTCTTCCATGCAAGGAAAGGGAAAGGGCACTCCAGGAGGAGGAAGTGGGGTACCCAAAGGTGTGGCAGGGTCATGGAGGCAGAAGGCTGGAGCTGTGCCTTCCTGGGCACAGAAAGAGGAGGGAGGAGAGGGTCCCAGGATGAGGCTGCAGAGGCAGCTGGGCCAGGGTACCTCTGGGCCTTGGGCCGTGGGTCATGGAGGGTTTTCTCTTTCTGGGCTTTTCATAGGCAAATTATTCACCCGGTTAAAAAATAAGTTTAAATATACATCTTCATATATATATGAAAAAGCTTGTATATATGTCTGTATGGCAGACAGTGAAGTCTCCTTCCCACCCCAAACCACGCTTCACCCAGTTCTTCCCTGGGGCACAGGGAACAGATTTCATTAGTCTCTTGTGTATCCTTTTCAGTGTTTCCTTATGGAAATACAAGCATAGTCTTCTTTCTTTATGCCAGCGTAAATTCCTAACATATGATCCTTTTACACAAAGCATAGCATATGATAGCACTGCTCTGTACCTTGTTTTTCTCCCAGCAACGTATCTGTATGTTCTCTCTCTCTCTCTCCACACATATCTTCCTTAGACCGAATCTTGCTCTATTGTCCAGGCTGGAGTGCAGAGGCGCAATCTCAGCTTGCTGCAGTCTCCGCCTCCCTGGTTCAAGTGATTCTCATACCTCAGTCTCCCGAGTAGCTGAGACTACAGACACATGCCAACACACCCGGCTAATTTTTGTATTTTTAGTAGAGACAGGGTTTCACCATGTTGGCCAGGCTGGTCTCAAACTCCTGGGCTCAAGCAATCCACCTGCCTCGGCTTCCCAAAGTGCTGGGATTACAGGCGTGAGCCACCGTGCCTGGCCCATTTTTATTTTTTTTAATTTTTAAAAAAATTTTTAAAAATTATTTACTTTTTTTTTTTTTTTTTTGAGACAGAGTTTCGCTCTCATTGCCCAGGCTGGAGTGCAATGGCATGATCTCGGCTCACCGCAACCTCCGCCTCCCGGGTTCAAGTGATTATCCTGCTTCAGCCTCCAGAGTAGCTAGGATTACAGGCATGCTACACCACACCTGGCTAACTTTGTTTCTTTGGTAGAGACAGGGTTTCTCCATGTTCATCAGGTTGATCTCCCAACCTCAGGTGATCTGCCCGCCTTGACCTCCCAAAGTGCTGGGATTAGAGGCGTGAGCCACCATGTCCGGCCATTTTAAAAATGTTTAATTTTAATTTCTGTGGGTACAAAGTTGGTGTGTATATTTATGGGGTACGTTCTTTTATTTTCTTTTTATAGCTATGCGGTATGGATGCACCATAGGTTATTTAGCCAGTCCCTGATAGATAGACACTGGGTAGTGTCCTATCTTTTAGGAGACAGTATTTCAGACAGTAACCTGGGATATACATTTTTTTTCTACACATTCTGGTGTATCTGGAAGATGAATTTCCATAGGTGAGCCTGCTGGGTCCAGGTATGTGCATTTGTAATTTTGGCAGATATTGCCTTCCACAAAGACTGTGATCCATTTGCACATCAGCGTTTAGAGACAGTCGGTTCCCACTGTCCCAGTGGAGGTTTTGAGAAAGAGGTTGGGAGAGGTGTTATGTGCCTGCCTGTCTGAAGATAAAACAGTTTTTTTTGTTTTTGTTTTTGTTTTGAGACGGAGTCTCGCTCTTGTCGCCCAGGCTGGAGTGCAATGGTGCAATTTTGGCTCACTGCAACCTCTGCCTCCTGGGTTCAAGCGATTCTCCTGCCTCACCCTCCTGAGTAGCTGAGTACAGGTGCCTGCAACCATGACTGGCTAATTTTTGTGCTTTTAATAGAGACGGGATTTCATCAGTTGGCCAGGCTGGTCTTGAACTCCTGACCTCAGGTGATCCACCTGCCTTGGCCTCCCAAAGTGCTGGGATTACAGGCATGAGCCACCGTGCCCTACCAATAGACAGTTTTGATTTGGGGGAAGGTTTCCAGCAACTAAGTGGTTCTAAACAAGAAGTAATGCCAGCAGCTTCCAGAATGTTCCTTTGGACCAACACTGGAAACAGAGGAGAAAGAGGAACAATTCAGGGGAGGAAAATTAGTTTTTGGTGAGGAATATGTTGAGTTTGAGTGTCTGAAGGACACAGAGGTGGAGTTTTCAAAGGGGTATTTGGGAATGTCAGCTCTGTGCTTGGAATAATGTGAAGTACCAGTTTAAAGAAGGATTTGTATAGGATAGTGATCTTTTTTCCTTAATCTTGTGTCAATAGATACAGAGAGTTTTCAGAGACCTCACACGCTGGAGGATTAAATCATAGAAGGTGTTTGTTTGGAGAGTGTTTACTTGAAGGTGGCCAGCAGATGAAAGACAACTATTTGTGTCCATTTGCACAGGGTTAGAGAGTGGGTCCTGCCAGTGACCTTGCACGCTTGACAGTTAATCCTCCCTGTAGTCCAAGGTGGGAATTTTCATCATCCCCTACTGTGGAAGAGGAATCAGGCTCAGAGGTTGCACTGCTTGCCACCAAGTCACCCCGCCAGGTGATGGCAGTGCTGGGGCTGCAGGCCAGGCCTTTCTCCTTCCAAAACCAGGTCTCTCATCCTGTTCCCTCTACTACACTGTTGCCAAACTCAGCATCTCCAGTGGGACCTGATTCACCTTTCTAAAGGAAACGCCAAACTCAGCATCTCCAGTGGGACTTGATTCATCTTTCTAAAGGAAACGAATTCCCTTCTTCCCTTCGGAGAAGCTGTCATTGTACCTTTTTCATCTCACTTATTTTATTTATTTTATGATTTTTTTTTTAAGAAACAGAGTCTTGCTCTGCTGCCCAGGCTGGAGTGCAGTGGTTTGAACTCCTGGGCTCAAGCAATCCTCCCATCTTGGCCTCTCGAAGTGCTGGGATTACAGGTGTGAGCCACCAGGCCTGGCCTGCCTCTCACTAATTTTGATTGTGATGCTAGAATTCAGCTTTTTTTTTTGCCTTTGGAAGGCCTCTTTTGTCTTTTGCTTATGGGCAGTTTCAGCCGGTTTCCCTCTTGACCTTCACTTCCAAATAAATGCTAGCTGAACAGCGCTTCTCTTCCTTTCGGTCTCTTTCAACTCTCTGGGTCCCAGAAAATCCACTTATATTGGCCTTCAAGACTTGGGAGTGTAGGGACAGGGAAACCGCCTTAAAGAAACTCTTGTTCCAAATGAGACCTACTCAAGCCGCTTGGCCAGGCAGGCATCTGGGGCATGGCTCTTGCTGCTGAAAGAGGGAAAGTTACTACTGGGACCTAATGGGGCCTGCCTAGAAGGGTTGAACCTGTTCCACATGAGCAAGATCATAAACGGTGGCCAGCTCAGGACCCCGTGGGATAATTGGCCAAGTTCTAGATAATAATTAGCTGGCTTTGTAATTAGGAGAGCTTGTAACAAGCCAAAAGCCTTTCAAATTTATTTGACCTGGGCAAGTTCAAGAAGAAGAAGAGCACCTGATTCTGTGGTTTGGCATTCAGGTACGCCTGTACACCTTCTTTCTCCTTGGTTTTTTTTTTTTTTTTTTAAGACAGGGTCTCTGTCGCTCAGGCTGGAGTACAGTGAAGCCATCTTGGCTCACTTCAGCCTCGACCTCCCGGGCTCAAGCAATCCTCCCACCTCAGCCTCCCAAGTAGCTGGGATACAGACACACATCACCATGCCCGGCTAATTTTTAAAATTTTCTTTGGAAAAGGGATCTCGCTATATTGCCCAGACTGGTCTGGAACTCCTGGGCTCAAGGGATCTTCCCACCTTGGCCTCCCAAAGTGCTGGATTTACAGGCATGACGCCCAGCTGTTTCTCTATTCCCAAAAGAGAAGTTTCAGCATGTCTTCACCTTCATTGTCGCAGCAGCTTCCTTCCTGGTCTCCCCACTTATTCCTTCCCCTTCCTCCAAGCCAGTCTTTTCTCCATCCATCAGTCAGAGTTGATGGTTTTTAAAATTAAGTTAGAAAATATCACGCCTGCTCCAAATTACCCATGGTTCCCCATTTCAAACAAAATAAGCGCCTAAGTCCTTTCTATGACTTCTGAGGCTTCACTGATCTGTCCTTTGACTCATGTACCTGGGGTCCTCATCTCTTCCCACTCTTCTGCATGCTCACTTTGCCCAACAACTTTGTTTCCTGGTTATACTTAGAACACACTACACACTCTTCTACCTCAGGGCCTTTGCACTGGCTGTGACCATTCCCATAATATCTGCACAGCTCACTCTTTTCTGTCCTGAAAAGACTGCAAGCCTTTGCTTAAATGTCACTCCCGCCCTCAGGGAGGACTTTCTTGAACCCCTTATTTATTTATTTATTTATTTATTTAGAGACGGAGTCTCACTCTGTCATCCAGTCTGCAGTGCAGTGGCGCAATCTCGGCTCACTGCAACCTCTGCCTCCTGGGTTCAAGCAGTTCTCCTGCCTCAGCCTCCTGAGTAGCTGGGGTTAGAGGCATGGGCCACCACGCCTGGCTAATTTTTGTATTTTTAGTAGAGACAGGGTTTTACCATGTTGGCCAGACTGGTCTCAAACTCCTAACCTCAGGTGATCCACCTGCCTCGGCCTCCCAAAGTGCTGGGATTATAGGGATGAGCCACCGTGCCTGGCCCAATTTATTTATTTTTTGAGACAGAGTCTTGCTCTGTCACCCAGGCTGGAGTGCAGTGGTTTGACCTCTGCTCACTGCAACCTCAGACTCCAGAGTAGCTGGGATTATAGGTGCCTGCCCTCACACCTGGCTAATTTTTGTATTTTTGTATTTTTTTTTTTTTTTTGAGATGGAGTCTCAACTCTGTCACCCAGGCTGGAGTGCAGTGGCTTGATCTCGGCTCACTGCAACCTCCGCCTCCCGGGTTCAAGCAATTCTCCTGTCTCAGCCTCCCAAGTAGCTGGGATTACAGGCATGTGCCACCACGCCTGGCTAATTTTTGTATCTTTAGTAGAGACTGGGTTTCACCATGTTGGCCAGGTTGGTCTTGAACTCCTGACCTCAGGTGATCCACCCGCCTTGGCCTCCCAAAGTGCTGCGATTACAGGCGTGAGCCACCACACCCAATCTGGACCCCCTATTTATGATAGTAAACCCTGCCCTCAGCCCTCCCCACCTCTTTTACTTAATTTTCTTCTAGTACTTTTCACTGTCTAACATGCTATGTATTTCACTTATTTCTCCTGTTCACTGCGGGTCTCCTCCCACTAGAACAGAAGCCTCAGGAGGCCAGGGATTTTTAATGTCTTTTGTTTTGTACTTGGGCTGAATTGCAGTTAGAATAGTGCTTGGTACATAATAAGGGCTCAGTAAGTATCCGAAGGAATGAATGAATGAGAGGTTTCAGAGTGTATTTAATACAGACAGGACTAAACAGATCTCTCTAGAGGATATTTCACTGTAGTTGTTTTTTTCTTTTTTTAAAGACAGGGCTTTATGTATTAGCCACAGAGAAGGGAGGAGGGGTGTTCTCAGGGCGTGTGCCTCTGGTTGGCACTCCCCAGTTTCTCTGAGCTCTGCACACCCCTGATGTAACCTTACCTAATTGTCTTGTCACAAAACAGCTTGCAGTCTGGAGTCTAAAGGTCAGATGAGCCATTTCTACCCCACACTTCTGAGTGTAAGGAAGCACCAGATCAAAATCTAGGCAGATATCTGAGCCCGCCAGAGCCATCTGTTTGGTTTCCTATTGTGTGGGTAACACCTTCCTTGAGCAAGGCTCTCAGATACACCCAACACCTGCCCCCTGGGTATCTCAGCATCCTTCAGACCCATGAATTGTTCAAGAACCGATGTCTGTTCTTCCAGTTTTTGGCAGTGCAGAGGAGCCTGGAAAGAGCTTGATGAGAGACGCAAAAAGCTCAAAGACAAAAATGCAAGGCCGGCCAGGCGTGGTGGCTCACGCCTGTAATCCCAGCACTTCGGGAGGCCGAGGCACAAAAATCTCTTGAACCTGGGAGGTGGAGGTTGCAGTAAGCTGAGATCGCGCCACTGCACTCCAGCCTGGGCGACAAAGCGAGACTCAGTCTCAAAAAAAAAAAAAAAAAAAAGCAAGGCCTGCTTAATCAGATCTCGGCCAAGATAAAAATCTCATGGCTTCAAAATCCATCTGATCAATAAATATTCATGAGAGAGTACTGTAGGGCAACATCTTGTAAATCTTTTTTTTTTCTTATTTTCTTGAGAGGGAGTCTCCCTCTGTCACCCAGGCTGGAGGGCAGTGGTGCAATCTTGGCTCACTGCAACCTCTGCCTCCCAGGTTCAAGCGATTCTCCTGCCTCAGCCTCCTGAGTAGCTAATTTTTAGCCACCATGCCCGGCTAATTTTTGTATTTTTAATAGACACGGGGTTTCACCGTGTTACCCAGGATGGTCTCAATATCCTGACCTCGTGATCTGCCCTCCTCGGCCTCCCAAAGTGCTGGGATTACAGGCGTGAGCCACCGCGCCCGGCACATCTTACAAATCTTTATGTAACCTAGACTGTCCTGCCTTCAGCAGGGTAATGGCTTAATGGGTAGTGTGGCTAGATTTAGCAAATAACAATACAGGACTATCAGTTACATTTGACTTTCAGATAAACGATGGCTAATATTTAGCATAAGTATGTCCCATGCAATATTTGAGACATACTTAAAAAAAAATTATTTGGCAGGGGCAGGGCACGGTGGCCGACTGTAATCCCAGTACTTTGGGAGGCTGAGGCAGGCGGATCATGAGGTCAGCAGATCGAGACCATCCTGGCTAACATGGTGAAACCCCATCTCTACTAAAAATACAAAAAAAAATTGGCCAGGCGTAGTGGCAGGCGCCTATAGTCCCAGCTACTTGGGAGGCTGAGGCAGGAGAATGGCTTGAACCTGGGAGGTGGAGCTTGCAGTGAGCCAAGTGAGCCATTGTACTCCAGCCTGGGTGACAGAGCGAGATTCTGTCTCAAAAAAAAAAAAAAAAAATTATTCGGCAGGGCACAGTGGCTCATGCCTGTAATCCCAGCACTTTGGAATGTTGAGGTGGGAGGATCCCTTGAGACCAGCCTGGGCAACATAGGGAGACCCTGTCTCTACAAAAGATTTTTAAAAATTAGCCAGGCCTGGTGGCATGAGCTGGCAGACCCAGCTACCTGGGAGGCTAAGGTGGGAGGATCACCTGAGACCACAGAGGTCAAGGCTGCAGTGAGCTGTGACTGCCTCCCTGCACTCCAGCCTGGGCGACAGAGTGAGACACTGTCTCAAGAAAAAAGAAAAGTATTTGTTGTTGTACTCTGTATTGTGATCATAAGCAACAGTGTATTGAGCGGTGCTTTCTGTATGTTGAACTCTTCCCGTATGCCATCTCCTGTAACCCTCATGCACACAGGTGTGTCATGCACACAGGAAGTGGGAGAGCCTGGCCGTATGTCTGGTGGCTGTTGGACTCCAAAGTCTGTGCTCTTTATAGCAGGAAAAGGCAACTCACAGAACAGTCTGTGAGCAGCCAGGTGAAAGGGATGGATCATTCCTTCTCTGAAGGTCTCAGGTGACAGAGGTATTTGTCTGTCCATTCACTTAATGAATTTGTGCTGAGCACCTGCCAAGCCCTCTGCTAGGCATTGGGGATGCAGCGGGGCCCAAACAGAGAAAAAGCCCTGTCCTCATGGAATTTCTCTTCTAATTGGAGGGGACAGGTAGATGGTGATGTATGGAAGAAAGAATAAAACTCAGCAGGAAGGGTGATAAAAACTATGCATTGGGGTGGAGAAATTTAGGGGCAGTCATCACTAAGAAGGATGGCATTTGTGTAAAGAAGAAGAAGTGAGGTGCTCAATAGATGTTAGAACTGGACTGTGTCAGCTGGGTGTGGTGGTTTATGACTGTAATCCCAAGCCAAGGCAGGTAGATCTCTTGAGCCCAGGAGTTCAAGACCAGCCTGGGCATGATAGAACCCCGCCTCTACAAAAAATCCAAAAATTAGCCAGGTGTAGTGGCATATGCTTGTAGTCCCAGCTACTTGGGAGCTGGGGTGAGAGGATCACTTGAGCCTGGGAGGTTGAAGCTGCCTGGGAGGTTTAGCCATGATCGTACCACTGCATTCCAGCCTGGGTGACAGGGCAAGACTCTGTCTCAAAAAAAAAAAAAAAAAAAAAATAGAATTGGACTGTATCTTGAGGGGACTGGACTTCTACATTCAAGTCTATATTCATGTCATTGAAAAAGACTGTTCTCTAGTCAGGCATTTTTCTTTTAATTTTTAAATTTTTTGTTAAAATAAATAGAGAGGGTCTTGTTACGTTGCCCAGGCTAGTCTCGAACTCCTGAGCTTAAGCAATACCCCCGCCTTGGCCTCCCAAAGTGCTAGGATTACAGGTCTGAGCCACCATGCCCGGCCAGGCCAGGCATTTTCTAGAGAAGGAATCCTGAGGGCTCATTTTCACATCTCCTTCATTTTTTATTTATTTATCTTTCTCTTTTGACCTGCCACTTTAGGAACATCTCCTTTAAAGGGTATCAGATTCAAACCAGGAAATAATGCTCATTCCAAGCCACTCCCCACCCCTCAGCATGTTGCCCAAGAGGAATATTGCTCCAGCAGAGTTTTCTAAATTTTTTTTTTTTTTTTTTTTGAGACAGAGTCTTGCTCTTGTTGCCCAGGCTAGAGTGCAGTGGCCTGATCTCGGCTCATTGCAACCTCTGCCTCCCGGGTTCAAGCGATTCTCCCACCTCAGCCTCCGGTGTAGCTGGGATTACAGGCATGTGCCACCACACCTGGCTACTTTTTGTATTTTTCGTAGAGACGGGGTTTCACCATGTTGGCCAGGCTGGTCTCCAACTCCTGACCTTAGGTGATAAGCCCTCCTCGGCCTCCCAAAGTGCTGGGATTACAGGCATGAATGAGCCACTGTGCCTAGCCGAGTTTTCTAAAGATTCTTCCTGCAGAGGGATGATATTTTCTAAACAGGCATCATTTAGGGCATATTTTTTTTTTTTTTTTGTGCATGTATACGAGTGTTCCTAGGACCTGGTACTTACTTTGGAATCTCACCTTCAGTACGAGGCTTCCTCCCCAACAAATTCTTCACCACAACTATGTGGGAGTGTTTGAAAAAGGGAACAAGATGACCAACTTGTTGGTGGGGAGAGTTGTGGCTTTCCTATTGGAAAACATCATCCCTTGAATAAGCAGTGAGGCAAACACCTGGGCACTTACTTTATGAACAGGTGGGGTGGGGCCCTGAGTCACCGACATTGAGAGGCCTCTCCTGGTAAGGTTTTTCAATATCAGGTTGAATCAGCGGTGACATCACCCTCTATAGTGACAGGTACTCTAGGTGCCGGCTCTTACTCATAAGTCCCAGGAGATACTAGCCCTAGATCTCGTCTCTGTTAGCTTCGTGCTAAAAGGTTTTGGAGAAATAACAGCTGCTTGGTGACGTTCATGTGGCTGGTTTCATTACCACCTAACTCCCAGGCTTGTAATCATGACTAAATTTTCTGGAGAAAATAGAATTTGTGGTTGTATTTCTTGTAACTTTTGCCTTCTTGTCTCAAGTCTGCATTTAAAAAGAGGCCGGGTGCGGTAGCTCATGCCTGTAATCCAGCACTTCGGGAGGCCAAAGTGGGAGGATTGCTTGAGCCCAGAAGTTGGAGACCAGATTGGGCAACAAAGGGAAACCCTGTCTCTACATACAAAAACAATTACCCAGGCATGGTGGCGTGTGCCTGTGATCCCAGCTTCATGGGAGGCTGAGGCAGGTAGATCCCTTGAGTCCAGGAGGTTAAGGCTGCAGTGAGCTGCGTTTTGCACCACTGCACTCCAGCTTGGGTGACAGAGCGAGACGCTCTCTCAAAAACAAAAAACAAAACAAAACAAAGCCCTCTTCTACTCCTTGAGGTTTTTGGATGTTTCAGAGCTGTATTTTGAGTCTCTGATTTTTGTTTTGTTTTGTTTTGAGACAGAGTCTTGCTCTGTCACCCAGGCTGGAGCGCAGTGTTGGAGTCTCAGCTCACTGCAACCTCCACCTCCCAGGTTCAAGCTATTCTCCTTCCTCAGCCTCCCGAGTAGCTGGGATTATAGGCCAGCGCCACCATGCCCGGCTAATTTTTGTATTTTTAGTAGAGACAGGGTTTCACCATGTTGGCCAGGCTGGTCCTGACCTCAAGTGATCCGCCCACCTTGGCCTCCCAAAGTGCTGGGATTACAGGTGTGAGCCATGGCAACCAGCTGAGTTTTTGATTTTGAAACTTCCTGTAAGTTGTACTTATTTTTCTTTGGGCTTTGTAATTTGGTTATGATTTTTCATTCTTCTTTCTGCTAATCCTCTCACTTCCACCATGGGAGTGTTTAAATACCTGGGAAGCTGTTGAACCTAGGAAACCACATTTTACTTGCCAGATGTGAGGTTTCATTTCTGGTTTTGACAGAGATTTGACTCTTCAGCATTTATTTCTCTTTTAGCCTATGAGCTTCTCTTAGAGAAGATGAACTGGGAGGGTGGAATGCAGCAGGATTGCCTGGATTCCAATCCCAACTGGACCCTTACTTTTCCTGTGATTTTGGGCAAGTTTCTTTCTCTTTCTTTCTTTCTCTCTCTCTTTTTCTTTCTCTCTCTCTCCTTCCTTCCTTCCTTCCTTCCTTTCTTTCTTTCTTTTTTTTGAGACAGGGCCTTTTTCTGTCACCCAGGCTGGAGTGGAGTGGTACAATTTTGGCTCACTGCAACCTCTGCCTCCTGGGCTCAAGTCATCCCCATCCTCCCACCTCAGCCTCCCAAGTAGCTGGGACTACAGGTGCATGCCACCACTCCAGGCTAATCTTTTTTTTTTTTTTTTTTGTATTTTTTGTAGAGACGAGGTTTTGCCATGTTGCCCAGGCTGGTTTTGAACTCCTGAGCTCAAGCCATCTGCCCGCCTCAGCCTCCCAAAGTGCTGGGATTACGGATGTGAGTTGCTGCACTGGCCTGCAAGTTTCTTTCTTTTTTTTCAAATTTTTTTGTGTCCCTCCCCTCTATCCCAACCCCACCCCATTTTGCCTAGGGTAGGCTTCTTTTTATTTCTTTTTTTTTTTTTTTTTTTTTTTTTTTGAGAGAGAGAGAGAGAGAGAGACCCAAATGGGAATTCCCTAGGGCCAGTTTCTTAATCTTTCTGTGCCTCAGTCCCCTCACCTGTACAAAGGGGATAAACATAGCCCCTACCACAAAGGATTGCAATGAGGATTCAATGAGTTAGCATGTGCGAAGTGCTTCCAGTGCCTGGTACGTAGCAACCACTCTTCATTTAGTTTTTATTGGCTGGGCTCCGTGGTACACATCTGTAGTCCTAGCTACTTGGGAGGTTGAGGCAGGAGGATCACTTGAGCCTGGGAGTTTCGAGGCTGCAGTGCATGCTGATTGTGCCCGTGAATAGTTACTGCTCTCCAACCTGGTCAATGTCTCAAGAATCGATCTCTAAAAAAACAAATTAGTTTTTCTCATTAGATGTTTCTGCTTTAGACTTGTGTCAAGGGAGTGAAAAAGCATGGGGCGGGGGGCGGGTAGTGTAAGTGTCAAAGGAGCCACAGAGGATTGAGTATGAGGAAGAGTGATACCCCCTTATCACTTTGCTCTTGACCTCCTAAAGAATAAGACGCTCCTTTGACCCAACATCCATTTGAGTGCAATTTTTTTTTTTTTTGAGATGGAGTCTTGCTCTGTTGCCCAGACTGGTGCCATCTCGGCTCACTGCAACTTCCGCCTCCCGGGTTCAAGCAATTCTCCTGCCTCAGCCTTCTGAGTAGCTGGGATTATAGGCGCCTGCCACCATGCCTGGCTAATTTTTTCTATTTTTAGAGAGATGGGGTTTCACCATGTTGGTCAGGCTGGTCTCAAACTCCTGACCTCAGATGATCTGCCCCTCTAGCCCTCTCAAAGTGTTGGGATTACAGGTGTGAGCCACCGTGCCCAGCTAATTACATTTAATTAATTTATTTTGAAAAATACAAGGTCTCACTGTGTTGCCCAGGTTGGTCTCAAACTCCTCGGCTCGGGCAATCCTCCTGCCTCAGCCTCCGACAAGTGGTGGGATTACAGGGGGCACAGTGGCTCATGCCTGTTATCCCAACACTTTGGGAGGCCAAGGCAGGAGAATCGCTTGAGCCCAAGAGTTCAAGACCAGCCTGGGCAACATAGCAAGACCCCCATCTCTACCAATAATAATAGTATTGTTATACAATGACCACAATAGTCGTTGCATTCATTTATTGATTGAGTACTCAACTGTTCATGTATGATCTTGTTTTTTTAATCCTTGCATCAACTTTAGAGTTAGGTACTATGGCAATTCCATTTTCTTTTCTTTCTTTTTTTTTTTTTTTTGGTTGAGATGGAATTTTGCTCTGTTGCCTGGGCTGGAGTGCAATGGTGCGATCTTGGCTCACTGCAACCTCCGCCTCCCGAGTTCAAGCGATTCTCCTGCCTCAGCCTCCCAAGTAGCTGGGATTACAGGCGCGTACCACCATGCCCAGATAATTTTTGTATTTTTTAATGGAGACAAGGTTTCACCATTTTGGCCAGGCTGGTGTCAAACTCCTCACCTCAGGTGATCTGCCTTGGCCTCCCAAAGTGCTAGGATTATAGATTATAGGCGTGAGCCACCACGCCGGGCCTGACAATTCCATTTCCAAATCATAAACAGAAGCTTCTACAGCTAGGGGAGCTGGGAAGGAAAAGTGTGTACCGCCCTGGCTGGCTTTTATCCTTCCTGTGCTCAGCGGCTCTATTTCTAAGAATGTTTCCATTCTAGATCCATCACTTTGGCCTAGAAAGGAGCCTCATGCCAAGGTCCACCCATGCAGCCCCTAAAATCCCCTTTTCCACCGTGCCCGGCTGAGTTTTTAAAATTCTAGTTTTCCACAGATGGAAATGTGAACTGTCTTGTAAAGTATTCCATATATATATATTTTTTTTTTTTTTTTAATTTTTTTTTTTTGAGATGAAATCTTGCTCTTGTCCCCCAGGCTAGAGTGCAATGGTGCGCTCTCAGCTCACTGCAAGCTCTGCCTCCCGGGTTCATGCCATTCTCCTGCCTCAGCCTCCTGAGTAGCTGGGACTATAGGTGCCCAACACCACGCCCAGCTAATTTTTTTTTTTTTTTTTTTTGCATTTTTAGTAGAGACGGGGTTTCACCGTGTTAGCCAGGATGGTCTCAATCTCCTGACCCCATGATCCTCCCCCACTCAGCCTCCCAAAGCACTGGGATTACAGGCATGAGCCACCACGCCCAGCCCTTCTAAAGTATTTTAAATTCTAGTTTTCCAAAGATGGGAATGTGAATTGTCTTGTAAAGTATAACCGTCTCCTGCCCCTCCTTTATAACAGGCCTTGGAGAATTTTGCCCCTCCTTTATAACAGGCCTTGGAGAATGTTTCTCCCCCATTCTTTCTCTTTAATCTGGGCAAGGTGTCTTTATTAATAATATCACAGACCACCACACACACCTTGAGGTTTAGTTCTCTTCCGCACAGTGTGTGAGTGCCTTCTGTGTGCTCTGTGTCAGTTACCAGCCTTGTTTCCAGGAGTTTGGAGCTGACCCAGGGGTGATAGAAAACACTGGGATGCCAAGTCGTCAGACAATGGGCTCATTTAGAATTCAGGTGGGGTGGGACTGTGTGGGCTGGGTCAGCTGGTGGAGCTTCCCCAGAGTGGGGAGGCCAGGGGGAGTCTGGGATGTGGGGTGGTATGTGAACAGGAATACGGGGAGACTCTCAGCCTCTGTTGTTGGCTGAGAGGGGGATGCCCCAAGCCTAGAGAGGTGGGGGCGGGACCTCCTGTGCAGAGACTGGGAGACAGGAATATGACAGATGGTATATTTGGATGGTGACTCAGATAGGTCAAGTGAAACTGAACTTCCGGTCCTCGAGTCACACAGGAGGGTAGGGGCTGTGAGAAAACTCCCTCGTTGGTTCTTCCTACAGGGCCTTTGAGGCAGACAGGGCTCAACAGAGCCTGGCAGGACTGCAGAAGGACAATAGTGTGGCTGGTTGGGTGAGGCCCTTTTGGCCTGAAGGCTAGCAAGCTGGGAGAACTTGGAGAACCCGGACAGCAGGTCCTCTGCCCTCCCGCTGCCTGGGGCAGCCCTTGGAGAGGCCTGAGTGGTCTAGGCTGATACATCAGGCTTGGGGCAGCCCCGCTGGGCTATCCCATACCCTCTCCCCTGCCCCCACATGTTTATCCCAAATCCCCTTCTCCTCAAGCTTGCTTCTAGGTGCCCATCTCACCCATCCTACCCATCCATGTGTCTATCCTCCATTCGTTTGTTCAGTAATGATGGAGGGGCTGTTATGCGCCAAGCACTGTTGTGAATGGCGGACACAGAGACCCAGACACATATGAATGTCCCCCATCATGGAATTTGTATTCTCAGGTATTGCAGGGAGCAGGCAATAAACATAATCAATGTGCAAAATATTTAGAGCACTGAGTGGAGACAGGTGTGTAGGAAAGATGAATCGGAATGGAGCATTGCTGGGAAGTACTAGGGTGATCTGAGAAGGCCTCACTGAAGGGGGACATTTGAGCAAAGACCCAAGAGAGGTGAAGGATCAGGCCATGTGACTAGGTAGGGAAGGGTGTTCTAGACGGAGGGGAGGGCGTTCTAGATGGAGGGAACAGCAAAGACACACCCCTGACACTGAGCAGAAGGGCAAGGTCAGTGATCAAGGGGCAGGGGCTGGCAGAAGGGCAGAGGGGGTGGCAGCATGTGGAGGGCCTTGTACCCATCACCAGGACTTTGTCTTTCACTTGGGACTCCTCTGGTCCTTTAGCCCAGATCCACCGGCTGCCTCCTCCTGCCAGTTCTGCCTCCCCTCTCCATTCTGGGCAGTGGAGCCTGATGGTTAGTAGCATGGGCACTGGCCTGCCTGCTCAGGTTCTGAGCTGAGCACAGAGGTCTGGGCCTCCCCTGGGCTTCTGCTCCATTTGGCCCAGGGTGGGGCCATGGACTCCCATTTCCAATGGCGCTGCTGGCTCTGGCATATTCTGACCCCTCCACTGGGGACACCTCCCAGTGTTCCTTGCCTGGCTCATTTCTCTCTCAGGGCCATCTTCGTTGTTGCTACCTCTAGGAAGCCTTCTCTGATCCTCATCCCCAAGGCCTGTGTCGGGATACGTCCTACTCCTTCCCTTTGCCAGTTGGGATCCCCTGGGTTCCTTTATGCTCCCCCACCAGGCTGGGTACTTGGGAAGTATTCGCAGCCCCCAGCATTAAGCCTGGCATGTAGTTGCCACTCAGTGAGTAGTTTGATGAGGGGCTCTTTGCTGTGGGAGGATTAGGCTGCAGGGTTACCCCATAACCCCCAGTGGAGGTGACTTATGTCCATCTTTTGGGGACTTTTGCAGTGAGGGAGTGCATTATAATGGAGAGGAGGAAGCCAGATTCCTAAAACTTTCAATCACATTTTGCTCCTCTCAGAAACAAAAACAAAACAAAACAAAAACACAGGCCGGGCATGGTGGATCACGCCTGTATTCTCAGCACTTTGGGAGGCCAAGGCCAGAGGATCACCTGAAGTCAGGAGTTTGAGACCAGCCTGGCCGACATGGCGAAACCCAGTCTGTACTAAAAACATAAAAATTATCCGGGCGTGTTGGTGGGCGCCTATAATCCCAGCTACTTGGGAGGCTGAGGCAGGAGAATCGCTTGAACCCCTGGGAGGCAGAGGTTGGAGTGAGCCAAGAGTGAGCACCACTGCACTCCAGCCTCGGCAACAGAGCAAGATTCCGTCTCAAAAAAAAAAAAAAAAAAAAAAAAAAAAAAAGCCCCAAACCAGCTGAGCTTAGATGGATCTCTCTGGCCATCTTTTTAAACAGTAAGGGACCTTTAAAAAGTTTGATTCCTCTCTTCCCCACAGCAAGGCTATTTGCTTCCTGAAGATAAATCAATTGTAAAAAGTAGCTTAATTTAAAGCGTTCAATTCCCCTGCTTTTTACATTGAGGAGAAATTATGGTGACAGCTATTCCTGTTTTGCGTGCTTAGTACCAGCCAGGCACTGAGCCCAAAACTCCAACTCACTCTTGGCTGTTGAGCCAACCCTGTGCCAGAAGAAAATCCCCACTCCCTACAATGTGTGGAATTCACATTATAGTTGGAGACAGAAGGGGAGAAACAAACACAGCCTGCCAATCCTGGAGAATGCCTGGTGGGGGTGCTGGGGGAAGAAGTCCAATTTCAGCTGGGAAAATGGGACAGGAGCCTTGGGAGTGGGTTTACACCTCAAATTCCCTTATGGCCACAGTCCATTGGCCCCTAGCCTCCTCCCCACTTTACAGATGAAGAGACTGAGGTTTAGAGAGAGGAACAGCCGGCTTGGCAGAGGCAACTGCTGAGGCAGTTGAGGAAAGGTGAGGACCTCCCAGAGTGAGAGGGGCAAGGGAACTGGAAGTCAACTGTGGGACCTGGAAGTAGGGGAGGGAAGAATAAATCTGCGGAGGGGTCTCCTTCCCTCGGCCCTCCTCCCCCACTTCTGGGAAAGTGGTTACCGTTGTCAGCTCCAGGATTTGAAATGCTGATTAGTTCATTAGCAGTTGTTTATAGGCCTTTGCCTGTCTGACATTTTAACCCTGTGAAGTCCAAGGAAACAGTTCTCTGTCTTTAATGTGCTTCAAAACCTCCTGCAAAACTAACTACAAGTGCAGACTGCACCCCTAGAGATTCTGATGTTTAAGTCTGGGGTGAGTCCAGGAATCTGCATTTTAAAATAAGCCCATCCTGTGCTGGAACTGGTGGTCCCTGGATCCCACTGCAAGGACAACCTGGGCGAGAGCAGGTTTCCAAACCTGGGCCAGAGCTGGTTGGGGGGATGGCGGACACATGGAGAGCTTAAAAGTGGAGACTTTGAGGGGCTTTCCCTCCCAGAGGTTTTGAGTCAAGAGATTTGAGATTTGATGGGTTTTTTTGTTTGTTTACTTGTTAAAAAAGATGATTATTGGTTGGGTTTGGTGGGGGATGGGCTATGAAGCTACCCGAAGTTGTAGACAAAGGGGTGTGTGTGTGATCAGTTCACAGATGTGGATCATGTCTACATCTTTCATCAGATTTCTCTGAGGAGTCATCCCAGATGACATTTAGGGCTAACTCTGAGTGGAATTACCAGTCTAAAATGGGAGCTGGCCAGGCATGGTGGCTCACGCCTGTAATCCCAGCACTTTGGGAGGCCAAGGCGGGTGGATCACCTGCGGTCAGGAGTTTGAGACCAGCCTGGCCAACATGGCGAATCCCCATCTCTACTAAAAATACAAAAATTAGCCAGGTATGGTGCTGTGCACCTGTAGTCCAAGCTACTTGGGAGGCTGAGACAGGAGAATCGCTTGAACTGGGAGGCAGAGGCTGCAGCGAACTGAGATCACGCCACTGCACTCCAGCCTGGGCGATAGAGTGAGACTCCATCTCAAAATAAAATAAAATAACATAGAGCCAATCTCAGGGTCTATCAAGACAGGTGAAGGGAAATGAAGTTAAGGCCTGCAAACTCCCTGTGTGTTCTTGGAGAAGGAAAGCAAGCAAAATATGCAAGGTGTGTAACAAGCACCAGCAACTCAGTGGTGGAGGAGGGATTCCAGTGTATTTGGAGAGGAGACCTTAGGTGGCCAGGGAGCCCCTTCCTTCTGTCTGTCTGTTCATCTGTTCACCCATCATTCACTCTTCCATTCAGGTAGTCCTTGGCCACCTGCTGTATCCAAGATCTCTGGCTCCTAGTGCGGTGACGGTAGACTGGATAATGCAGACTAGTGGATGATTTGACAAGTTAACTTACATGGTTTTGGAAAGAGGCATCACTTTTATGACTCTGCAAACCCAACTCCCTTATTTCTAACTTGCCCAGCCCAATATTAAAATGCATCACCAAACCCTCCTGCTGTCTGCGGAGAAGCCAGCATGAAACTCAAGCTGAGCAGAAAACAGATCCAGCATGGAGATAAGGCAGCTGCAGTTTCACTTTTAGGTTGGGCCAACTGAGAATTTTGGGGACTTTCCTTGCTGTGAATGTGGAATTAAATTGCTTTTTTATTTTTATTTTTTATTTTTCGAGATGGAGTCTCGCTCTGTCGCCAGGTACAGTGGCGTGATCTCGGCTCACTGCAACCTCTGCCTCCTGGGTTCAAGCGATTTGCCTGCCTCAGCCTCCTGAGTAGCTGGGACTACAGGCAACTGCCACCACACCTGGCTAATTTTTGTATTTTTGGTAGAGACAGGGTTTCTCCATGTTGGCCAGGATGGTCTCGATCTCCTGACCTCATGATCCGTCCGCCTCGGCCTCCCAAAGTGCTGGGATTACAGGCGTGAGCCACTGCGCCTGGCTGCTTTTTAATTTTTTTGGAAAGGTAGGGGGGATTTGGTCAATGATTAATCCATCTGGAGTTTGGTAACGGATCCAGCAGGTATGTAAGGCATTTTAGTTATTTGATTCTAAATGAAATCCCAAAATTGTAGGGGCAATTAATCATGAACCTGAGGGCTCCTGAGTTGTCTTTGCTTGTTTGCCTCAAGACAGGTGACCTGTCTCCTTTTTTTTTTTTCTTTAAGTATTTCTAGACATGTCATGATTTTCAGATATTTAACACTTTTTAAAAGATTTGTTTTCCTCTCATGGGAAATTTCCCTGTCACAGTTGGATCTAGTTTCTCTTTCTATCTTGTGCCTGGTTTTTAGTTAATCTTCTCCTATGTGTCAAATAATCGAAGACCCTTCAGTTATTTATTGATTGGGAACCCTTCACTTACTGGTATGCATTTAGTTTTACATATGTGAGATCGTTTAGTGTTTCACATCACCCCTACTATAATTTTATATCGGCCAGGCACGGTGGCTCATGCCTGTAATCCCAGCACTTTGGGAGGCCAAGGCAGGCGAATCATGAGGTCAGGAGTTTGAGACCAGCCTGGCCAACATGGTGAAACCCCTTCTCTACTAAAAATACAGAAAATTAGCCGGGTGTGGTGGTGCGCGCCTGTAGTCCCAGCTACTTGGGAGGCTGAAGCAGGAGAATCGCTTGAACCCGGGAGGTAGAGGTTGCAGTGAGCTGAGATCACGCCACTGTGCTCCAGCCTGGGCGACAGAGTGAGATTCTGTTTACAAAACAAAACAAAAAAATTTATATTACCCCATTTTATGGATGAAGACACTGTGGCTCTGAGACATCCCCTTGACTATTTCATGGCAGGGCAAAGATTCACAACTTGTCCCTAACTGCCGGATGCACCGCTTCCCTTCCTTGAGAAAACTGGCCCAGGCTCTCCCAAAATCCAGGGGACCAGTAGCAGGATTTCTTTCAAGGGCATCTTGTCTTCCGGTCAATGTTTTCCCTCTGTAAAATGGCATTAGTAGAACCTACTTCATAAGGTTTTGGGGGAGATTAAATGAGATGAACAATATAGAATGTCATGTGTGCACTCAGAATTACAATTAGTTATTACTGATAATGGGTAAACATAATTGCTATTATTATTAACACTGACATAGCCTTACTATATGTGGGGCATTGCCCTGAGCATTTGTATAGTAACATATAATTCTCCCAGTTACTTTGTGGGAGTAGTAAGGTCTAGAACCCCCTTTTTTTTTGAGACAGTCTCACTCTGTTGCCCAGGCTGGAGTGCGGTGGTGTGATCTCGGCTCACTACAACTTCTGCCTCCTGGGTTCAAGCAATCCTCCTGCCTCAGCCTCCCGAGTAGCTGGGATTACAGGCACCCACCATCACGCCCGGCTGATTTTTTGTATTTTTAGTAGAGAAGGTTTCACCACGTTGGCTAGGCTAACCTCGAACTCCTGACCTCAAGTGATCTGCCTGTCTCGGCCTCCCAAATTGCTGGGATTACAGGTGTGAGCCACTGCGCCCCGCCTAGACCCCATTTTTGGATGAGGAAACTGAGACCCAGAGAAGTTCATTTAGCTGTGGTCTGCTGTGACAGGGAGATCTGCCACTTAGAAAGTTTTAGGGTCGTTTTATTTTCATAATAGAACACGATGAACCAGACCATCCCTGCTCCATTTTAGACCATTAAGTTTCTTTTTTTTTTTCTTTTCCCCTGAGACAGTCTCGCTCTGTTGGCCAGGCTAGAGTGCAGTGGCATGATCTCAACTCACTGCAACCTCTACCTCCCGGGCTCAAGCACTTCTCCCGCCTCAGCCTCCCGAGTAGCTGGGATTACAGGGGTGTGCCACCATGCCCGGCTAATTTTTTTTGTATTTTTAGTGAAGACAGGGTTTCACCATGTTGGCCAGGCTGGTCTTGAACTCCTGACCTCAGGTAATTCACCCACCTCAGCCTCCCAAAGTGCTGGGATTATAGGCCTGAGCCACCGTGCCCGGCCTAGACCATTAAGTTTCAATAATGAGAAAGTTGGGATTCCCCAGAGATGGGGATTCTCTTTCTCATAGTAACAAGACTTCCCAAAACAACATTTCTTTTTCAAGACTTCATTAAGAATCTCTTGTCTGTATCTTGGTCTTTTGTTGTTATTGTTGTTTGTTTGTTTTTTTATTTACTTTGTTCATTCCTACCTCTCCAACAAAGAATTTTGAGGTTTGGGGCACCCAGATGCATAATTGCATAATAGCTATATGTATTTCTCAGATAGGGTTAAGGAAATGGGCAAAGGAGAAATAAGAATAAAAGATAAGAGGAGAGCCGGGTGTGGTAGTGTGCACTTGTATTGCCAGTTACTTGGGAGGCTGAAGCAGGAGGATCACTTGAGCCTAAGTGTTCCAGACCAGCTGGGGCAACATAGAGAGACCCCCATCTCTAAAAATATGTTATAAAATATTTTAATTACTTTTTTTTTTTTTGAGATGGAGCTTTGCTCTTGTTGCCCAGGCTGGAGTGCAATGGCACGCTTTTGGCTCACTGCAACCTCCGCCTCCCGGGTTCAAGTGCCCCAGACTCCCAAGTAGCTGGGATTACAGGCATGCGTCACCACACCCAGCTAATTTTGCATTTTTAGTAGAGACAAGGTTTCTCCACGTTGATCAGGCTGGTCTCGAAGTCCTGACCTCAGGTGATCTGTCCGCCTTGGCCTCCCGAAGTGCTGGGATTACAGGCGTGAGCCACTGCGCCCGGCTTAATTACGATTTAAGAAAAAAGATGAGTATAGGAAGAAGGTTGGATAGTGATGTGTTTGCCACAGACCTAGATCCCTGCTAAAAGCAGACCACAGATTTGACTCTGAGCAAAGAGGAAAACAAGATCAGTTGCGTAATTAGGTTTCTATGAGTTAAGCATAAATCTGTTCCTTAGAGAGGATCCAGTTTCTCCACAGAGCTCTTACCTTCATGTGATTTTGGCAACAGCTCTTAATACCTTGGACTTTCCATTGATATTTGTCATTTTGCAGCTAATACATGTTAGTTGTGGGGAAAACTTTGGAAAATATAGATAGCTAAAAGAAAAAAGCTGGGTGCAGTGGTACATGCCTATAGTCCCAGGTGTTCCCTGGAGGCTGAGGTGAGAGGATCAGTTGAGCCCAAGTGTTGAAGTCCAGCCTCCATAGGGAGATACCATCTCTTAATAAAAAGAACAAAAATATTTAAATTGTGTGTAAAGTCACTATCTAGATATCACCACCGGGGAACATTTTTGTATACATCCTCCTAGAAGTAAGGTCTCTATTATTATCTTATATGTTGTAATATAAATGCAAGTATAAGTAATGGCATTTTACTAAAGTAAATCGTTATCCAACACTCTCTGCCTCAGGGCCATGGTGCCTGCTGTTCCCTGTGCCCAGAGCACCCTTCCCCCAGGCATCCTCATGCCACTCTTGCTTATCTCTTTCCAGTCTCTGCTCAAACTGCCCCAGTTCTCAGCAGAGTCTGTCTTGGATAATAGCTCACATCTATACCCTTGTCACTGTACCGCCTACCCTGCCTTTTTTCCATGGCACTGATTACTATTCAATTTCATGATCTGCTTGTCTCCCTCTCTTTGAATATGAGCTCCTTGAGGGTGGGTCTGTTTTGTTCATTGCTGTACTTCTAGGGCTTGGGCTCAGAATTCTGCCCAGCATAGAGGAGGTCCTCAGATATTTGAATGACTCCACACAGCTATTTCTGTATTCATTACAAATACATCTATATCAATAACTACTGAAATATGCCTATAGAAATGTTTCATACAGTTAGATTTATGTGTATACTTTTTTTCAAAATCATGCTCTTGCTCTTCCTACTTCAATGTCTGTTGGCTGCTTTCTGATTCCTTTGAGGCAGCACATGGTAAGATGCCTCTAAATTGTACCGTGGCCTATCAGGTGTTCATAGAAAACCCTCTGCAAATGGAATTTCTTTTTTTTTTTTTCCTCTTTTTAATTGAGACAGGGTCTCACTATGTTGCCCAGGCTGGTCTTGAGCTCCTGGGATCAAGAGATCCTCCCGCTTCAGTCTCCCAAAGTGTGGGGATTATAAGCATGAGCCACTGTGCCCAACCTGCACATGTAATTTCATAATTAAAATATTTTATCCATGGCTGGGAGTGGTGGTTCACACCTATAATCCCAGCACTTTGGGAGGCCAAGGTGGGAGTATCGCCGGAGTCCAGGAGTTCAAGACCAGCCCGGGCAACATAGGGAGACCCCATCTCTACAAAAGATAAAAACATTAGCTGGGGCCTGGCGCGGTGGCTCACGCTGGGGACTACAGGTTTATGCCATCACGCCTGGCTAATTTTTTTGTATTCTTAGTAGAGACGGGGTTTCACCGTGTTAGCCAGGATGGTCTCAATCTCCTGAGCTCGTCATGATCTGCCCACCTCGGCCTCCCAAAGTGCTGGGATTACAGGTGTGAGCCACCGCAGCTGGCTTTTTTTTTTTTTTTTTTAAAGAAAATGGTAGCCTCTGATGGCTGCTGTCATGCCCCCGGTTGTTTTCAGGTCCAAGTCTATCTGGAGACCTTTCCTCCCTGTCAATTAGGGGTCCTTTCTTGGCTACTATTATGTTGCTTTCTTCATCTTTGCCTCAGAATCATAAAGTTGGAAGGGCTTTTGGGGCCACCTGGCCTAGCCCTCTCTGCCACCACCAGGTGTGTGCTCTGGGGAGCTCTGCCTCCTGTCCTAAAACTGTCACCTTCCTGACTGGGCCTGTCTTCCACAAGACATCGCCTGGCTAGACCCCCTCTGACTACATCTTTTCCTGTGCCTGGAAGGACCTCAGAGGTAAGTATTTGGGTCTCTTGTGTCCCATCCCCACTCCCGGAGCCCAAAGCTCAGTCCGCAGCACATAGAGGGCCCTTAGGGGATGTTCATGGACAGCTGAATGACTCTGCCTCTGCCTTCAGGTGGGTACCAGCCAGTTGACATCCAGATTCATTCAGAGCCTGCTGTGGGCCAGGCACCAGCCTCGCACCTTCAGGGAACGTGGCAATAAATAAGGATTTCAGAGGGCAGCACATTCTAGAAGGATGTAAAGCAGTGAAACGGGGTAGGGAGTGCCTGGGGTAGTGGTGCAGGGCCCCTTTAGCTGAGGAGTGGATCAGGCAGGAGGATGTTTGTGTGGTACCTAGTGGTAGAAAGGAGGACACCATGAAGAGAGCAGTAGGAAGAGAATTCCAAGCAGAGGAACAGCAAGGGCTGAGAGCCTGAGACAGGAAGGAGCGCAGTGTGTGGAGTGGGCAAGAGGCCCAGTGTGGCAGGGCCTGGTGGGTAGATGGGCTCACAGGCGGGAGATAAGCTGGGAGGGGAAGGCAGAGGCTAGAGCTGGTCTCTAGTTTTTTAGACCTTATCTTCTGAAGGACAGATAAGTGCCTCTGCCTCCATCAGCTTCCACCGAGACGAAGTGATGCAAACCAGACCGTGCAGCCAACTCCTGCGTCAGGTTCCATAGGAATCCTTTCCCCGCCAGTGGAGGAGGCTCTCCCGTCTTTTGGAAATGATGTGCAGGAGACAGAGCTGATTCTCATTTCTTCCATGGACACGGCTAAGTGCGGGCTGGTGTGTGAGAAAGGGTTCGGGGCGCGTGGTTGGTGGAAGTTAGCTCCTGGCTGTTCTGCCTTGCAGTCCCAGGCAACTCAGACCTTCCCTGGCTGCTACTCACACCTACGCTTTCCTACGCAGGCTCTGATCTTCTTTTTCAGCCCTAGAATCCCAGAATAGCAGCTAATGTGTATTGAGCCCTTTTTTCTTTTTCTTTTTAAGACAGGGTCTCACTTTGTCACCCAAGCTGGAGTGCAGTGCAGATCACAGCTCGCTGTAGTCTCGAACTCCTAGTCTCAAGCAATCCTCCCATCTGAGCCTCCCGAGTAGCTGGGACCATAGGCACGTGCCACCATACCTGGCTAATTTAAAAAAATTTTTTGTAGCCGGGCGCGGTGGCTCACGCCTGTAATCCCAGCACTTTGGGAGGTGGAGGCGGGTGGATCACAAGGTCAAGAGATCGAGACCATCCTGGCCAACATGGTGAAACCCCGTCTCTATTAAAAATACAAAAATTAGCTGGGCGTGGTGGCGCATGCCTGTAGTCCCAGCTACTAGGGAGGCTGAGACAGGAGAATCGCTTGAACCCAGGAGGTGGAGGTTGCAGTGAGCCGAGATCGCACCACTACACTCCAGCCTGGCGACAGAGCAAGACTCCCTCTCAAAAAAAAAAAAAAATTTTTTTTTTGTAAAGAGATCTCACTATGTTGCCCAGGCTGGTCTCAAATACCTGGCCTCTTGCCTCTGCCTCCTAAAGTGCTGGGATTACAGGCGCGAGCCACCGTGCCTAGCCCATTGAGCTTTTATTCTGTGTCTGACAGTGCTAAAGGGCTTTACGTGGATTAACTTGTTGAATCATCCCATCCCCTTAGGAAATAGAGACCATCACTATTTCTGTTTTGCATATGAGGAAATCGAGGCAGGCAGGAGAGGTGAAATCACATGCCCAAGGTGGCATAGTTGATAAGTGGATCTGGGGCTTGAACTTGGGTCGTCTGACCTCTGACCTGGGGCTCTCAACCACTTAATGCTACACTGGGACCCTGACTTAAGGACTCAGGGTCTAGGCTCCTTATCTCAAAATTGGCCCCGTGTTGCCACACAACGGCCAATCGCATATGTCCTTGCCTTGCTTACCACCTAATCGGGCAGGCCTAGCAGACAGGGACACTGCCTTTCTTATCCTCTTCGTGCCATGCATGGAAGGGCGGGGCTCCATTAGAACTTGGAAGCTTCCTCTCTAATTTATGGTTTGTCCCTCTCCAACATATGGGAGAGATAGATAAGTCTCTTTAATTAGTTCACTAAGATTAATAAGCCATAGACCCATCAAGGAAAATTCAATAAATGTTCACTGGGCATCTTTTATGCACCAGGCTCTGTCTACATTCAGAGCGAGAGAACAGTCACAGCTGACATCTATGGACCACTTACAACTGGCCTGGCTCTGGGCTAACCCGCACCGTATACAGATCTTATATATACTTCACTCCATACCCTGTGATGTAGGTCTTCCTCAAAATCACCACACTATGTCAAATTGCCCATGAAAAACACCAGACTTAGGCTGGGCACGGTGGCTCAAGCCTGTAATCCCAGTACTTTGGGAGGCCGAGGCAGGTGGATCGCTTGTGCCCAGGAGTTCAGGACCAGCCTGGGCAACAGAGTGAGACCCCATCCTAACAAAAAATACAAAAAGTACAAAAAAATTACCTGGGGGTCCCAGCTACCCAGAAGGCTGAGGTGGGAGGATCGCTTGAGCCTGGGAGGTCAATGCTGCAGTGAGCCATGATTGTGTCACTGGATTCCAGCCTGGGCAACAGAGTGACACCCAGTCTCAAAAAACAAAAACAAAAACCAAAACCACCAGGCTTATGGGAAAGTGGGTTTAGGAGCTCAGCACTCAAGAACTTCATCGTAATACATTAGACAAAAAGAATTTTGCTTGTGGAAATGGGTCTCTAAAGGGTTGTGGCTTGTTATAAGTGGTGGAAGGAGAATTGTCTGAAATGAGATGGAAGTTGTAACACCAGGTGTGGATGGGTGAGGTTTGTAACATGTGAACTGAGGCAGCTGGAGAAGGTGGGTGTTTTGTGTGTTCCCGTGCTTCAGCTAGATAGAGTCTTCTGCATTCACCTAGTGTTGGTTGGAGACAAAATTGCACATGTGAGCAACCTTGACATTGAGTTATACTCAAGTTATTTTCCTTTTTTTTTTTTTTTTTGTTGAGATGGAGTCTTGCTCTGTCACCCAGGCTGGAATGCAGTGGCACAATCTTGGCTCACTGCAACTTCTGCCTCCCAGGTTCAAGTGATTCTCCTGCCTCAGCCTCCCCAGTAGCTGGGATTACAGGTGTGCACCACCACTCCCAGCTAATTTTTTTGTATTTTTAGTACAGACGGGGTTTCGCCATGTTGGCCAGGCTGGTCTCGAACTCCTGACCTCAGGTGATCTGCCCGCCCTGGCCTCCCAAAGTGCTGGGATTACAGGCGTGAGCCAGTGCACCCAGCCTGCTCAAGTTATTTCCTAATACATCATTCACATTGAAACACATTTGCATTTTCAAAACAAGGATTATTGAAGAACTGACTGTATTATCTCCAATTTGCAGTAAAGTAAACTGAGGCTCTGAGAGGTAAAGTGACTAGTCCAGGGTCCCACAGATGGGAGGTGGCACAGCCAAGATTTAAACTCAGCTTGAGCACTTAACCTGTGTGCCACAGGGCTCTTCCTGTTCATATCCATGAGAAACAAGTTATGTGGACAAAGATGGCCAAGACGAGAGATTGGTGGAGTATGGCCAGTAGTTAAGAATATGCAAGAATAATGTTTTATTTATTTATTTTTAAGACAGGGCCACGTTCTGTCACCTAGGCTAGAGTGCAGTGGTGCAGTCATAGCTCACTGCAGCTCAACTTCCCAGCCTCAAGCGATCTTCCCACCTCAGCCTCCCAAGTAGCTGGCAGTACAGGCACACGCCACCACATCTGGCTAATTTTAAATTTTTTGTAGAGACAGGGTCTTGCTATGTTGCCCAGGCTGGTCTTGATTCCTGGCCTCAAGCAATCCTCCTGCTTCAGCCTCCTAAAGTGCTGGAATTACAGGCATGAGCCACCGTGAATGGCCAGAAGCACAGTTTTAAAATGTTTGTTGATGGCTGGGTGCGGTCGCTCATGCCTGTAATCCTAGCACTTTGGGAGGCCGAGTCGGGCAGATTACTTGAGGTCAGGAGTTTGAGCCTGGCCCACATGGTGAAACCCCATCTCTACTAATAATACAAAAATTAGCTGGGCGTGGCGGTGGGTGCCTTTAATCCCAGCTGCTCAGGAGGCCAAGATAGGATAATTGCTTGAACCCGGGAGGCAGAGCTTGCAGTGAGCCAAGATTGCACCACTGCATTCCAGCCTGGGCGACACAGCAAGACCCTGTCTCAAATAAATAAATAAGTTTGATGATGACCAGTACAGCCTGGACCCTTTGCATTCAACGTGGTGCACTCCATCCTGGGTGACAGAGCAATACCCTGTCATAAATAAAATAAGTAAAGTTTGATGACCAGTACAGCCTGGACCCTTTGCAATGAAAGCGGATGCCTGGTGTTTAGTGCTCAAGCAGTGCTGGGGCCCTGGGCAGCAGCTGGAGGGTGGGCACTGGGGAGGACACCAGGAGGCTCAGAGCAAAGGCTACTCACCAACTGATGGGACTTTTCAATATTTCAACCATTGGTGTGGTTGTTGTCAGTCCATACTGGGTGAATCTCAGTCCTGATTTTATCTGAAATAAATCCACGTGGTTAGTTTGGTTAGTTCTCATTATAGAAGCCCCTCCCCATCCCCAAAACTTCTAATTATGGAAACTTAAATACATAAAAGTTGAGAAATAGTACAATGAAGCCAAGCATGGTGGTGCGCACCTGTGGTCCCAGCTACTCAGAAGGCTGAGGTGGGAGGAATGCTTGAGCCTGGGAGGTCCAGGGTGCAATGAGCTATGATTGCACCATTGCACTCCAGCCTGGGTGATAGGGCAAGGCCCTGTCTCAAAAAAAAAAAAAAAAGAAAAAAGAACACCCTCATTTTACAATTAACATTGTCATATTTGCCTTCTCTGTGTGTGCCTCTTAAGTGTGTGCGTCCGAGCATGCACTTTATGAGCCATTTGAAAGTACGCTGCAGGCATGTTTCACCCCTAAATACTTTAGTCTGCATCTCCTGAACCACAATGCCATTATCACAACTAAGAAAACGTATAATGTCATCTAACATCCAACTCTGATGGCAAATATTCCCAACCATGCCAAGAATGTCTTGTGTTTATTACAAACTCTCACATGCAAGTCATTTCAAACATCACCTCCCGAGATCCTTGTGTACCCAGAAGGGAACATGAGAAGAGAAGGTGGTGTTCTTGCCTTTGGTTTGCCTAAGGCCCCCTTTTTGTTCTCCCACTTTGGATTCGGTTGGATTCTAGGAGCAGTTACACATTTCTGTTTTTGTGTTTAAAAGCATGTAGGTTTCATGTAAGCTATATGCATGCACACACTAGCCACACATGGGACTCAAGTTTGTAATTTAAAAAGACATTTCCTTCCCCTATAATAAAGCATAGCTGGCATTTCTACATCTGAAGCGTCTAAGATAAAGCTGATGGTATCAGCATGTTGCTCTCCAAAGAAACAAAAGGTTATGATTTGATAGACCCTGAAATTAGACATCAAGGTCAAGAAAGTGTAAACTTAGGTGTGGTCGTTTTCCAAAGCTGTCACTCAGATGTTTAGCAAAATGTCCCCCTTTACATTTCCCCTGTCTTCCACAGGTCTCCCCCATCCACCCAAAAGGAGGAAAGTTAGGAGGGAAGATTGTCAAAAGTCCTCAAATATGGCTATTTTAGATTTCTTTTTTTCTTTTGGTGAGACAGAGTCTCAGTTTATCACCCAGACTGGAGTGCAGTGGTGCAATCTTGGCTTACTGCAACCTCTACCTCCCACCCCCAGGTTCAGGCTACTCTTGTGCCTCAGCCTCCCAAGTAGCTAGCTGGGACTGTAGGCACGCACCACCATGCCTGACTAAGTTTTGTATTTTTAGTAGAGATGGGGTTTTACCATCTTGACCAGGCTGGTCTCAAACTCCTGACTTCAAGTGATCCACCCACCTTGGCCTCCCAAAGTGTTGGGATTACAGGTGTGAGCCACCGCACCAGGCCTATTTTAGATTTCTTTTAATGTAGTAGCAGGTAACAAGCATAGTTCATATACTTTTACTATTTTTAATAATGACCAACGTTTCCTGAACATGAATAGTGGATTAAAGTGCTGAGTGGCATGCCTGGTGCACAGCAGGAGTCCAATATTAGCTATGGACAGTACCTGACATTCAGCGGATTTGAATCATTCAGACTTGAAACTGCACTATAATATTTTACTTAGTAAAATCTCATTAAAAATTTTTTTTAAATAGTATGTTTTGTAGAGACAGGGGTCTCACTATATTGCCCAGGCTAGTCTCGAGTTCCTGGGCTCAAGCTATCCTCCTACCTTGGCTTTTTCAAAGTGCTGGGATTATAGGCATGAGTTCCTGCACCTGGCATAAAGTTTCATTTTATATTGCAGCTTTTAAAGAATGGGAGTGCATCACATCTACTTTTAAAGGAAAGCTGAGCATGTTTTGAGTTATGCACAGTTTTCAGCAAAACAGCCCATGCATGAAATCCAACAGGCTTGTCAGATTAGGCTGGTCACTTTACATTATATACTTTCTCATGTAGTTCTCACGACAGTCCTGTTATTTAGAGATTGCCATTCGGCCCATCTTATAGAGAGGAAACTAAGGCTTAGAGAGGGTAAGTGACTTAACCTCAAGTATGTCTGAGTGGTGGAGCTGAAACCTCAATCTTGGTGTGGCTGACTTCAGACTTGTTACTTGTAACCACCGTGCAGTCCCAAGCTTGTGTTTGTTGCTGTTCCAAATGCAACATTGGTGCCTCTAAGCCTCATATCATGAACTGGTTCAGAGAGAGAAAGCCACAGTCCCCCCAGGTTCATTTAGTGTGTGTTCAGGTGTGTTGGCATGGTGCTTCCTTCAGTCTTTCTCAAGCCTCATAGGCAGAAAACCCTTCATGAAAGCATAGTGGTCAAGAGCCACGGGCTCTGGGGCCAGACGGCCTGTGCTTGCTCGAATTCCAGGTTCACACCAGTAACTTGTAAGTTATGTGACCTTGGGCAAGTTACTCAACCCTCATATGCCTCAGTTTTCTCATTTGTCAAATGGAGACAATAATAGTACCTAATTCATACTATTATTATGAAAATAAATGACTAATATAAGCCTGGCATGCAGTGTGCTCTAGAGCATTAGCTGCTAATATTATCTCTGCCACCAAAGGCTTTAGCCAAGACTGCCTTCAAAAGCAGTGTTTGTGGGGTGGTAGTGTTCTAGAAAAGGTAATGTTTCCTTTTTTTTTTTTTTTTTTTTTTTGAGAAGGGGGTCTGATTCTGTCACCCAAGCTGGAGTGCAGTGGTGGTGCAACCACGGCTTATTGCAGCCTCGACCTCCCAGGCTCAAGCCATCCTCCCATCTCAGCCTCCTGAGTGGCTTGACTATAGGCATGCACCACCACACCTGGCTAATTTTTGTATTTTTAAATTTTTTATTTTTATCATTATTTTTGAGATGGGGTCTCACTCTGTTGCCCAGGCTGGAGTGCAGTGGCACAATTTCAGCTCACTGCAACCTTTGCCTCCCAGGTTCAAGCGATTCTCCTGCCTCAGCCTCCCAAGTAGCAGGGACTACAGGCGCACACCACCACGCCCAGCTAACTTTTGTATTTTTAGTAGAGATGGGGTTTTGCCATGTTGGCCAGACTGGTCTCAAACTCCTGACCTCAGGTGATCCACCTGCCTTGGCCTTCCAAAGTGCTAGGATTACAGGCATGAGCCACCATGCCTGGCCAGAAATTGGACACTTTATTTATTTATTTATTTTTGAGACGGAATCTCGCTCTGTTGCCCAGGCTGGAGTGCAGTGGTGCAATCTCAGTCCCCTGCAACCTCCACCTCCCGGGTTCAAGCAATTCTCCTGCCTTAGCTTCCCAAGTAGTTGGGGCTACAGGCACCTGCCACCATGTCCAGCTAATTTTTGTATTTTTAGTACAGACGGGGTTTCACCATATTGGCCAGGCTGGTCTCGAATTCCTGACCTTGTGATCCGCCTGCCTTGGCCTCCCAAAATGCTGGGATTACAGGTGTGAGCCACCGTGCCCGACCAATTGTACACTTTAAATTGGTGAATTTTGTGTTGTGTTAATGATATCTCAATATTTTTTGAAATGCCAACAGGGAACAAATCATCATTAGTGAAACAGCTCTTGTTCAGATTAGTAAGTAGAGCTCCAGTCCTGAGCTTTTAGTAAACAATTGTGAGCCCCAGTGATTCCACGTGGTCCTGCCCTATGTGTAGAGCCTTGGTTTGCAGCCTTCCCAGAAACAGAAATGCTTCTGGGAAACCACAGCTCCCTACCTGCTGAAGGAAATGGACACCTGAGATAAGCTGAATATATTGTGTGTGTAATCAGAAGGCAGGCAGGCAGGCCGGTTTTCCAGATGAGCCTAAGCTAATGGCTTAAAAGGGTGTTTAAAAGAGAAAGCAGTAGCCTGACTGGTCTGAACTCCTGCCCTGTCAGCAGAAACGGTGCAGTCACAATGAGAAGGGAAAGAGTATTTAACGCTGGTATGAACGGCAAGCCTCTGCCTCCTGATTTAGTTAATAAGCAGTTTTCCTATGGAATTGATTGAGGGGGAGAGAGGTTTTTCTCTTCCTGGCTCCCTTGGTGTGTGCCCTCTCATGTCAGAAGGCAGGAAGTTCTCTGGGAATTCACACCAGAGGTTTTGCCATTATTTAAGCAAATTAAGGCCTTTGGGAACAGCCAGGTGGCCTTTCAGGTTTTGTCAGGGCCAAAAAGCCCTATCACCTGCCAAGGTGTTGAGTCAACTTATTTACAGTGCTCAGAGCCAGTTCCTGTGCTGCTGAAATCCCTGAAGGCCTGCTCTAAATGGGCCTGGTCAGACATCAACACCGCCTGCCTCATCAGCACTTTTAGCCTTCCACCTGCAGTGCGGGCTTGACTGAGATGCCCCAGTGGCTTGTCCTGGGAAAACTGCTCCCATCTGTAAGCTGCCACCCTCCTTTGGTGACTTTGCCTCTCTCTGCCTCTTTACTCCCTGCACAGAGGGGCAAAGAGGCACATCCTCCAGGGAGGCAGGGCTAGGTGGAAGTTAAGGTGATGGGCTTTGGGGTCCGGCAGGCCTGAGTTCAATTCCCAGCTCTGCTGTGTGCTGTTATAGCTACGTGGCCTTGGGCAAATCCCTTACCACTGTGAGTATTGCTTTATTCACCTGTGAAATGGGAGTAACACGGTACCTACCTTCTAGGCTGTTGTGAAGATTAACTGCAATTCTGCATGGTGCTTCTGATAGGGTCAGTAACTGAGGGGTTGGCCGGGCACGATGGCTCACACCTGTAATCCCAGCACTTTGGGAGGCCGAGCAGGCAGGAGGATCACAAAGTCAAGAGATCGAGACCATCCTGGCCAACATGATGAAACCTCGTCTCTACTAAAAATACAAAAATTAATTGGGCATGGTGGCACATGCCTGTAGTCCCAGCTACTCGGGAGGCTGAGAAGAATTGCGTGAACCTGGGAGGTGGAGGTGACAGTGAGCCAAGATCACACCACTGCACTCCAGCCTGGCAACAGATGAGTGCTGGGGGTGTTGGAGGGAGGCTGGAGAATGAAAGGGAGGCAACTGAGGCCACAGTGTCTGGCTGTTTCCAATCCCCCCATCCCCAGCTGAAACCCTCTCATCTGCAGATAACTCCAAGACACTCCTTACTTCTCCCAGAATAAAAGCCCGGCTCTCTACAATGAGGCTCCAGCTACGTCTGACTTTGTCACTGACTACCCTTGTGTCACTCGCTCTACTCAGCCACCACCCTGGATTGGCTTCCAACCAAGTTGTGTTTGCTTTTCCCTCTGCCTGAAATGTCCTTCCAAAGGGGACCGTGTGGCTCCCTTCCTCCCTCCTTCCCTCCCTTCCAGCAAGTCTTAGGTCTCAGCTAAAACTGCCTTTGCTCTAAGTCACCTTCATTGCCTTTGACATGGCACACCACTGCCTCCAGCACTCCCTCCTTATCCTTCCTCCCTGTTTATTTTATTTTATTATTTTTTGTTTATTTATTTTGAGACAGAGTCTCCCTTTGTCACCCAGGTTGGAGTGCAGTGGCATGATTTTGGCTCACTGCAACCTGTACCTCCTGGGTTCAAGTGATTCTCTCCTGCCTCAGCCTCCCAAGTAGCTGGGATTACAGGTGTGCACCACCACACCTGGCTAATTTTTGTATTTTTAGTAGAGATAGGGTTTCGCCATGTTGGCCAGGCTGATTTCAAGTGATCTACCCATCTCGACCTCCCAAAGTGCTTGGGATTACGGGCTTCGGCCACCATGCCCAGCACCTGTTCTATTGTTTTCTCTACAGCGTTTACTACCTTATTGTATGTTTTTGGCTAAAGGGCCTTGGAGTCAACCCCAGGAGAACAGTGCTGATGAATCAGGAGTGGCGCTCCCATAACTTCATGCGTCTTCAAAGCTGGCTAGTACTGCACCTCATTCTCGTGATTTCATGCCCACAGTTACCTCCAGGGTGTTGGCTGAGCAGAGCAAGTGACATGAGGGTAGTTGGTGACAAAGTCAGAAGTAGCTGAGGCCTCACTGTAGAGAGCTGGGCTTTTATTCTGGGAAAAGTGAGTCTCTGGAGGGCTCTGCATAGAGCAGAGGCTTGTCATGGCCTGACCGAGGTTGTAGCAAGCTCAATGCGGCTACTGTGTAGAGAAGACGCCGTAGCAACCTGGGCCAGAATTGGGAAGATTAAGGAGCTACTGCAATGGTCCAGGAGTCCAGAGATGAATTGAGTCTGTGGGGAAAAAAGTGTCGGCTGACAAGCCGTTCTGTCTCCATGTTCTCCTCTCACCTTTTGACCACCCTGTCCCCACTCCTCAGCTGTGCTTTGTATTTTGTAATTCGCAGCACTCAAAGCACTCACACAGGAGGCCTGACATTATTTATCTGCAGGTCAGAGGGTTTGAGTTGAGGGTGGGGGTATTGGAAACAATTAGGCATTGTGGCCTCAGTTGCCTCCGCTTCATTCTCCACCCTCCTCCACACACCCGCAGCACTCATTTTAACCCCTCAGTATGTCTTTTACTTTTTCCTTCCTTTTTAGAGTTAGGGTCTCACTCTGTCATCCAGGCTGGTGTGCAATGGTGTGATCACGGCTAGTTGCAGCCTTGACCTCCTGGGCTCAAGCAATTAACTCCACCTCAGCCTGCCCAGTAATTGGGACTACAGGAGCATGCCACTACACCTGGCTAATTTTTTCTTTTTTTAGAGATGGGGTCTTGCCATGTTGCCCAGGTTGGTGTCGAACTCCTGAGCTCAAGCAATCCATCCCCCTTGGCCTCCCAAAGTGCGGGGATAACAGGCATGCAACACCATGCCCGGCCAATTTTTTAATTTTCTTTATTGACAGGGTCTCACTATGTTGCCCAGGCTGATCTCAAACTCCTGGACTCGAGTGATCTCCCTGCCTTAGCCAAACTGCTGGGATTACAGGCCTGAGCAATCATGCCGGGCCCCCTCAGTATATCTTTAATCCCTTTGGGATCTGAGACTCTTTGAGAGACTGTTGAAGACCACAGAGCCTCCCACAGGTGCCCATATCTTAACCCACAGTTCCAGGGGGCCCATGCCTTCCTTGATGCCCTTCACTAGCCCAAACCTTGGCTCAAATCCTAGGCACTCACTGCTAAGGCCTCAAGGAGGGGGTCAGAAAAACAAAACCGCAGCCCAGGAAACTCCTTTCATGGCCACAGAGATGTTTCCAGATGGCCTGAGAAGGGAGTGGTTGGTGTGGGCAGCTGCTGTTCCCCATGGTATCAAATCTTTGATCAAGAGGGGTGGAAAAGGATTGACTTTCTCAAGTTCAGGGCTTCCTTCTGGCTCCACAGGCACCCCCCACAGGCAAGGGACCACCACACCCAAAGGCAGGAGTGGCCAATCCTGAGGGCGTGGACGGGGGCCACAGGGAGGCAGTCCACACCCTCAGGATTTGACCCTACAGGGAAGGCCCTGGGGATGTTGCCCTGTCCCAGGAACCTGCACACCCACCTTGGGGGCACTGCCTCTCCTTAGGGTGACCTCAGAGGCAGTTGCAGAAGTTTCGAGTTCTGCAAAAGCCATCTGTGGCAGAACAGGAGCGGCAGCTTACCACATACAAACTCTTCAAATGTTCCCACCAACTGTGACAGGTGGGGGCCACTCTGTAGTTGAAGAGGAAACTAAGACTCAAGCGTTTAACTTTCCTGAAGTTAACACAGCTAGTCAGAGGCACAGTTTGCATTCAAGTCCACATCTATCTAGACTCCAGGCCTAAGCGCTGACCGTTAGTGCTCTATGAGGCAGCACCTGGTAAAGCCACCTGTGCTTTGAGGGGGCGTTCAGGAGGCTACAGCCTAGTTCTGTGTAGGGTCAGATTATCTTGTTCTTTCTTCTCTCCGCTGGCCCACATCTTACCCTCTGGTGCCATTGTGACCGATCCTTCGCAAAGGAGTCAGCCCTAGAATTGTTGACAGTGAGCCCGTTTCCTGCCCCTCACCCCACACAGGGTTCCTTCCCATCCTTGCCCCTCCGTCCCTGGACCAGCTCCATGGGTCAGTGTTCCTCTTAGAGCATGACTCTTGGAAAAAAAACAGCACTTATCATTGAGGTCATCAGATTGCAACCCTGAGAATGTACTTATCAAACCACAAATAGAATCAGAGAAGGACTATATAGTCTCCCATATCCTAAGTGTCTCATTTCTGAAAACACAACTGAAATCTGGTTTTGGAAGCCACATCACATGTTGCCTATTGAGATTACGGTCAACTGAACACCCATCCCTCCTTTGGTTCAACCCTCTCATTAAAGAAAAGAAAAAGGGCCGGGAGTGGTGGCTCACTCCTGTAATCCTGGCACTTTGGGAGGCCGAGGCAGGCAGATATCCTGAGCTCAGGAGTTCGAGACCAGCCTGGGTAACATGGCGAAACCCCGTCTCTACTAAAAATACAAAAATTAGCCAGGCATGGTGGCACATGCCTGTAATCCCAGCTACTCAGGAGGCTGAGGCACGAGAATCGCTTGAACCCAGGAGGTGAAGGTTGCAGTGAGCTAAGATGATGCCACTGCACTCCAGCCTAGGTGACAGAGTATCTCAAAAAAAAAAAAAAAAGAAAAAAGAAAAAAAGAAAAAAAAGTTTGTTTATGTGAACATAGGAAAACAAACACAAGCCAATTTAAATGGTACCTAAGAGCCTAAAAGTGTCTGCCTGTCAGCAGTTCATCTGAGACAAGCAGTGTTACCGATTTCTTGTTTCCTTCTGAAGATATTCTAAGCCTATTCCCTATCCCATTTAGCTGTGTGCTCTTTAAAGACAGATTCTTCCCATATTATTACATATACACTTACTTGATTCTTTTTTAAACAGCTCCCTCATTCTTTTTATTTTATTTATTTTTTTTGAGATAGAGTCTCGCTCTGTCACCCAGGCTGGAGTGTAGTGGCATGATCTGGACTCACTGCAACCCTCACCTCCCGGGTTCAAGCAATTCTCAAGCCTCAGCCTCCCTTGTAGCTGGGACTACAGGCACCTACCACCACGCCTGGCTAATTTTTGTATTTTTAGTAGAGATGGAGTTTCACCATGTTGGCCAGGCTGGTCCTGAACTCCTGACCTCAAGCAATCTACCCACCTCGGCCTCCCAAAGTGCTGGGATTTAGGCATGAGCCACCGTGCCCAGCCCTTCATGATTTTTAATTTTTGCATCATTTTCCATTGAGTGGATGCCCATCATTGATTTATCCAGCCCTCTGTCAATGATGTGTCTATCTTTTGCCACCATAAACAAGATTGTAGTGGCCCTCCGTATATCTGCCCTGATGCAATGTGTGAGTCCCTCTGTGAGATGAAGTCCTAAAAATGGGCTTTGCTGAAAGAAAGGATTTATGCATGTAAAATCTATAAACATGATCAGAATGTTCTCTTAAAAAGCCATACTGATTCCTACTTGCCATGATGTCCAAGGCCTTGGAGCCCCACATCTTTGCTGGTACAGTTCCGCCTCTGTGCATTACAGATGATAAAACGAACCCAGAAAAAATGCAGGGGTCTTGCCTGACATTCTCCAGAGAGAATCTGGTCATCTGACTCTGGTCAACTGACATCCAGCATTTTTTTTTTGCTAGACCAGCTGACCAGCATCCGCCGGCAGCACCCCCTTCCCTCTCCCATCATGTGTGGGTCATCCTCCTTTCCACCGCCCACATGGACCCCTCCCTCTGGTCTCCTGCATCCTGCATGGTGTTGGTTATGTGAACAAGTTCTTTAGTGGTGATTTCTGAGATTTTGGTGCACCCATGATTGGAGCAGTGTACACTGTACCTGTGTACACTGTGTAGTCTTTTATCCCTCACCCCCTTCCCACCCTTTCCCCCAAAGTCCCCAAAGTCCATTGTATCTTTTTATGCCTTTGGATCCTCATAGCTTAGCTCCCACTTATGAGTGAGAACATACAATATTTGGTTTTCCATTCCTGAGTTACTTCACTTAGAATACTAATCTCCAGTTCCATTCTTTTTTTTTTTTTAACAGCTTATAAGTTCCTAGGTCCAGTGTTTCCTGTCTCTAATCCCAGTTTCTCAGGAGGGTGAGGCGGGAGCAGGCCCCTCCTACCCTCCTGTTCGGTCATTTTAGCAGATGACTTTCACCCTCATGCCTTTTGCACTGTGATTGCAAGAAGGGATTATTTTTAACTTTATGAATAGGTTATATGTTCACATGGACACCATTGAAAAAAAAATAATCTAAAAAGTATACAATGAAAAGTTCTACTCCCACCCTGTCTCCCTTTGTTCTAATAAGGTGCCTCCCCCATACCTAAAATCTCACTTGTTAGTGTCTTTTAAAGTTCTATATGTAACTATAAACAAATATGAACATATATTCTTTGAGACAGAGTCTTGTTCTTTTTTTCTTTGAGATGGAGTCTTGCTCTGTTGCCCAGGCTGGAGTACAGTGGCGCGATCTCGGCTCACTGCAACCTCTGCCTCCCAGAATCAAGCGATTCTCCTCCCTCAGCCTCCCAAGAAGCTGAGACTACAGGCATGCACTACCATGCCCAGCTAAGTTTTGTATTTTTAGTAGAGACACGGTTTTACCATGTTGGCCAGGCTGGTCTCCAACTCCTGACCTCAAGCGATCCACCCACCTCAGCTTCCCAAAGTGCTGGGATTATAGGCGTGAGCCACTATGCCTGACCAAGACAGAGTCTTGTTCTGTGGCTCAGGCTGGAGTGCTGTTGTGCAGTCGTGGCTCACTGCAGACTCAAACTCCTGGGTTTAAGTGATCCTCCCACCTCAGCCTCCCAAAATGCTGGGATTACAGGGATAAACTTATTTCTTATCCCCTTCTTTTTAGTTACACAAAAGATAGCACTGCTTTGCACTTGCTTTTATCAGCAAACAATAATGTGTCTTGACGATCATTCCCCTGCAGAGCATAAAGAGCTTTTTTTTTTTTAATAGGTTCATAGTATTTCATTGTAAGGAAATTCTATAATTGATTTAAACTAATCCTCTATTGATGGCTATTTGGGCTGTCGCCCATGTTTTGCTAGCACAAACAATGCCTTAGTGAATAACCTTTTACATACGTCATTTTTGTGTGCAAGCTTTCCAGTTTCACATCGGAAAATGGGAACAGTCCAGGTAAATGGCCCATGGAGCATTTCTGCAAGAGCAGCAACCAGGAAAATAAAAGGCTGGAGAACCACTGCTGGAACAGGTGCCCCATCTCCTTGTGGTGGTAGCAACAGTACCACAGCATCTTGTGAGTGACCTGTGGCTGTTCTCCAGTGTATGCCAGAGTCAGATTCTGGCACCTGTGGGTCACTCTTCTTCATGCTCTTTTCTTTTCTTATTATTTTTGCCTACTTGGAATTCTTTTTTTTTCAAATTTGAGACAGAGTCTTGCTCTGTCGCCCAGGCCGGAGTGCAGTGATGCGATATTGGCTCACTGCAACCTCTTCATCCTGGGTTCAAGCGATTCTCCTGCCTCAGCCTCCCAAGTAGCTGGGATTACAGGTGCCCGCCACCATGCCTGGCTTGTTTTTGTATTTTTAGTAGAGACAGGGTTTCACCATGATGGTCAGGCTGGTCTCGAACCCCTGATCTCTGGCGATCCACATGCCTTGGCCTCCCAAAGTGCGGGGATTACAGGGTTGAGCCTGCACCTGACCCTACTTGGAATTCTTGAAGTGAGCCCCCCAGTCTGAGATCTTTCTGCTTTCTTTTTTTTTTTTTCTTTTTTTTTTTTTTTTTTTGGTATTCAGGAGGATGCAGCATGGGTTGTAGGCTTCATTTCTCAGGAGCCTGAGCCAAGGCACACATATAGTCTGAGCAGTTACCTTTCCAGGCAGCCAGAGTAGATTCAGCAAATGCTCTTGGAAGCAGCTGCCTTTCCCATCAATGCTTATTTGTTCTTGATAATGAAAAATGATGCTAGCATCCATTAAAAGAGAAAAGGCATCCTCTTGTGAGCTCTATTGGACAAGTGAGCACTTGTTGTACAGTCATCTGCAAGCACATGTGACCTGGAGACTGTGGGAAATGCCTCACTTCGCAGTGTTGGCTCCCAGCTGTTCTCTTGGGCTGTTTGAGTTTTGTTCCAAAGGTCAGAGGCAGAGGGTCCGAGCCTTTCCAGCACAGCCCACATTTGAAAGTAGTGCAAGCCTCACATTCATTCTTTGTAGAAGGTTTCCAGATCTTGTTCTTGAGTTATTGAATGATTCAAAGGTTCTGAATTCCACAACGGCTTTCCTGTGTTTTTGCAGCCAGATTCAGCACATTTTGGTGTCAGCCAGTGCTTGGAAAATGTGGCCCTAGATTGATGCGTGTTTATATCTGGGTTGTGTTTTTTATAGAGAATAAATCTGTGGTTACTTTTACCCATCCCACATTGCTGTTAACTACCCCTGGAATTTCTCTCCCTCCGCAAGCCTAGTGCTGAAGAACAGAAGCTTTGGTGCTGGCTGGTTCTGGGGCGAATGTTCCTTCAGAGGCTGACCTGCTCTGTGACCTTGACAAGGCCCTGACCTTGAGCAAATGACTTAAGCCTTTCGCCTCAGTTGCTCATCAGCATTAAGGGGGTTAAAAACCCCTACCTGCCTCACAGCAACATAGGAGTCAATGTAAAGTTCACAGTGCCCACACGTAATGACTGTCATAGTGAATATTTACTCTCAAAAAGATTTTTTGTTTTCAGTTTTTAGTTGTTGATTTTTTTTTTTTTTAAATAGAGATGGGATCCTACTATGTTGCCCAGGCTGGTCTCAAACTCCTGGCCTCAAGTGATCCTCCCACCTCAGCCTCCCAAAGTGCTGGGATTACAGGTGTGAACCACCATGCCCAGCCTATAACTATTGTTTTGTTTTGTTTTGTTTTTTGGAGATAGAGTCTTGCTTTATCATCCAGGCTGGAGTGCAATGGTGCAATCTCAGCTCACTGCAACCTCTGCCTCCTGGGTTCAAGCAGTTCTCCCACTTCAGCCTCCCAAGTAGCTGGGATTATAGACACCCACCACCACGCCCGGCTAATTTTTTTTTTTTTTTTTTTGAGACAGTTTCACTCTTGTTGCCCAGGCTGGAGTACAATGGCATGATCTTGGCTCACCGCAACCTCCGCCTCCTGGGTTCAAGCAATTCTCCTGCCTCAGCCTCCTGAATAGCTGGGATTATAGGCATGTGCCACCACGCCCCGCTAATTTTTTGTATTTTTAGTAGAGACGAGGTTTCACCATGTTGGCCAGGCCTGTCTTAAACTCCTGACCTCAAGTGATTCGCCCTCCTTGGCCTCCCAAAGTGCTGGGATTACAGGTGTGAGCCACCGCACCCAGCCTACTGTTAATTAAGAATTGTTTATGGCTTCTCTTCTCTGCACTTTTTCATAACCTTGGCATTTTTGGGTGCCTGGATTCTTTCATTTTTGAACCATAGGACTTTGACTGATGGGGTATTCCTCAAGAGACCCTAATAGCTATATATTTCTTACTGGTTCATTGAGATTTAATTTACATACCACACAATTTACCCACTGTAAGTGTACAGTTAGATAATTTTTATAAACGTACACAGCTGTTGAGCTGTCATCACAATCCAGTTTTAGAATACTTCCACCACCTCCCAAGTTCCCTTGGGCCTATTGGTAGTCAAGCCTAACTCAGCTCCAGACAACCCTTGATCTGCTTTTTGTCTCTAGTTTTCTAGATTTTTCATATGAACTGTGTACTTTGGTGAACAGCTTCTTTCACTCGGTGTAATGCTTTTAAGGTTCATCTATGCTACTGCGTTTTGTGATGTTTGATCCTTTTTATTGCTGAGTAGCTATACCATATTTTACCCATCCTAATTACTTTTTGGGTTGACTGTATATAAGCCACATTTACACATTTTTTTAAATGGGTAAATGTGAAATAAGAAGAAAGTTGGGGCTGGGCATGGTGGCTCACGCCTGTAATCTCAACACTTTTGGAGGCCGAGACGGGTGGATCACAAGATCAGGAGTTCAAGACCAGCCTGACCAACATGGAGAAACCCCATCTCTCCTAAAAAAAACAAAAAACAAAAATTAGCTGGGTATGGTGGCGGGCACCTGTAATCCCAGCTGCTTGGGAGGCTGAGGCAGGAGAGTCACTTGAACGCAGGAGGCGGAGGTTGCGGTAATCTGAGGTCATGCCACTGCACTCCAGCCTGGGTGACAGAGCAAGACTCTGTCTCAAAAAATGAATGAATAAATAAAAGAAAGTTGGACAGGAAGATCCGTTCTCACTGTGTCACCCAAGCTGGAGTGCAGTGGCCCGAACATGATTCTCTGCAGCCTTGACGTCCCCAGCTCAAGTGATCCTCCTACCTCAGCCCTCCCAAATAATGGGGACTACAGGTGCATGCCACCATGCCCAGCTAATTTTTTTTTGTATTTTTTGTAGAGATGGGCTCTCCCCATGTTGCCCAGGCTGGTCTTGACGGGACTTGGACTCAAGTGATCCGCCCACTTCAGCCTCCCCAAAGTGCTGGGATTATAGGTGTGAGCCACCGCACCTGGCCAGGTGTTTAAAAATAGAATAATGTCCAGAACCTAATTTTGGAGAACAGGATGTAAAGGGATGCAGGACAAGGGAGTAAATGAATTAGGAAAGGGATATAGACCAGGATCTGAAGGACACATATCAGGTGTTAGCAGTGGTCTCTCTGCAAGGATGGGCTTGTGAATACTTTGTGCGATTGGCTCATCTTTTTTTTTTTTTTGTAACAGCTTTATCGAAACATAATCCACATAGCATATATTACACCATTTAAAGTGTAGAATTTAACAGTTTCCCTTATAGTCACAGACTTAAGCAAGCGTCACCACAATCAATTTCATAACATTTTCATCACCTCCAGAAGAAATCCCTCACTCCTTAGTTGCTACTGCCCCAGCCCTGGACATCTGGATTCAGTTAGTCTGAGGCAGGGGCCCTGGCTGAGTATTTTTAAAAAGTGCCCCAGGAGGCTGGGCCCGGTGGCTCATGCCTGTAATCCCAGCACTTTGGGAGGCTGAGGCGGGCGGATCACATGATGTTGGGAGTTCGAGACCTGCCCGACCAACATGGAGAAACCCCATCTCTAAAACTACAAAATTAACCGGGCATGGTGGCGCATGCCTGTAATCCCATCTACTCGGGAGGCTGAGGCAGGAGAATCACTTGAACCCGGGAGGCAGAGGTTGCCGTGAGCCAAGATCACACCATTGCACTCCAGCCTGGGCAACAAGAGCAAAACTCCATCTCAAAAACAAAAACAAAAACAAAAAACCCAGGAAAGTCTCTGTGCAGCACATTAGACCCTGAATGGAAATGATGTTAGGAGGCATTTTGGTGCATGCTTTATTTCACCAGTCGGAATGTAAGCCTTACCAATGTCTGTGAGGGCCCAGGACTTGTTCTCCCACATCTCAGGCCTGTCAGCTGCCCTTTCCTGCACGGGGCATCAGGGAGAGAGAGGAGGAGGGATTTAGTAGCTTTGGAATTCAGTACATGGGGTCTCCCTAACCTCGGGGAATCCAACAGAAAGAAAAAGGAGGAAGAAAATGTGATGATTTTCTTTTTAATCAGTAAGCAAACAGTTCCTAGAGTTGCCCAACCTGACCACAGGAATGTTTCCTGGGTTGCAGTCCATGAAAATGATCAGTTACGGCCTCTGTTTCGGCAGACAGGCTGTGTTGTTACGCATGCAGCCACAGCTGGGACAAGAAAGCCCCTCCAATTTGCTGTGAACCCAGAGGGCCTCCCCATTCTCCTTATTCTTTTTGAGAAAATCAAACGCATTTCCCTCCCTAAGACAGGTGGGGAAGCAGTCCCCCTCCAGCCTCCGCCTCTGCAGGAGGCCTAATGTCGCTGCCAACTCCTTGCTAGAATGGAGATGAGTTGTTTTTCTCCCCTCTTCTTGAAAACAAATTGAGATGAGATTCCTTGCCAGTTGGTGTTGACTCTGGAAAATTGAAACCAAGCAGTTGGTTTTGACTTGAGCAGAGAAGCAACCCCAGCTTCTCCAGTCAAGGCAGCAGATACCAATCCAGGCAGGAATATTGAGATGAAACTGAGTGAGGCTGTTAATCAATGGGCACACTGGCTGTTGCTGTCCTCTCTGGGAGAGGCCTGGAAAGAAAAATGATTTAAAACTAAGTTCCCTTCTGGCCTTGTTGTCAAGAAGGGTATGGGGTATGGGGAGGCAATGAGGCAATCTGGCCCGCAGGAGCAAGAGCTAACCTTTCTCATAGGCCTGTGCTAAAATCATGTTAATTCCACTTGAATGTTGGCCCCCGGGTGGGCAGGAGTGGTTATCTGTTGTGATTGTGGCTGGATCTTCAGTACTAGAACAGGCTGCCCCCATGCAGGAGGTATGCACACAGTAGGTGTGCAGGCTTTGAGTAGACCTTGGAACTGTTCCCCCGCACTGCCGCCTGCTCTCTCCCTTACTTCAGCACACAGCTCCAAGCTGGGGCAGTCTCTTTCACTTCCCTTTATTCCCTAATATGCCCTAATATTCCCTAATGTCCTTTATTTAGTGAGTTGTCCTGCCTGTCACATAAAGCCCTTGGAAATTCCTTACCTGCTTATATTTCTCTATTACACTTTTCATTCCTGATACTTTTTTTCGTTTTCTTTCTTTTTGGAGATAGCATCTCAATCTGTCGCCCAGGCTGGAGTGCAGTGGCACAGTTACAGCTCACTGCAGCCTCGACCTCCTGTGCTCAGGTGATCCTCCTGCCTCAGCCTCCTAAATAGCTGGGACTATAGACACGCGCCACCACACCCAGCTAATTTTTAATTTTTTGTAGAGTTGGGGTCTTGCCATGTTGCTCAGGCTAGTCTTGAATTCCTGGGCCCAAGTGATCCTCTCACCTCGGCCTCCCAAAGTGCTGGGATTACAGGCATGAGCCACCATGATTACTTATTGATTTACTTGTTAATTATCTCTTTGACATTGAAATGAAAGCCCCATGAGGTCAGGGACTTTGCTTTGTCCATTGCTGTATTTCTCAGGCCTTAGGATGATGCTTGACAAAGAGAGTAAGGGCTCGCTAAAGATTTACTGGAGGAAGAATCCTTGAAGCAATCCCTCAAAGGAGGTGGGGACGTCTGCCTATGTATTTTGTTTGTTTATTTTTTTGAGATGGAGTCTCTCTCTGTTGCCCAGGCTGGAGTGCAGTGGCGTGATCTCAGCTCACTGCAACCTCCACCTCCCAGGTTCAAGCAATTCTCCTGCCTTACTCTCCCAAGTGGCTGAGATTACAGGTGCCCACCACCATGCCCAGCTTAAATTTTGAATTTTTGTAGAGATTGGGTTTCACCATGTTGGTCAGGCTGGTCTCAAACTCCTGACCTCAGGTGATCCATCTGCCTCAGCCTCCCAAAGTGCTGTGATTACAGGCATGAGGCACCACACCCGGCCTAAACACTGACTTTTTTTTTTTTTTTTGAGATGGAGTCTTGCTCTGTCGCCCAGGCTGGAGGGCAGTGGCGCAATCTTGACTCACTGCAACCTCCGCCTCCCAGGTTCAAGCAATTCTCCTGCCTCAGCCTCCCGAGTAGCTGGGATTACAGGCATGCGCCACCACGCCTGGCTAATTTTTGTATTTTTGGTAGAGACAGAGTTTCACCATGTGGACCAGGCTGGTCTTGAACTCCTGACCTCAAGTGTTCCACCCACCTCCCAAAGGGCTGGGATTATAGGCGTGAGCCAGTACGCCCTGCGACACTGACTTTTAATCAATTCCAGAAGCGCCATTCATGACCCTTCCCCCCGGGCTGGTTCTGATCAACACCCATGGCGTTTGCCGTCAGAGAAGGAAACAGCATTTGTCCAAGCAGAACCATGGTTGGGAAAGCAAAAAGACACCCTTTGCCAGTGTGACCAAGTCGCTTGAGTAATCTTAAACAAAGGGAAAAAGTCAAGGGCGATGGCTTACACCTTTAGCCTTGTTTCTCCCACTTCAGAAAGTAAAGGGTAAAGGGTCCTGGGCTAATTTTTCCTTAATCTTCAATGTCACTGTTTTCTCTCTCCACCCCCGTCTGCTTTGATGGGGACAGAAGCCAAGGGGACTTTGCTCCCTGCTTCCCATCCAGGCAGCGTTCGTTGTTGACATCTGTTTTCAGGGTGTAGCTCAGTGAAGACAGAGACGATACATAATTTGTTCTGGGCACATATGTTTGGGGGACGTTAGAAGGAACTTGATAAGCTTCATGCAAATAAACTTCCAGTCCCTGGGAACCCATGGGGGTCGCCTGTCAACAGGGGTGCAGGAGCCGCAGCTGCCACCCTGAGAGCACATTGCATGGATGTTGTGGGCACGTTAAGAGTCATGCTTGTGCAACGTGATACTCCAACCTGCTTATCTTCCCTGGAAAAATGTTGTGGTTGACGTTGGCAGTTTAGAGGAACTTTGACTTATTTCAGCTTATGCAAAGTGGTAACATACAGCGAGACCTTTTTGAAACTGGAGTATAGTGTGGCTGTTGGAATATCCTTAGGTTTCTCTGAGGCCTGGAACTGGATTTCCAAGGCTCAATTTTCATCCAAGAAGAGAGGGAGTGTGTATAATGATGCTTTTGCCGTTATTCTCATTCAAGTTACTCTCCAACTGTCCTATTCTTTTGTGAGAACTAACTTCTCAGATCCATTCAGCTAGCAGGCTTGTGAATGGCTCATCAGTACTAACAGACAGGCTGCCTGGTGAGTCCTGGCGGCTAAGTAGCATCAGACTACAGCTTCCGTCACTTCATAGCTATGGAACTTGGTTAAGTTCCTTCTCTGTTTCCCCATTTATAGGAAAGGGATGCTGGCCAGGCGCAGTGGCTCATACCTGTAATCCCAGCACTTGGGGAGGCCAAGGCGGATGGATCACCTGAGGCCAGGAGTTTAGGACCAGCCTGACCAAGAGGTGAAACCTCGTCTCTAGTGAAAAAATACAAAATTAGCTGGGCATGGTGGCGCATGCCTGTAATCCCAACTACTTGGGAGGCTGAGGCAGGAGAATCCCTCGAACCCGGGAGGCAGGAGGCTGAGGCAGCAGAATCCCTTGAACCTGGGAGGCAGAAGTTGCAGTGAACTGAGATTGCACCATTGCACTCCAGTGTGGGCAACAGAGCAAGACTCTGTCTCAAAAAAAAAAAAAAAAAAAAAGTGGGAGGATGCTAAAATCCCTACCACACAGGACTGCTCTATCTAATAAGGACATAGACTGTTGTTGTTGTCCATAGTTTTGTTTTTGTTTTTGTTTTTTGATACAAGGTCTCACTCTGTTGCCCAGGCTGACTGCAGTGGTGCCATCACAGCTCACCGCAGCCTCGACCTCCTGGGCTCAAGCAAACCTCTTGTCTCAGCCTCCCGAGTAGCTGGGACTACAGGCACACACCACTGCTCCCAGCTAATTTTTGACTTTTTGAGTTTTTTATAGAGACACGGTCTTGCTATATTGCCTAGGGTGGTCTCAAACTCCTGGACACAAGCAGTCCTCTTGCCTCTGCCTCCCGAAGTGTTGGGTTACAGGCATGAGCCACCATACCTGGCCGTGTCCATTAGCTCTTAGTAGCAAATGGACACACAACATTAGAGACTTATCATCAAGTGAGAGTCAGTGTTCCTGGTGGAACTTGAATGTCCTTTTCAACATGCCCTAAGTGTGGACAAACTGGAGGCCTAATTGTTCTTTCCTTTGCATTTTTATTTTTAAAAATTTGTTATTTTAATTTTTATTACTATAATTTTAGAGATGGGGTCTTACTTTGTCACCTAGGGTGGAGTGTGGTGGTACAATCATAGCACACTGCAGCCTCCAACTCCTGGGCTCAAGCAACCCTTCTGCCTCAGCCTCTCTAATATCTAGGACTACAGGTGCACCAACATGCCGGGCTAACTTTTTTTTTTTTTTTTTTTGAGATGGAGTCTCGCTCAGTCGCCCAGGCTGGAGTGCAGTGGCACGATCTTGGCTCACTGCAAGCTCCGACTCCCAGGTTCACACCATTCTCCTGCCTCAGCCTCCCGAGTAGCTGGGACTACAGGCGCCCACCACCATGCCCAGCTATTTTTTTTTTTTTGTATTTTTAGTAGAGACGGGGTTTCACCGTGTTAGCCAGGATGGTCTCGATCTCCTGACCTTGTGATCCACCCGTCTCGGCCTCCCATAGTGCTGGGATTACAGGCGTGAGCCACCGCACCTGGCCAACCGGGCTAACTTTTTAGATTTTCTTTTTTTGGTAGAAAATGAGGTTTCACTATGTTGCTCAGGCTAGTCTTGCATTTGTAAACATAAAATTAACATTTTCTGCTGAGTATGAATGCTCAATAAACCTGTAATGTTACTGATTTCATGAATACTCATTAAAAGAACACATGCCAGAATCCCCAGTGTCATCTAAGAAAATAGCCTGGAAGGAGATCTTATAGGCAGCAGTATCTGTGGAGATGGAGTTAGAAACACTGTCCCTAACCAGCAAAAAGAAAAATGCCTAACTAGCTGAATGAGGCTGTCTCCCCAGGATTCCTTTCATCCATCAAGTTAGATTTCTTTTTTTTTATTTTTATTTTAAGAGATGGGGTCTTACTATGTTGCCCAGGCTAGTCTCAAACTCCTGGGCTCAAGTGATCCTCCTGCCTTGGCTTCGCAAAATGGTGAGATTACAGGTATGAGCCACCATGCCTGGCTAGTTCTCTGATTTTTTTGTTTGTTTGTTTGTTTTTGAGATGGAGTCTTTTTTGCTCTGTCACCTACACTGGAGCGCAATGGTGCAATCTCTGCTCACTGCAACCTCTGCCTCCTGTGTTCGAGCAATTCTCCTGTCCTGGCCTTCTGAGTAGCTGGGATTACAGGTGCCCGCCACCATGCCTGGCTAATTTTTTGTATTTTCAGTAGAGACGGGGTTTCACCATGTTGACCAGGCTGGTCTTGAACTCCTGACCTCAGGTGATCCACCTGGCTCGGCCTCCCAAAGTGCTGGGATTACAGGCATGAGCCACCATGCCCAGCCAGTTCTCTGATCTTGTCCTCCAGTTTTTATGTGTAACTGAGGCTGAGCTCTCAAGTTCAAATGGTCTTTGAATAAAGCTAAATGCAGGCCGGGTGCGGTGGCTTATGCCTGTAATCCCAGCACTTTGGGCGGCCAAGGCAGGCGGATCACAAGGTCAGGAGTTCGAGGTTATCCTGGCCAACATAGTGAAACCCCGTCTCTACTAAAAATACAAAAGATTAGCCGGGCGTGGTGGCAGGCACCTGTAATCCCAGCTACTCGGGAGGCTGGGGCAGGAGAATGGCTTGAACCCGGGAGGTGGAGGTTGCAGTGAGTTGAGATCCTGCCATGGCACTCCAGCCCGGGTGACAGTGCGAGACTCTGTCTTTAAAAACAAAAAAAAAAGAATTGCTAAATGCAGTATTCTTTGGTGTTCGCTGTGGGAAATGTGTTCTGATGAGAGGGAGGCAATCCATAATGTGCCCCTTTGTATGCAGGGTGGGCAAAACACTGCTTCCAACTAGTTACGTCTAAGATACTAGGTTATCCCACTGGTTACCAAACAACTCAACTATGGTTTGCTGCCTTCCATAGCTGGCCCTGTCCTTAAATCCCAACATCGTCTGAAAATAATATAGAAGCTTTTGAGACTGTCTTGTTTCTACCCACTCACATTCCAGTTATGGGACCAGGCGGGCGTGGGAGAAGAAACGGGATCGTCAAAGTGGGACTGTTCCGTGTGGCATGATGGCAATTTCAAGCAAGGAATGTTGCTGAATGCTCAGAGCCTGCCCCAGGACCAAAAGCTTTTCATGAACTTGGGTTTCATTTGTATTTGAACATCAGTCATCTCTCTTGGGGTCCTCTCTTGAAAGCTACTTTTGCCCAGTAGGCTAGAAAGTGGGGCACCGTAGGTTTAATAGCAGCATGCAGGGATGACAGAGTATTAAAAACACTTTTTAAAAGTCATTCTTACTAGTTTTTGTCATGAAAAAAAAAAGAATTCATTCTAATTGTAACAGGCCAAGTAATACAAGGATATATAAGGAAAATATGTTGTTGTTGTTTTCAAACTGCCTCCTGGCCAGGCACAATACTTGTATCTGTAATCCCAGCACTTTGGGAGGCTGAGGTTGGTGGATCGCTTGAGGCCAGGAGTTCAAGACCAGCCTGGGCAACGTGGCAAAACCCCATCTAGTCCTGTAAACATAAAATTACATTTTTTGCTGAAATACAAAAAATACAAAAATTAGCTGGGTGTGGCAGCACATGCTTAAAATAGAGCATGGCACATTAATATTCTACACATGTTTAAAATACTAATAAAATAGGCCAAGCATGATGGCTCATGCCTGTAATCCCAGAACTTTGGGAGGCTGAGGCAGGTGGATCACCTGAGGTCAGAAGTTCATGACCAGGCTTGGCATCATAGCGAGACCCTGTCCCTACAAACAATAATTAAAAATTTGCTGCGGTGGAGTACACCTGTAGTCTCAGCTACTCTGGAGGATGAGGTGGGAGGATGGTTTGAGCCCAGGAAGCTGAGGCTGCGGTGAGCTAGCGTTTGTGCCACTGCACTTTAGCCTGGGTGACAGAGTAAAACCCTTTCTCAAAAAATTAAAATGAGGCTGGGCTCAGTCATTCACTTCTGTAATCCCAGCACTTTGGGAGGCCAAAGCGGGAAGATGGCTTGAGCCCAGGAGTTTGTGAGCAGCCTGGGCAACGTAGTCAGACCCCATCTCTACAATAAATAAAATTAGCCAGGCATGGTGGCATGTACCTGTAGCCCCAGCTACTCAGGAGGCTGAAGCAGGAGGATTGCTTGAGCCCCGAAAGCCAAGGCTGCAGTGAGCAGTGTTTGCACCACTGCATTCCACCCTAGGTGACAGAGACCTGTCTCAAAAAGCACACAAATAAAATTAAATAAAATCTGAATAAAATAGTTCATAAAAGCTAATTGAAGCTTAGTTGAGGCTGCAGTTTTTGATGATGGTGATGATATTGTAATGAAAAGACTTTCCCAGCTGGGCACAGTGGCTCACACCTATAATCCCAGCAGTTTGGGAGGCAGAGGCGGGCAGATCACTTGAGGTCAGGAGTTCGAGACCAGCCTGGCCAACATGGTGAAACCTTGTCTCTACTAAAAATACAAAAATTAGCTGGGCGTGGTGGTGTGCACCTGTAATCCCCGCTACTCGGGAGGCTGAAGCAGGAGAATTGCTTGAATCTGGGAGGCAGAGGTTGCAGTGAGCCCAGATTGCACCATTGCACTCCAGCCTGGGTGACAGAGTGACACTCTGTCTCAAAAAAAAAAAAGACTTTCCCACATGGAGATGGCCAGTAGTGGGGAGTGGGGTCTTAGCTTCTTTTGTTGGGATTTGGTTTTTACACCAAGTCACCAAATAAGTTTATGAAAGGTGGGCATACTGGGTTAAAGAACACTTAGACCCTTGTTAGCTTTATTTTTGTTAGCTTTTTTTATGGGCATGTTGAAATATACCCAGTCCCCGTATTCTGATCCTCCAGTTTCAACATTTTGCCATTCTTCTTTCCTCCCACTTGCTGGGCTCAGAGACAACCCAGCCCTTGCCAGCGTGACAGTGAGCTTCCCAGAGCCTTTCTGGAGCTGAAGAACCTTTCAATCTTTCCTACAATTTCCTATAATCAGCCCAGGGGATCAGGTTGCATGGGGAGATAATGAGTCTTATGAGCACCTGGAATTCAGGTTGGGGCTCCTCGTCATACTGTCACTTCTCAAAGGGTAGGGCTTAACCACCATTAAGATGAGGTGCCCCAAAGCAGGTTAAGTGCCTTGGATCAAGTTATTTGCAAAACCATTTTCATTTTTTCAGGCCGCCACCCTTGGCAAGTCCAATCATGCTTGTCTCAACTTTCACTGTCTAAATTTGGGAAGGCTGGAGAAAGGAATTCAGTGCAGCCTTCATTCCCTGTTTACATGACAAGCCCCTAAAGATGACCTAGTTGCCCCATTACTTCTGCTGGGGGTGGGGGAGGACTCTTTGAAGAGCATCTGGTTTTGCTAGTTTGAAAAGAAATTCCTATTTTAGACTTAAAAGGATGGTATCTGCCCATCCTTTAAGGACTTGGCATTTCTTCTTGATTCTTTCATCATCTTATGGCTCAGCTGTTCAGTTAACAAACACTTGTCTACCCAAATACACAGGAATAATAGTCATCTCTTCTACTTTCATTGCTTTTTAACTTAGAAAATGTCATCCCATTCACTGTCTTGGTCTTCACAAAACCCTAAAGAGGTAGACTCAAACAGTGGTGATAACCTTTATGTTATAGTAGAGAAGGCCAAGGCCCATAGAGGTTTAGCAATTTGCTAAGGCCACCCAGCAAGAACATGGCAGAATCTGGTTTTATAATCCAGTCGCAGACCCTGGGTCCAGCCCTTTTTCCTTGTCTCTGTCTTCCCATCATTTATTACGGCTCCCCCTGCTCACCCCATCCTTTCCTTCAAGTTGCGGAAGTGAGTTGTAGACCCAGTCTAAGGGCTGAGAAGGTAGGGGTTGGGGCATGGTGGTGATTTTTTATTTTTATTTTTTAAACAAACTGGGAGGGAGGGTCAGGTGGGCGACTCTTTGAATGACACAGCTCCCTTCGTATGAACGAGCTCTTCCTGGTTTCGTTGCTCAGTTTATTTGCCAGGTAGCAGACTCCTAGCTATTGCATGGGGTAGCCTCTGATCTCAGTCTTAGAGATCAAGACTGGAGCTGGAGAACCTTTCAATCTTTCCTATAATTTCCTATAATCAGCCCAGGGGATCAGGTTGCATGAGGAGATAATGAGTCTTATGAGCACCTGGAATTCAGGTTGGGGCTCCCTCTCATACTGTCACTTCTCAAAGGGTAGGGCTTTGAATAGATAGATTATAGGTATAATCTATCTATAAACTAATATAATCTTCCTTTTAAAAATAACCAAGGTTGGGGCCGGGTGTGGTGGCTCATTCATGTAATCCCAGCACTTTGGGAGGCGAGGTGGATGGATCACCTGAGGTCAGGAGTTTGAGACCAGCCTGGACAACATGGTGAAACCCTGTCTCTACTAAAATTACATAAATTATTCAGGTGTGATGGCACATGCCTGTAATCCCAGCTACTCGGGAGGCTGAGGCAGAATTGCTTGAACCCAGGAGGCGGAGGTTTCAGTGAGCCGAGATCGTGCCACTGCACTCCAGCCTCGGCAACAGAGCGAGACTGTCTCAAAAAAAATTAATAGTAATAATAATTAAAAAAAAAAAAAAAACCAAGGTTGGCTGGGCACACTGGCTTATGCCTGTCATCCTAGCACTTTGGAAGGCCGAGGCAGGAAGACTGGTTGAGTCCAGGAGTTCAAGACCAGCCTGGGCAACATAACAAGATCCCATCTCTATGAAAATATTATTTAAAAAAAAAAAAACCAAGGCCTTAATAGGGTCTCTCCAGAGAGAGGAAGAGCCAACCATGAGACTAACCCATGTTAAAGGGCTGTCTCAGCTCTGCCATTTAATAGTTACAGGATGTCAGGTAAATTTCTTAACCTCTGTGAGCCTCAGTTTCATCTTCAAAATGGAGAAAATCTGTTACTTCCCCTCTCACCCCCAAACGTGGTCTTATTTTTCTCTGGCAAGGGCAGGGCTATTGGCTTCAGAAATGTTTGCAAGGGTGGCCCCTGATGGAAGAAATGAAAACTGCTGCCTAGGCGTCAGGGATGGCTTCAAGGGCTTTCTGGCAGAAACCTGATCCTCCTGTCTAGCCTTGTAAGATAGGACGGCAGGAATTTTTATAAAAGAGAACTTGGATGAAATAGAAATTCCATCGGACAATTATTTGAAAGGGAGGAAAACAGGCCAAGCTGAGAGTTTCCTAGAATGAATGGTCTTATCGACTGCTCCCCTCTGCCTGGAAGCTTCTTTGAGCCAGGCTTCTGCAAGGCTGGCTCCTTCAGGTCCCAGCTCAGATGGGCCTACCTCAGAAAGGCCTGCCCTCACCATGCAATAGATGTTACATCTTCAGCAAACTCCCTTCTCCTCTGCCACTCTTATATCACCCTCTTTTATTTTAATTTCTTTTTACCTATTACCACTGCCTGAAATTTTAAGTTTCTGTCTTTGTCCATCTCTTCCTCAGTAGTGTAAACTCAATGAGAGCAGAAACCTTAAGTATCTTCGTCACGATTTTGTCCTCACAGTCCAACACAGTGTCTGGCATATAGCTTGATGGTTACCTATTTGAATGAGTCCTTTGAGATTCTAATGTATAGTGTAGATGCTTCAACCACAGCTTCTCCAGTTTTAGAGTATTAATACTTTTTAAAGTTTTAGTTACTTTTATTTATTTATTTTTTGAGATGGAGTCTCGCTCTGTTGCCCAGGCTGGAGTGCAGTGGCGCAATCTCAGCTCACTGCAACCTCCACCTTACAGGTTCAAGAGATTCTCCTGCCTCAGCCTCCCAAGTGGCTGCAATTACAGGCGCCTGCCACTAAACCTGGCTAATTTTTTTTTGTATTTTTAGTAGAGACAGGGTTTCATCATGTTGGCCAGGCTGGTCTCAAGCTCCTGACCTCAAGTGATCTGCCCACCTTGGCCTCCCAAAATGCTGGGGTTACAGGCATGAGACACTGTGCCCAGTCGAGAAGTTACTTTCTAGACAAGATAATATTTTCAATTGACAAGAAGATGAGAAAGAAATCAGAGCACAAGGAAGTCATCCTGTAGTTGTGAAGAACATTATGGTGATAGCTTTGTTGTTCTGTCACCAGATTATGGTTTGTTTTGGTTGTGTTTGGTTTTGTGGGAGTCTTCCCACAAGTTCGCTCTTTGGAGAAGGAATGCTCTTGTCTTTAATCTGTCCAATTTCCTAATCTCTGTGATTTCTGCCCTGCAGTGAATTTTGAAGATTGCACCGGTCGACAAAGGACAGCCTATTTTTCCCTCGACACCCGATTCAAAGTGGGCACAGATGGTGTGATTACAGTCAAAAGGCCTCTACGGTTTCATAACCCACAGATCCATTTCTTGGTCTACGCCTGGGACTCCACCTACAGAAAGTTTTCCACCAAAGTCACGCTGAATACAGTGGGGCACCACCACCGCCCCCCGCCCCATCAGGTATGTTGGCATTTTTCTGAGAAGTTCGCTGTTGTTTTAGTGCGCTGTCTAATCCAGGTTTCTCAGCCTTGGTACCGTTGACATTTTGGGCTGGATGATTTTGTGTTGTAGGGGTTGTCCTGTGCACTGTGTAGGATGTTTAGCAAGCATCCCTGGCCTTAACTGGTTAGACACCAGTAGCACTTCCACCAGTTATGACAACCCAAAGTATCTCCACATGTTGCCCATGGCCCCTGGGGGGACAAATCAGCCCAAGTTGAGGGCTCTTGGCCTAACTGAATAATTCTTGCTGGAGTTTTTGGGGTGTGGGGATCGGGTAGTGTAGAAGAGTGGTAAAGGCCTGAACACCGTCTGGGACTGAATCTCAGCCGTGCTATTTACTACTTGGGTAATGTTGGAGGAATTACGTCACCTGTCTATGCTTGAGCTTCCTTATCTGTAAAATGGAGATAACAGTGAGGATGGAATTAATTAATACATGTGAAATGCTAAAAATACGCAAGGCATACTTAGTCATTGTTAGCTGTCTTTACCACTCCCCTCTTGGGGGAAGAAGAATGAATGAGAGCTGGATTCTTCTCTCTCTCTCTCTTTTTTTTTTAAGACGTAGTCTCACTCTGTGGCTCAGGCTGGAGTGCAGTGGCGTGACTCACAGCAACCTCCACCTCCCCAGTTCAAGTGATCCTCCTGCCTCCACCTCCTGAGTAGCTGGGATTACAGGCGCCCGCCACCATACCCGGCTAATTTTTGTATTTTTAGTAGAGGCAGGGTTTCACCATGTTGGCCAGGCTGGTCTCGAATTCCTGACCTCAAATGATCTGCCTGCCTCAGCCTCCCAAAGTGCTGGAATTACAGGAGTGAGCCACTGCGCCTGGCCAAGAGCTGGATTCTCTGATCATTTTGCTTTTTGTGCTTCCAGTAAGAAGAGCCTTGGTGAAGAAGGAGAAGAACCAGTGGGCAGCTCTTACCCCATTAGACTATAACCTCCACAAGACCCTTCCCCATTGTATTTGCAGTGCCTGGCCTTAGGTCTGGCCCATACCAGGAACAGACAAACAGATGAATTGGCCATGAATGGAAGGATGGATGGATGTCTGCCTGGGTTCTTGGCAGGAATGTTTCTAGGGGTTGTTATTCGAAGCCAGTTTCTCAAGTGCTCCCGTGGTGCTTCCTACCGAAATGTCTCTCTGGGGGATATTCTGGTTGTGTCCTGCTTACTGCTTTGGACGTGTGGAATATGTTGTAAGTGCCAGGGCCAGTAAGATTGGCATCTTCTTTTCTCGCTGAAGACTCTTGATATTCTTGGAACTTAATGGTCCTCCCGATCTGATTTTTCTCCCTGGTGTAATTAGACCAGAAAAATGAGGAATCTAATACTATAGGACCATATTAACTTAGCTCCTTGACTCAAAGTCTCCAAGGGTCCCCATCATTCATGTGAAAAAAACTCAGCACAGTGAGTCCTTGCCAGGCAGCTGTGTGTGGAAGCCTCTTATGATCCAGAGACAGTTTTATTTTTTTAGAGACAGATTCTTGCTCTGTCTCCCAGGCTGGAGGGCAGTGGTGCAATTTCGGCTCACGGCAACGTCTGCCTCCTGGGTTCAAACAATTCTTCTGCCTCAGCCTCTCAAGTAGCTGGGAATACAGGAGCCCATCACCATGCCTGGCTGATTTTTGGATTTTAGTAGAGATGGGTTTCATCATGTTGGCCAGGCTGGTCTCGAACTCCTGACCTCAAGTGATCTGCCCACCTCAGCCTCCCAAAGTGCTGGGATTATAGGTTTGAGCCACTGAGCCCGGCTGCAGGGACAGTTTTGAGCTTGGGTCTTCAACTTTTCTTCCACATCTCTTGAACTTTGTTTCTGCCTCCATGTCTGCTGTATCATGATTGGGTTCAAGTGCATGTTATATAAATCTCCAATTGTCGTGGTTTATGTCGTGGTTTATTCCTCAAGTTAAGGAAGCCCTAGGGTAAGCTGTGCCCAGTATGGAGACTTGATAGTCATCAAGAGCCCAGGTTCCCCCTTTCCTTTTTGCTCCGCCATCCTCAGCACATGACCTCATCCTCAAGGAGACCTCGTGATCCCAGATGGCGGCTGGAGCTCCAGTCATCATGTCTTTTTTTATTTTTTTAATCATGTCTTTATTCTAAGCAATAAGAAGGAGAAAGGAGAAGCATAAAAATTCATTACTTAGTTATCTGTCTGCCTTTTTTTTTTTTTTTTTTTTTTTTTTTTTGAGATGGAGTCTCGCTCTGTCACCCAGGCTGGAGTGCAGTGGCGCGATCTCAGCTCACTGCAAGCTCCACCTCCCGGATTCATGCCATTCTCCTGCCTCAGCCTCCTGAGTAGCTGAGACTACAGGCATCCGCCACCACGCCTGGCTTATTTTTTGTATTTTTAGTAGAGACGGGGTTTCACCGTGTTAGCCAGGATGGTCTCGATCTCCTGACCTTGTGATCCACCTGCCTCGGCCTCCTAAAGTGCTGGGATTACAGGTGTGAGCCACTGCGCCCGGCCCTATCTGCCTTTTAAGAAACCTTTGTGGAATTCTCCACAAGCAACACTTGAGAAACACTGGCCAAAATTTAGCCTCATGACCACATCTAGCTGCACATGCAGTGTAGGGAATGTAGTCTTTCATATGAATACATTTCTGGAATGTATATTCCAGAATTACAAAATTGAGATATATATTGGAGAGATAGGTTTTTATTTTGTTTTTAATCAGAAACAAAGAGTGGATATTGGGTGGTAGGTAGCAGATTATGCCTCAGCTGGTTTGAGATTCACCTTGGTTTGTCTCTATAGTTCAAAGGATCCTTCTGGAACCAGGTGGTACTGTAATTAGATGGCAGTCTTACCTCGCTTTCATTATATATTGATTAATTTTTAACTTTTTTAAAAAACAACATATCCAGGTAACAAAATCTTTTTTTTTTTTTTTTTTTTTTTGGAGACAGAGTCTTGCTCTGTCACCCAGGCTGGAGTGCAGTGGTGGGAACACAGCTCACTGCAGCCTTGACCTCCCA